>NC_000005.10:105734807-106359807 GCF_000001405.40 Homo sapiens
AATTCAGACACACTGATTCATAATATAATTTAAGTAGATAATTGGGTTTGCTATGTAGGAATGTAATATTGCTGAATTATCTTAATGGAAACGTCCTGGGACGATCAATTTTAAAACTGGAAGTATGCATACTGAAGACTTCAGTGAGGAAGGGTAACTCCAGTAAGAACAGCAGTTCTAATTTTGGCAAGACTGCTGGGAAGTTGTTGGGTCAAACCTGCTGATTGAGGGGGTCCCTTGTCACAACTGGCCTTCATTAGTGCACTCACTGTAATCAGTAATCAGCTGGGAAGTGTGACGTCTACACAAATGCAGTGGTAGATCCAGGACAGCAGCTAGGGCTATTAGTCAATTATTCTGTTTACAACAGGTCTGAAACGTGCCTTTTCTAGGCCTCCAGGCTTATTGAGTGCATAGTATAAGAATAAACTTATGTAGAAAAATAGAACACCTCTTTGCTCCGTTCAACTTTATGGCTAATCATTGGAACAATAAGAATAAGAGCAACCTAGGCTCCTGGTTCAGATTTTATGGCAAACAGATGATAAAATAAGATCTACCTATGCAACTGCTGATTTATTTCAACTTGTCTGTCATGAAGAATAGTCTACAAACAGAAAATGATTAAGTAAATATTATGAGAGAAAAAGAGTGATATAGAGATGAGTCAATGGGAATATGTATCTATATATAAGCTCTTTCCTCCAAATATTTGGTTGGGCAAGACTTTTGCTACATTTATCCAAAATTCAACTGGGTATGGTTATCACATAATTATTCTTGCAAGTGAATGTACAATCATCCACTGATCACACGAATATCATGCCTATAAAATACCAGAAATAGTATACTTAACAATAACTTCTTCCTGCCATCTACATATTTTTTTTCAGTTCTTCTACTTATTTCAATGGCTATATAGTTTAGAGTTAAAAACTTCATAAATTAGGAATCTTTTCAGAATAAATGAATAAAAATGGAATTTAAACACATTAAAACAAAACAAAATGAAAAGAGAACACATGAATTTATTGGATTATGTCACTGCAAAATACATACATAGGGTTTACACTGAATGTGGTTTTGATTCAGAGCCCAAGTGACATCACCAGAACACATTTCTGGGTTGTATTGCATTTCTGTTTTGTTTTATTTTTAGTTAGCTTCCTACTCTGGCTGTTTTAGGAAGATAGCTTTAACTCTTTCATGCTGCTATCTTAGTCTACCAAGACCAGCAGGAAATTATCCAAACTAATTTTCCCCAATGCCCAGGAAATGTTTCTCTGTGTCATGTTTGTTACATAACATGCTATTTCTGAATCATTAACTCTCTGGAACTAGTTGTGAGTTCATTTCCACTAAAATTGGGCTAAGATTTGGCAGAGAGGTGATTTTCCAAAAAATTTTCAGGAGTTACTGACAGAAAAAATACTAATAGATACTAAAGAGTTATAAGCAAAAGTTCACTACATAAATTTTATTATTTTCCCAACAATTTAATTATGATGAAAAATAGTGAAAAATAAATCATCAAGATATAGCACCAAGACAAACAAAAATTCTTCTTAGATTTCCTTTTTTGGGGATTATTTGTACATTAGCTATCCTCTCTTTTGCAGATTATAAAGAGCAAATTGCATGTAAGAGATTATATTGGGTAAGTAATTAAGAGCATAACATTCAATGCTGAATAAATAATTAATGTAATTAGAGACATGGCAATTTTGGCCTTATGTTTTTAGACGAGAAAGGAAAGAAACAATTATTTTACAAAAATAAATTATAAGGTCAACTCTATAGGTAAATTAGAAATAGTTTTTGAAGTGTCTTCAATGGGTTCATGGTTTACATTAATTCCAAATAAGTATCTAGTGTTTGATCTGTTGTACAAGTTAAAAATCTGAACATTGAGGAGAGAACACAATGTAAGATACATTATAAAAATGCAATTCAAGGTGACATATGATTTATTTGTAACAATTATTATTTACACTAGTTTCTTTTAATTCTCATTGACAAAAGAAAGTTTATAAATAGGCACCTGCACCCAATATGTACAAAACATGTAAATCTTGATCTTAAAAGGTTGATAAGGGAGTAAAATTAAAACCTATGTCCAATTAACTTCCTGTTCCAACTCATCATTAGGAAATAAAGCATCCAAATTCATGGTAAATTTTCATTTAGAAACAGACCCTATCTAATGAGGACAGGCTGTATTCTAGACTCTGTACTGTTTTGTATATATTATCTCAGTAAATCATCAAAACATTTCAGTATATTAATACATGAGATAATAAAAGTAATCCTCAGACAAATGAGGGGAGCTAATTTCTTCCTTCATTTAAGTAATTTTAACACATTTGATTGCTCAAATACTTTGTGTAAGATACTTTCTAGCTTGAGGTTTGTGATGTTGAATAAATTTATAAGTTTATAACCAGTGTTACAGACATATAACAAATATGACAGTAAGTAAGTAAATATAAAATTTTAACATAGACTAGGTAAACAAGAAGAAAACATACAAAAAGATGGAGAATGACTGGGTGGAGACTTATGTTGGGTTTTCATTAAGGTGACAACCTCAGAAATGAGAAAAGACAGACCACTATACCAAGATTCTGGAATAGAATTACCGGGCCAAAAAAGGATGCATATATTCAATTTTTTTAAACAATGCAAAATTTAATTTCTAAACTGGTTTGCTAATATATACTTCCACAAGCAGGTCCAGTGGCTCTATAACCAATGGCACCTATTATTGTCAGATTTTTATTTATGCTAAATGGTGAATATAAATATATTTCATATTGTGGCTTTAATTAACATATTCATCATTATTAATGAAGTTGAGCTTTTTTCCTCTAACTTTCTTTATCTATTATATTTCCTCCTTTGTGAAATACCTAGTCAAGTCATTGTTCATTTATTATTTGCAGCACGTGGGCTTTTAAAAAACTGTATGTTAAATTTATTTATACTTACAAACAGTTTTCCTTTTTCAAGTGTGTCAAAACTGTAAATATATTTTCCTAGGATACAACTTGTCTTTTCCCATTCTACATCTTTTAATTAATAGAGTTCTAATTTTAGTGCAAAGTTTTCTTTGTTATTTGTGCTTTATGAAACTTTTAAAGCTATTTTGTTGTGATCATACAGCAGAAACAGGGTCAACCCTAACCGAAAATTTGGTTCAGAGGTTGAGATTGCTGATATCACACCCAAACCACAAGGATATAAAATGTTTCATTATTTACAGAGTGAGGCTTTCTGAATCATAAAGATATTTATCAATATAGTTACTTTAAGTTTTCCTATTGTTGCTTTTACATTTGCTATTTTATCCACCTGTGATTAGTTTTTATATATGTTCTTAGGAAGTAGTCTACTATTTTTTAAACATATGGATAGCAACTTGTCTAACCACTGTTTATACAATAATCAATTTTTTCACAGTTATATAATGCCATATAAAATCCACGTAAAAATTGGTCTTTTCTTGGATTCTTATTTCATTCTATTTGTGCATTTTTTTAAAAATTGGTCTGGAATTGACAAATTTTCCCAGGGAACAACAACAACAACAACAACAGAGAGCATGCATTTGTCTCTGTGGTCTTCCTCTGTTCTTCCTCAATTCTCTAGCTGCTTTCTTCTATAGCTTTCTGATTCTGCTAAACAGATAATTAACTTTTGGATTTTATACAGCTTTTCTGATTGTTCTTAGCAGGAATGTTGATCTGTCACAAAGTACTCCCTTCTAACCAAAATGTTTCTTATTCTTTCCTCTTTTTTATTTTAACCATATTCAACATACATATTTTGTGCTTTGTGCCTGTTAAAATTAAGACATTAGAAGTCTTTATAGATCTGATTTGGCTGTCTCTCCTCATTCTGCTGACTCTTGCTCATGGTGCCTTTATCCCTGTGTGTTTTGTTTTAATTTTATTTTATTTGTTCATGTGAACTCACCCACTTAGGACTATTTTCTATGGGCCTTGGTTAAAGAATGGTATTAAAGGTTTTTCCCATTCATTTTTGCCACATAATTGGAAAACAATTGTACTAGAACCATTTTAAAAACATATTTGCCTTGATACTTTTTTTTTTTAATGCAACAGGTTTGTGAACTTGAGCAGCAAACCTGCTTAAGGCCAAGGTTTTCATCATGTAATCTCAGGAGATATTTTTTTTAATCTCTACTCGGTCCTTATGTTAAGACAATACAGATTTTTCAGTTTCTTTCTGAGATGCTTTATGTGGTTCAATTTTATCCTTATATTGAGGATGTATTGCTTTCAGGACTTAGCTATATGCAAGCATTGCTTACTGGAACTCACACCCTGGACAGGCCTTTGGCTTTATTTTCTGCCCCCTGACTTCCTCATAAGCCTCAATAAAGAAGCTCATCAGTGTAACCATGAGAAAAATAATGGACAAACCCAAATTGAGGGGACATTACACACCACTTGACCAGTAATCCCCAAAAGTTTCAAGATCATTGCAAACAAGAAAAGTCTAAGAAATGGTTATTATAGGGAGGTACTTCAGTAGGCATGCCAACTTAAAATAATGTGGTATCCTGGATAAGATCTAGATATAGACAAAACTAGGTAAAAGCTAATGGAAATCAAATTGTGAAATTTAGTTAAACATAATGTACCAATTTGTTTCATTAGTTGTGACAAATGTACTGTGATGATGTAAGATCTTAAAAGAGAAAACTGTGTACAGAGTATAGAGTTGACAAGATTTTTTTGTATTAACTGCAACTTCGTGGATGTGTTGAGAGTGATCCAACTTTATTTGACTTTGAAAATACTTGCATTCTCTCTCTCTTTCTTCCTTCCTTTCCTCAATTTAACCTACCTGCCTCTTTTCCTCCTGGGATCCCCCCACCTCTCTCTTTCTTTCTTTCTTACTTAGCTTTTCAACTATTAATTCATTTGTGGCTTTTGAGATTTTTCTTATTTTCTGGTCCAAACAACAATTCACTTGAAATTATGTTTTTAATATTTCATTAAACATTTTAGTTAGTTTTAGAAACAGTTTTGTCAGCATATCTAACTGCTCATAGTGACAGAAGTCAAAACTGGTACTTTCTTTTTCACTTCAGTTCAAACATGACTCTAAGTTAGAAAACTCTAGTCATGTGTTTACATAATTGCAAAGAAAGCTGAGGAAGTGAGTTTTATGAATTTGCTAATCATAAGTTGAAAAGTTTCTGAACAATAGAAACAGTAAACAAATAATGTTTCTTCTAAGCCAGATATATGAAAATGAATGACAAATTAAAAATATTGCTTAATATTACCTTACAATTTTGTATTACCACACAATTTTGTTATGTTAGTTTTCAATGTATTTATTGGATTAATAGATAAATCAGATTATACTTTGTCATTAGCAAGAAACACTTGTTTTTAAAAAGACCAGCACCAGGCCAAAATCCCATGTGTGAACTTTCGAGCCTAACCATGGGCAATATCGTTCAGAAATTGTATAAGGCTTTGCCTGTCAGGCCTAAAAAGAAGCTACCCTTCCCTCACCAGTCTTGGAGTACAGTCAGTACTTGCACTTTTCCAGAAAGAGCTGCTGTCAAGGACCCAGCACTTCTAGACCAATCAAGCTCATGTGCATATCTAAGTGTCTAGCCCAGGCACTTCCTGTTGGAAGCCTCCTCGTCAGGGACATTGGCTGAGACTTCTAAGCCACCTTTGCAGAGATGTCTTTGTAGAAAAACCTTGACTGAGGCATTTGCCCCTATCTGTCCTGGATGTCATCTGTTCAGAGTCCCACAAGGTTCTGTGGAAAAATGGAACACTGGGAAGCTAGCGACTTTTTCTTTTGCATCTTTCCTGTGCTGTCACAGATAATAAATAAATGTTTGGCTGTCACTTTCAGTTTGGCTCATTGTGCTAATTGACAACCTATACGAAGGCAATTTGACTATTTTACTTATGAATATTTTTATTGAACTATTTTTACATAATTTTAATAACAAGGTTTAATAATGCTTATGGTCGCATGCAGTCAGTACTTTAATACAAATACTTTCATATAATACTTGTACTTTCATATAATACAACTTCAGCAGAATAAATGCTACATAAGACATTATTAAATGTTTTATTTATCTGAGATAATTAATGTTGTAAATTTAATATATCCTTTTCTACCACTATTATAATATGGAATGTTGCTACAAGAATGAATTTGTTCATAGGCATGAAAAAGGAATATCTGTGATTAAAATAAGTCTAAGATGCAAACATCAATTCTTAAAATTCATAATAGATTGATGTATTACTTTTGAAACTGCTAAACAAGGCAATTGAGCAATCACTAGGAAAAAATAGATGAAATAATTTTAATTTTTTTCTGTTTTCAAGGAAGTGGCAAGAATCTACTATAGGATATTTACACACATTTTTATTTTTATGCATCATTTACTAGTCTAGTACTATATCATTCAGTGCTGAAATAAAATATTTAAATAGCCAAACATACTCCTTAGCAATATATGAAGTGCAAAACAGTTTATAACAACAGTGCAAAGATAAATTTAAGCACATATTCAAGAAGGGTATCGTGTTTTGAAAACAAATTCAGATAGTCACATTCCTAGCAAAAGATTTAATGACATTGACTATAATACTGATTTGATAGGATTCATTTTTCAACTAATGAGGAATGTGATTGTGGTGGAGTTGGTAATTAAGAACAAATGCCTAATGGTTATATTTTAGGTGTTAGAAATTATAAAGTAGTAGGAAATTCTCAAGTAAACTCAAGTTATTTTTACTCAAATTGAGGAGCAGCTAGGTCACTTAAATGATAAATATCTTTGTTTTTCATATATTGTTCTGATGCATGAAATATGCCAAATCTGATGATAAATTTTTGTGGGACGTGGCAACATTTCTGCATGTTATCATTCTCTTTTAAATGTAAGTTCTGTGTAGATGCAGTCTTCTCTGGTATTAATACGTGGTACTCTTTTGTTCTACCAAATAGCATTATCCTAGGGCTTATGTCATTGGTTTCCTTGTTAACTTATTTTGTATTGCAAATGTCATGTTAGCTGTGAATTCAGGTACATTTTTTTCTCTAAAGCCCTATAAGCTTTATAAAATGAGTTATAATTCAGACTGCTTAACCTATTTTGAATGCTTGCAATTTTAAACTTTCAACATATCCAGAAATGCATTTCATTTGTTTACACTCATTATATGAAAAAAATAAAAATAAACCTTGGCCTTTAAATAGCATTCTCAAATTTAGACAATTTGTGATCAGAACTTGCATTATTACTGTCAGTGCAATAGGGTTGAGTTGTAAAAAGATGGTTTTCTCAATTGTCAGATAATACCTAGACTAAAATATTCCCCTTGCTCCAGTTTTAACTGGTTATACTGCCAGATTAAACCAATCTGTGATTCCCTTTGGCTGTATCAATTATTCCTGTTCATTTTTTTAATATGCTGAGAACTAAATGTTTAATTTGCTACTACAGTAGCATGAATCTGCTAAGCTATTTTTTGCTTAGTTTTCTTTTATAAACAAAGGCAATTTGAAATCTTAAAGGAAAATTTTGCCAAATTGTAAAGGAAAATAAAATAAATAATATAATTTCCCTTAATGATTACTCTCTTTGGGGAGCTTAGTTTAGGATCTTTATTCTATAAAACCTACAGACTGCCATTTTGCTGTTAATTACCATCACAATGCATTAGTCTATTTTATGTAATCCTCAGTCAATAAGACACTATGAGACATGTTTGGAAAGTGCATTAAAACATGTCTCTTCTGAGGTTAGATTATAAAAAATCGAAAGCAATTTTGTAAATACAGTTTTTTCTGTTTTGATAAACTATTTTATTTTATTGCTATAAAGTTTTAAGGGTATGTGAATGACTTGAATTTTGAAAGATTCTCACAGAGCTTACAGAGGGTTGGGGTCTGAGTACTCTAAAATAATATAAAATATTATTTGAAATTAAATTCAGACATATTATTAGATTATTATTTCTGGAGTTCAAATAAACTTATTTTTGCAGAGTTTGCTTACATAAGCTGGTTATTCAAATACACGTGAGTGCAATTATGGTTTATCTTTCCTTTAAGATCCTCCAGAAATATAAATGAACTGGTTATATAAGTTAATGTTCAGAAAGTCATTTATTGGAGCTCTCTTGTAAAAATCGAAACTAAACTTGGAATTTTTGTTTTCCCCTAATCTGCCTATTTGAAGAAATTTAAAATATCTAAATTATATATTGATGCTGATATTTAACATATTTAAGTTCATTTTCTGATTTTTGGAATGTCTTTGCAGTAAAAAAATACTTAGTAAGTGTTTTGCTTCAGTACTGTGTTTGATTCTTAATTCCTTCAGAATTATTTTGCAGAAATCCACATGGCCAATAGATATTTCTTTTAAGGAAAAGCAAAGGTCACCAATATGGTCTCAGTAAATGTGACTGTATAGAGAAAGTTGAACATTGAGAGGATTCAAAACACTAGAAGGTTGTCATGTAATTTTCTCACTTATACTTGATTTGTACTCTAATATTTTAAGAAGTGAAGAAGAAAGGAAGTCCAATTAGAATCTAAATATTTTTCTAAAATAAAAAATTATATATTATAATTCATATTTATATAAGATATACAAATTATATAAATATAATTTATATTTATATAGGATATATAAATTATATAAATATAATTTATATTTATATAAGATATAAATTATAAAATTATACAATTTATATAAATTATGTAATATAATTTATAATTTATATAGTATAAATATATGTGTATTTTATAAATAAAATGTTTATGAATTAAATTATATAATTATTGCAAAATTCAAAGAGAATCTTAAGAGCTGAAAAAAGTAAAAATGAAATAGAAACAATGTGAATTATATATATAAAATCATAAAACAATGCCATTTATGAAAACTGTATGATTAGTTGACACAGACCGTGCAAACTAAGAAGTAAATTTATTTATTGTATTTATTTATTCTCCATAGTTACTATTATATATTCACTTTCATTTGCTCTGCCAAAAATGACAACTATCTTCAAAAATAAACTTGATTTTAGAAACAGCTAGTCCTTATCTATAGATGTCACTCTGCATAAATGCTGCTCAGTTAAGCACCATTTTGAGTAAAAACTACATTTTTTCTTAGAAAATAAAGACAGCTAACTTATATTTTTAAAAAGCATAATTAATTTTCTTCATTCCAAAATGTCAAAGTAATTTCGATACGGACAGGAGGCAGGGAAATTCTGGGCAGACAGGGCAGGTCCCCAGTGACGGCCCTACCCTCAAGTCTGGAACTGCCACCCAAAGTGAGAACATACATTCCTGTTTTCTGACTTAAATGTTGCCTTTTCCAAAACCACCCATGGCCTGCCCTACCCCCATTTTGTGCCCATAAAACCCTATCCTGTGTCCATAAAAACCCTCAGGGATGGCTGGACTCCAGGGGAAGATTATCTTCCTGCTCTGTCCCCTCTTTAGTTCCCCTTCCTGCTGAGAACCACTGTCATTGGCAATAAAATCCCTCACATTGACCATCTCCAATTTGTTCATGCAACCTCATTCCTCCTGGACACCAGACAGGATCTCAGGTGTGGGTGCAAAAGGCTGTCACACTGACCCTCCATTGAGCTGTCAACACTTAAGCCGAATATGGACAGCAAAGCTAAAAGAACACTGATTGTAACACTCTTTCTGGGGTTTCTGGGGTTGTGGGCATCTCCCCAGATGCTGCCGTGGGGCCTCATAGAGTTTCGCTCCTGCTGGTGCCCAAAGGCACTTGCCCTGGCTCCTACCCCCACTCACCTACACTCTCCCTCTTGCAAGGGATGGAAGGCAGTGGCACCAAGCAAGTGGAGTCCACCCCTGCTGACACCGAAGTGGCCGGCTAGTTCTAGTGCCTGTGCACTCCAGTTTCCGCCCATGAAGAAAGAGGTCAGGGAAAATTTCCTGCTTCAGTTTCAAATGTTCTATAATACTAAGTTTGTAAAATCTAATGTTATTTCTATCTTAAAATGTCAAATAGCTTCAGAACTATCTTACTAGTCAAGTGTACAACTGCCCTACAAGGTAGGTTACGATCTTCCTTAAACTAATATTAGCACCATAAAGAAATAAAGTACAATGTTCCTAGCTGACTTTAAGGTGTTCACTCAGAAATTGTGCCTACATATATAGCTGGTGCTACACTTCTGAATTACGGAAGTGTTGGTTAATAAATCAGTCCCAAATGTTAAATTTTATTCTAGTCTGAATAAAAAAGTTGCTTTTGTTACAAATATCTTCTTATATGCTACTTAGTTGTTGTTATCCTTACTTGCCTTCTGGAGCTTTGGTAACTTTTTGGTTCATTAACCACTGTAATGACCAACTCTGCATGACTTCTCTTAACTTCACACAGGCACAACACAATGCACCTTGCCTGGATGCCAAGGTGCACACCTCTATTGAGTTATTTCCTGAGACTTTCCTTTGACACAGAGGCTTGAGACTTCTCAGACCTGACTGGAGGCCATACTTGTGGAAAAAAAAATAAGTGGTATGGAATTAACACCCTGCAGGGCAAATATTTCCCTATTTAGATCAAGAAAGTTGGTAGACAATTTTTTTCTTACTCTCTGCCCTGCCTCACCATGGACTTCCCTGGGACCAGTAATCCTACAGCCTTTCAGAAGAAGTCTCCAGCTACATAGTCTGTTTTCACACTGCTATGAAGAAATACCTCAGTCTGGGTAATTTATAAAGAAAAGAGGTTTATTTGACTCACAGTACCACATGTCAGGGAGTCTCAGGAAACTTACAATTATGGTGGAAGCCAAAGGGGAAGCAAGGACCTTCTTTATGTGGTGACAGGAGAGAGAAGAGTGCATGTGTAGGAGGAAATGTGAAACACTTATAAAAACATCAGATCTCATGAGAACTCACTCACTATCACAAGAACAGCATGGGGGAAACTACCCCCATGACCCAATCACCTCCCACCAGGTCTCTCCCTCAGTATCTGGGGAGTACAAGTCAAGATAAGATTTGGGTGGGGACACAAAGCCTATCTATATCACCAGTTAGAAATCATTTTCGCTTAGCTCCATGAGGTAGCAGCTCAGTACTACATCTGTTTATTGACTTCCTTCTTCCCTGCTTCATTCTTTTCTCTTGTATTCTGTTTCCCTGGGATTGCACTCTCTAATTTAGTAATTAATTTATCTAAGTTTACTCCCCAGTTCTGATTTCTGGTGGAGCCAAATTAAGTAACTTTTCAAAATTCCTTTTCCATTCTAACATTCTGTTTCTAAGAAGAATATTCCCATGCTGGGATTTTTTTTTTTTTTTTTTTTTTTTACTTTTATTTTAGGTTCAATGTGCAGGTTTCTTCTATGGGTAAATTGTGTACCATAGGAATTTGGTGTACATATTATTTGATCACCCAGGTAGTAAGCATAGTACCCCATAGGTAGTTTATCTTTTCTTTTTTTCACATCATTTTTTTCATTTTTAATTTTTGTAGGTACATAATAGGTGCATATATTTATCGGGTACATAACATTTCTTGATGCAGGCAGGCAATGTGTGATAATCACACCATGGAGAATGGGGTATCCATCCCCTCAAGCATTTATCCTTTGTGTTAAAACAATCCAATTACCCTTTTATTTTTAAATGTACAATTATTATTGACTATAATCACCTGTTGTGCTATCAAAGAGTATGTCTCACTCATTCTTTGTATTTTTGTGTACCCAATAATTATCCCAGCCCCTCACTAAACTTTCCAGACTCTGGTAACCATCCTTCTACACTTTATCTCCATGAGTTCAATCGCTTTGATTTTTAAAGCCCACAAATAAGTGAGAACATATGATGTTCCTCTTTCTGTGCCTGGCTTATTTCACTTAACATAATGATGTCTAGTTCCATCCACGTTGTTGTAAGTAATAGGGTTTTATTCTTTTTTATGGCTAGATTAGTACTCCACTGTATATAATTACCACATTTCTTTTTATCCACTTATCTGTTGATGGACACTTAGGTGCTTTCAAATCTTAGCTATGGTAAACAGCACTGCAGCAAACATGGGAGTGCAGATATCACTTCAATATACTGATTTTCTTTCTTTTGGGTAAATGTCCAGCAGTGGGATTGCTGAATTATATGGTTTTCTATTTTTAGTTTTTTGAGGCACCTCCAAACTGTTTTCTATCATGGCTGTACTAATTTACATTCCCACCAACAGTGTACAAGGATTCCCTTTTCTCCACATTCTCTCCATTTGTTATTATCTTTTGTTTTTTGAGATGGAGACTCGCACTGTTGCCTGGGCTGGAGTGCAGTGGTGCAATCTCAGCTCACTGCAACTTCTGCCTCCCAGGTTCATGTGATTCTCCTGCCTCAGCCTCCCCAGTAGGTGAGATTACAGGTGCACACAACCACACCCGGCTATTTTTTTGTATTTTTAGTAGAGATGGGGTTTCACCATGTTGGCCAGAATGGTCTCAAACTCCTGACCTCGTGATCCACCCACCTCAGCCTCCCAAAGTGCTGGGATTACAGGCGTGAGCCACCGCGCCCGGCCTATTATCTATCTTTTAGATATAAGCCATTATAACTGGAGTGAGATGATATCCCATTGCAGTTTTGATTTGCATTTCTGATGTTGAGCACCTTTTCATATGTCTTTTTTCTATTTGTATGTGTTCTTTTGAATCTATTTAAATCTTTTGTCCATTTTTTGGTTGAATTATTAGATTTTTTCCTATACAGTTATCTGAGCTCCTTACATATTTCCATTATTATTCCAGTGATAGGTGGTTTTTCAATTCTCTCCCTTCTTCTATCCTTCACCTTCAAGTAGGCCTCAGTGTCTGTTGTTCCCTTCTTTGCGTCCATGTGGATTCAATGTTTCACTCTCACTTATATGTGAGAACCTGCAGTATTTGGTTTTCTGTTTCAGCATTAGTTTGCTAAGCATGACAGCCTCTATCTCTGTTGGTGTTGCTGCAAAGGACATGATATCTTTCTTTTTTTATGGCTGAATAGTACTCCAATGTGTATATGTATCACATTTTCTTTATTCAGTCCACTATTAATGGGCATTTAGGTTGATTCTATGTCTTTGCTATTGTAAAGAGTGCTGTAATAAACATACACACGCATATGTCTTTATGGTAGAATGATTTATACACCTTTGGGTATATACTCAATAATGGAATAGCTGGGTTGAATGGTAATTCTGTTTTACATCTTTTGAGTTCCTTATAGATTCTGGCTATTAGACCTTTGTCAGAGACATAGTTTGCAAATATTTTCTCCCATATTGTAGATGGCCTGTTTGCTCTACTGATAGGTTTTTTTTATTGTTGTTGTTCTTGATTTTTGTGTTTGTGAGCTGTGAAGAAGCTCTTTAATTTAATTAGATCACATTTCTCATTTTTTGTTTCTGTTGCAATTTCTTTTAGTGTCTTTGTCATAAAATCTTTGCCAGGGCTCATGTCCAGAATGTTATTTCCTAAGTTATCTACCAGAGTTTTTATAGATTTAGGTTTTACATGTAAGTCTTGAACGCATCTTGAGTAGATTTTTGTATATGGTATAAGGAAGGGGTCCAGCTTTTATCTTCTGCATATGGCCAGTCAGTCATCCCAGCACCATTTATTAGATAGGGAATCCTTTACTCTTTGCTTGATTCTGTTGACTTTGTCAACGATCAGGTGGTTATAAATGTACAGCTTTATTTCTGGGCTCTCTATTCTGTTCCATTGATATATGTGTCTGTTTTTGTACCAGTACCACGCTGTTTTGGTTCCTGTAGCCTTGTAGTGTACTTTGCAGTTAGGTAACATGATGCCTCCAGCTTTGTTCTTTTTGCTTAGAATTCTCTTGGTTATTCAATCTATTTCAAGGTGCATATCAATATTAAAATAGTTTTGTTTTTATCTAATTTTGTGAAAAATGTCATTAGTGGTTTGATAGAAACATCATGGAATGTGCAAATTGCTTTGGGGAACATGGTCATTTTAAAATTATTGGATCTTCTTATCCATAAGCATAGAATGTTTTTCCATTTGTTTGTGTCATATCTAATTTCTTTAAGCAGTGTTTTGTAATTCTCATTGTAGACATTGTTTACCTCCCTGGCTACCTGTATGCCTAGGTATTTTATTCCTTTTTGGTGATTGTGAATTGTATTGCATTCTTGCTTTGACTCTTAGCTTAAACATTATTGGTGTATAGAAATGCTACTGATTTATATACACTAATTTTGTATTCTGAAACTTTGCTGAAGTTGTTGATCAGATCTCGGAGCTTTTGGGCAGAGACTATGGGGTTTTCTAGATACAGAATGGTATCATCTGCAAACAGAGATAATTTGACTTCCTCTATTCCTATTTGCGTGCCTTTTATTTCTTCTCTTGCCTGATTGCTCTGGCTATAACTTCCAGTACTATGTTGAATAGGAGTGGTGAGAGTGGGCATCCCTGTCTTACTCTGGTTCTCAAGGGGAATGCTTCTGGTTTCTACTTATTCAGGATGATTTTGGCTGTTGGTTTGTCATAGATGACTCATTATTTTTAAGTATTTTCCTTCAATGCCTAGTTTGTTGAGGGTTTTTTAACATGAAGTAATGTTTAATATTACCAAAAGCCTTTTCTGCATCTATTGAGATGATCATGTGGTTTTTGTTTTTAGTTTTATATGGTAAATCACATTTAATGATTTGTGTAATTTGAACAAATCTTGCATTCCAGGGATAAAGCCTAACTGATTGTGGTGGATTCGCTTTTTGATATGCTGCTGGATTTGGTTTGCCAGTATTTCGTTAAGAATTTTTACACCTATGTTCATCAAGGATATTGTCTTGAAAATTTCGCTTTTATTTGCTGTATCTCTGCCAGGTTTTGGTATCAGGGTGACACTGGCCTAATATAATGAGTTTGGGAGGAGTCCCTCCTCCTCAATTTTTTGAAATAGTTTCAGTAAGAATGGTACCAACTCTTTTTTATATATCTGGCAGAATTCAACTGTGAATCCATCCGGTCCTGAGCTTTTTCTGGTTGATAGGGTGGGAAATTTAAAGTTCAGAAGTTTGCCATGATGTTACATCTTCTCAGCTACATCAGTGCTATTTAACCAGTATCTTAGAAAATTGTTGCAGAAAGGTCTGTTTCTAGATATTTAGAAGTCTGAGGAGTGTTTGCTTTGGCATCACTTAAGTGCTATACATTTAGCCATGAATTTGGAATAAAAATTTATCAAACAGAAGAATTAAATATTTTAAAAAATTATTGCTTGAAGTCTTTAACAGAAAAGAAGACTGTTTGGAAATAACATTTAAAAAATTAACAATGTATTTTATATCCAATTATCCCAAATATTACATTTTCCACAAGAAATTATCATAAGGCATCATCAATGAGGTGTTTGATGTTTTGAATATTGTCATCAAATTTGGTATATTTTATACTTAGAGCACATCTCAATTTGAACTAGCCACATGGCACATGCTGAGAAGCCACACGGGGCTAGTGGCTACCATATTCAACAGCACTGACATATGTTGTTCTACCACACACACTATGTAGCACTTCATCTGCTCCACTAAATATATCTTGGTCGTGTTCTTGAAGAGGATATGCAGCTATGCCTCACTGTCTAAGAGCTTCATCATGTTCTATTATATGTATTATATGGCTGTTACAAGTGGGGCTTAAATGACTCTCAATGTGAAAAGAAAGAGTAAGAAAACTATATACATTATGAATGAGATAAAATGTTCCTTTGTTATAGATGAGTAAATTAAATTTCAGTTAAGTTATGCAATTCAAATGGAGTCATAGGAAATTTTAACAGATCAATATACTAAGCCATTTATATATATTATATATTTATGTATAATATATAAATATATTTATTTATATATAAATAAATATATAAATATATTTATTTATATATAAATAAATATATATATTTATTTATATATAAATAAATATATATATTTATATAAATATATATATTTATTTATATATATTTACTTATTTATTTATACTTATATAAAATATATATATATATATACACATATATATTTGAAATGGAGTCTTGCTCTGTTGCCAGGCTAGAGTGCAGTGGTACAATCTCAGCTCACTGCAACCTCTACCTCCCAGGTTCAAGCAATTCCCCTGCCTCAACCTCCCGAGTAGCTGGAACTACAGGTGTGTGCCACCGTGCCTGGCTAATTTTTTGTATTTTAGTAGAAACAGGGTTTCACCATGTTGGCCAGGATGGTCTCGATCTCCTGACCTCGTGATCCACCTGCCTCGGCCTCCCAAAGTGCTGGGATTACAGGTGTGAGCCACCGCGTCCAGCCTACTAAGCCATATTTATTTACATTTTAGTTGAGTATCAAGATTGGAAATCCAAAAAGATTCATTCCTTTTAACCATAACTGAAAGAGATAAAGACAGGAAGTTAACAGAATCATCATCTACATCTCTATTGCGGAAATAACGTTTTGAAATGACAGTGATGTGAAATAATTTTCAAGTCTTCTCAGTATTAAATTAGTAAGTATACTCAGCATTATAATACATAATGATATTTAATCTTTCAAACTGTTAATACTTGGGCAAATAAACTTTAAAAAATAGTGTCAGCCATCATTGGTAAATTTTGTAATAAATCACTTTATATAAAAAATTCAGCATATGTTGGGCTGTGCAAACTGGCAACTGCTCAAAGTAAAAATTGCCAAATATGTTAGGGTTATTTCCTTTAATTAATACAGAAATTGGTATTTGATGTTTGTATATGCCTAGGAACCTGCAGAAATAAGTATAAGCTCATTTCATTTCAAACAAATGTTCTGTCTCTATGGAATTCTGGAATTTAAATGCAAACCTCTGAGGTTAAACAACCATGTTTCCGATTACAGAGTTTTACCATGTCATGTGTGCACACATTAAAAAAAAATCAGTACGAAACTCACTCTTTGTTGTCAAATAAGGAACAGTAAATTAATTTTGCTTTTGAATTATGTGGAATTGAATTATACAAGAAAATCTTGGCAATGTTCCTTCTTTTAATTAATGTTTTGTCAGATCATCAATCTTACTTTCTCCCTGTGTGTTAATATTCAATTTGTTTAATATTTACTTAAGCCCACATCTCTTTCCTAAAGAAGAATTCCTATCTAGTTAGTTAAGATGTCTCTAAGCAGCATAACAAAAGCAGTGGGGATAATTTCCCACCATATTTAACAAACAAATGAAGTGCTCAGTTCTCCATAATGAAATCCAGAGTACTTTTTTAATGAATTAGGTCAGAAGCCTACACACAAGTTTTACAGGTAACTATAATATGTAGGACAATAAAGCCAGTTTTTTAAAAAGAATAATAATCTCAGTATAATAAAAATTTTTAATAGTGGCTTTACACCTCCAAGGCAAATATTATTTTTCCTTCAGAAATGCAAACAGAGATGATTATTTCTTAATTTGGTCACAAAATTGAAAAAAAGACAAACAAAACATGTTTTTTACCCTCTAGTCATTGGCTTTGTCCATTTCAGAAGCTTTGTGCTGAAGACATTAGAAGGTGCAATTACCTCACGGATCAGTGGCTACTAAGCTGATATACCATTGATTTTTTAAATCATGAGGCGAGGCAGAGCACAGCTGAAGTGGATCAAATGTCTCAGCCCTGTTAGAAGGTCTTTTTTACCCATGTCTTTGCTGTACCTAAGCAAGGAAGAATCAATAAGGTAGGAAAGATTGTTGGTAATATTTCATCTGCAATAGGCAAAGAGAAGAAATTTTATTTTAAGAGTTAGTTTTTATATAAAATTATGTCATAATTCTTTGTATGGAATTGCCTGGATCATTAGTAAAATATATTGACAAAGAGTTAGGCATGAGATTGGCTGCAAATAAAAATGAATGAACTAAGAAGAAAGTATTTTCTTGGTCTTTTAATTAAAACTCAGGAACTCAATGATTCAAAGATTATAGACTCCAAACTGACTCGCTATTTGAATAGTCACATTGCGTATGCTAATCTTTGAAAGAAATTTAATCCATCTATTTTAAATGCTATTACACACACAGTCACACACACATGTGCACACGCACACACAGAACAGCAAAATGCAGATGACTCAGAAGTAGGAATTATGGCCACTGTTATGGAGAGAACCACCAATAGGGGCTCCAACCAGAGCTCAACAAACACTTCAGGTTTCATATTTCAGACTAACTGAAGCAGTTTTTAGATATTTTGGGGGGGTTTAAGAGTTTATTGGTAAGCCATCCTGGATTTTAAATCTGTTTCTCATACACATATAGATCCTTTTTGGGAAGCATCCAGCTTAATAAGTTTAAAGAATGAATATATCATTGACATATTTTTATTTTCCCACATTAATATTTGTTCAGGTTATTGCAAAGACAGCTAAAAGCAAAAGGAACACTAATCTGAAAAAAAAAGAAATAAAGCAAGGAAAGAAGAAATGAAGAATGGAGGAAGGTAGGAAAGAAGAAGGGAACTAAGGAAGATATGGTAATTAATATGTATCCACTCTTATCTCATGAAAATAGTTTCTTGGGGAATTTTTTTCTAATAAAGTTTATAGCCATTGAATAAATCCTTTATAATGTCCAGAATAGCACAACTCAACTTTTCTGCACTTTTGATGGTGGAAATAACGTAAGTTAAAGCCAAATATTTGAAAGATAATATATCACAGTAGACAAGAGAAAAGATTAGAGCCAGATACCATGAGATGAAATCCTAGTAAGACTTACTAATCATGTGGCTTCTGCAAGTTACTCCAGCCTTTCGTGTATGTCCATGCATTCCCTCCTTAAATTAGGGTTAATATTATTAATTTTCCATGGGATTGCTGTGCGTGTGATTCTAAAGTTCTTAGTGTCTGGTACAGAGTAAGCACTACATAAGTATTAGCAACAAATATTATTTTAAAATTATTTTTCAGGAAAGAACAAATACATAAAAAGTCTGTGAAATCAATATTGTCTCCTTGAAAACATTCATCTTTTCTCAGATTCTAAACCCAGCAAAACTTCCTCTTTCTTATTACTGTCTCATGTTTGTCTTCATCCTCAGATGTACTCCTTTCTCTCCTCCAGCCCTCCTCTAAACCTACCTGTGATCCTTCTTAAGGTTTTGGTCATTTGAGCATCCCTCTGTCACAGACACTTCGCTTCCAGGACTTCAGTGTACTTTTGGGATAGGTGGTGTTTTTCTGGGTTTTGCCCTACCAACCCCTCTGGCATTGTTTGCTTAAGCCAGTAGTCTCTCATTTGATGGCCTTTGCTGGATTAGCAATTTACTACCTGCCTGAATGCAAAGACATTCCTTCTAAATGTACAAGCTTCTTGATAGACTGTGGTTGCTAAACTGCCTTACAGGAATGTATCTGGATTCCTTACTCAGCTGAAGAAACTTCCCAGCAACCCTCCTCCTCTCCAGAAAAGTGTCTGCTACAGAGTAGACATTTAATAAAAAATTGTAAATAAATTAGGATGGTTAATATTGAGATTATTTTTACATTCTATTTTGAGAATGTAAGATATTTAGATAAGAATATTTTAGGATAATTTCAATTCAAAAATATAAAAATTAATATGTTTTAATTGGCATTTCTGATTAAGTTTCCTCAAGGATTTTAAATAACCAAAATGTACTAGATTAATATTATATCTTATCACTTTTATTTTTGTTTAGAGAAGTAACAATTTATGTATTTCTCCACGCGATTGGAATTAAAATTTAAAATTTAACTGATGGGTTGAATTTATTAACATTTTCTTTCCAGTGTTTGAGACTTTCAAGATTTTTGTCTCAGAGTTTAATGACTGGCGATTTATCTTCTATTGTATCAGTTTAAGAGAAAAAATGGGCAATGGTGCCTAAGACACATTGGGACACAAAAACAACAGAACAAAATGTTGTCAGACAAAATATTTTTTCTACGTATTTGGTCATTAATTTCTGCCATCTCATCTTACATATGTAGGGGAAGCTGTGCTTTTCTCCCTCTACGATCTGTTTTCTTATTATAAACTCTTGTCTGTGAGAGAACTTCTATTTTAATCAAATAGAAATATGGTTGAAAACTAGATTTTTAAGCCAGTATATTATTAGAAGTTAAAATAAATATGCTTATATAGACATCAGAATGTGAAAGTTTCTCTCATCTATGTCTTGCCTAGAAAAAGGAAAGCTTCTTTTTAAACAGTTCATATAAAATTGATCTTTTATGAACAAAATGAGCAAAAATCAATAAAACATGTCAGCATCTATCTGAATATTAGTATATAATACTTAAATGAATGCATGCACTGCATTTTTAATTTAATGTTGCCCATTATTTCCACTTTCATTTATTCTGTAAAAATGTAATAGATTATTTATACAGTAAGTTAGCCCTTATAATGTAATGCTAATTCACCAACATTATTCAATATGGCATAGTAGTGCAATTATAATAATGGCAATGATTTGTACATTTATACTCCATTGTGCTCGAGACTCTAAAGGTATGCTCATTTGTTCAGATTTTCCCATGGAGTGAGCATGAAAGTTCACTGAAATTCATCAAGGGCATTTCCACTCTACCTTAATAGCTAAGTTAGAATGTGGAAAAGAATCATGTTATGACATACTCGAGGCTATTTTTGTCTCTCGGCTGAAAAATCTATAGGAAAGGGATTGTACTCATGTCAAAATGTGTAACATATAAGAATACAATTAGCTTTACATTAAATTTTTTTCCTTTAAAATAGAGCATATTATTTTAAAATAGCAAAAAAAAAAAGTTTATTTCCCTACATATTTAATGATTACTTTTGATGATTTTAAAGCATAATACCAAAAGTAAACTAACTGCACTTACCTGATAAAATATTGTATTAGAAGTGGTTTCAGGTTTTACAGATTTTTTTTCTCACTGGGGTAAGGATTAGAATTCTGAAACTCTGTTAAGAATATGCTAGAGTTGAACAAATAAGTAAATGTATCTTATCATGAGAGTCAGGCTTCACATTGTTAGAAAAAAATGGCAAATAAGGAAAGGAGGACAGCTGAAATAAATCTTGTAATGTTGCAATTAATCAAGGTATTAATGTGAATTTGTGGCTTTAAAATATATATACAGGAAGATAGATTTAGAAATATAGAGATGTCTGTGTGCATGGGTTTAGTATACATACATGTATTTCCAAGCTCTATTCCCTGAAATGTTCTAGAAGCAAGGATATCCTAGTAGCAATGGGCACACCCAGAACACATACGTTGATTAAAAAAATATTATTCCACAACAAAAATAAACAAGATCTTTAGAGAACTGGTTGGTTTCAAAGCTAGGATGGGGAAATACAAGATATCCTGGAGTATCTTGTGATAACAAAAAGAAAGTACACAAAAATGTATAGGAGCATTCCAAAAAGCACAAGAATCAACATGAAAGGGTTCCCAATAGCCAAAGTTGAAAAAACATCACTAACAATATAATAACAGTAGTAGAATATAAACCACAGAATAAAATAGATATACATGAATGCACAATAATTTAAAGTCTTAAATAAATAAGTAAATAAAGGAAAAATGCTAGCTCTTCCTTCCAAAGAATTCCAGTTAGTAAATGTAGAAGAAATGAAGACAATAGAAAATATCATTAGAACACTATGCTCACACTTGTAGCTAAGGCTCACTGATGGATGCTAAAACTAATGGGTAAGAATAAAGTCGGGTTTTTGCATGGTCTTAAGTATGTCTCCCAGAACATTTATTAAAGACAAAGAAGGATACAGTAACTTTACAGTGGAGTATCTGGCAGATACCAACTAAACCAAGTGATCAATGTTAATATTGCCAGTGCTAAGACATATTAATATAAAGTACCTGCTGATAACATGCATTATGAAAGGTATATAACGTATGTGGTAATCCTGGCCAAAGAATATATAACCTTAATCTAATAACAAGAAAATATTACATAAAATCAAATGAAAAGATAGTCTACAAAGAACTGATGAGTACTCATCAAAAGTGCCAAGGCCATTAAAGAGAAATAGGGCTGGGCATAGTAGCTCATGCCGCTAATCTCAGCACTTTGGGAGGCCAGGAGTCTGAGACCAGCCTGGGCACATGGTGAGATCCTGTCTCTACAAAAAATTAAAAAATTAGACAGGTGTGGTGGCACCTGGAAGGCTGAGGCAGGATGGCTTGAGCCCAGGTGGTGGAGGCTGGAGTGAGCTGTGATCGATCACACCACTGCATTCCAGCCTGGATGAGGGAGCAAGACTCTGTCTCCAAAAAAAGCAGGAAGGACTGAGAAACTGTCACAGATTGGAGGAGGATAAGAAATGCAACTAAAAGATATAATGTGAGCTCATGGAATGCATGATCCTGGAATAACAAAAAAGGCCTTTAGTTTAGATAATGGAATCTATGAAAGTTAATTCTTTAGTTTTGCTAATTACCAGCATATCTCCAAGATGTGGCAGGTTGCTTTCTAGACCACTGCAATAAAGCAAATGTCTCAATAAAGCAAGTCTCACAAATTTTTTGGTTACCCAGTGCATATAAAATTATGTTTACACTACAATGTAGTCTACTAAGTGCACAAAGCATTATATTTAAAAAAATTGTACTGTAATTTTAAAAAGTTTTATTGCCAAAAATTGCCAACAATCATCTGAGCACTCAGCCAGTTTTTATCTTTCTGCTGTTGGAGGGTCTTGCCTCAACATTGATAGCTGCTGACTGATCAGAGTGTGGTTATTGAGGGTTGAGATGGCTGTGACAATTTAAAAAAAATAAGCCAACAAAGAACTTTGCCAAATCAACTTACTCTTCCTTTCACAAAAGATTTATCTGTAGCAAGTGATTGTTTGATAACATTTTACCCACGGTAGAACTTCTTTCAAAATTGGAGTCAATCCTCTCAAACTCTGCTACTGCTTTATCAACTAAGTTTATACAATATTCTAAATTTTTTTCTTTTTTTTTCTTTTCTTTTTTTTTTTTTAGACGGAGTTTCACTCTGTTGCCCAGGCTAGAGTGCAATGGCACAATCTTGGCTCACTGCAAGATCTGCCTCCTGGGTTCATGCCATTCTCCTGCCTCAGCCTCCTGAGTAGCTGGGACTACAGGCGCCTGCCACCATGCCTGGCTAATATTTTTGTATTTTTAGTAGAGATGGGGTTTCACTGTGTTAGCCAGGATGGTCTCAATCTCCTGACCTCATGATCCACTCGCCTCAGCCTCCCAAAGTGCTGGGATTACAGGCGTGAGCCACTGTGCCCGGCCTGTTGTTATTTCAATGATCTTCATGAGGAGTAGATTCCATCTCAAGAAACCACTTTGCTCATACACAGGAAGCAACTCCTTATCCATTAATATTTCATTATAAGACTGCAGAAACTCAGACACATATTCAGGTCCCACAAATTTTAGTTCTATTTCCACCACAGCTGCAGTTACTTCTTAACCTGAAGTCTTGAACCCCTCAAAGTCATCCATGAGGGTTGAAATCATCGTCTTCCAAACTCTGGCTAATGTTATTTCAACTTCCTCCCATAAATCATCAATGTTCTTAATAGAATTTAGAATGGTGAATGCTTCCAAGAAGGTTTTCAATTAACTTTGACCAATATATCAGAGAAACAACTATTATGGCGCCTATGACCTTACAAAATGTATTTTTTAAATAAGATCTGAAAGTCAAAATTAGTTCTTGATCCATGAGCTGCAGAATAAATGTTGTGTTAGCAGACATGAAATCAACATTAATCTCCTTGTATATTGCCATCAGAACTCTTGTGTGACCAGGGACATTGTCAATGAGCAGTAATGTTTTGAAAGGAATCTTTTCTTCTGAGCAGTAGTTCTCAACAATAGACTTAAAATAGTAAAACATGCTGTAAACAGATGTGCTGTCCTCCAGGTTTTGTTATCATATTTATAGAACACAGGCAGAGTCAATTTAGCATAATTTTATGGGTCCTGAGGTTTTTGAAATTGTCAATGTGCATTGGCTTCAACTTATACTGACAAGCTGCCGTAGCCCCTAACAAAAGAGTCAGCCTGTCCTTTGAATCTTTGAAGCCAGGCATTGACTTCTCCTCTCTAGCTATGAAAGTTCTAAATGGCATCTTTTTCCAATATAAGGCTGTTTCATCCACATTAAAAGTCGTTCTTTCCTGTGGCCAACCTTCCTCAATGATCTTAGCTAGATATTCTGGCTAACTTGCTGCAGCTTGTACATCAGCACTTGCTGCTTCACTTTGCACTTTAGTGTTACAGAGATGGTTTCTTTCATTAAATCTCATGAACCAACCCTGCTAGCTTCAAAATTTTCTTCTGCAGCTTCCTTTCCTCTGTCAGCCTGTATAAAACTGAAGAGAGTTAGGGCTTTGCTCTAGATTAGGCTTTGTCTTAAGGGAATGCTGTGGCTGGTTTTGAGGTAGAAGGCGGGACTCGACTCCAGAGGTGAGGCTTGGACACCAGACCAAATTGAGGACCAGCTAAAACAGGTCGAGGCAGAAGAAATTTTCCATAAGATATGCCCACCAGTGTGCCATGTCAGTTTACCATTGTCGTGGCAACACCCAGGAGTTATCTCCCCTTTCCACGGCAATAACTCAGTGGTCCGAAAGTTACTGCCCCTTCTGTGGAAATTTCTGCATAAACCACCCCTTAATCTGTGTATTATTAAAAGCGAGTATAAGTGTGACTGCAAAATTGCCCTGAGTTGCTACTATCTGCCTACAGGGTAACCCTGCTCTGCAGGAGCACTCACAGACCTGTAACACCACCAGAGCTGTAACACTGCGGCTTTAATAAAGTTGATTTTTTTCTGTTAATACCACTAGCTTGTCCTTGGATTCTTTCCTGGGTAAAGCCAAGAACTTTCAGGGGCTAAGCCCCACCTTGGGATTCCCCTGCCTTGCATCAGCTTGGCACCTGATATGGTTTGGCTCTGTGTCCCCACCCAATTCTTATGTTGAATTGTAATCTCCAATGTTGTGGGAAGGGCCTGGTGGGAGGTGATTTGATCATAGGGGTGGATTTCCTCCTTGCTGGTCTCATGATAGTGAGGGAGTTCTCACAACATCTGGTTGTTTGAACTGTGTAGCTCCTCTCCCTTCACTTGCTCTCTGTCCCGCCAGCCATGTGATGACTGTGCCTGCTTCCCCTTCACCTTCTGCCATGATTGCAAGTTTCCTGAGGCCTCCCTAGAAGCAGAATCTAAACAGCCTGCAGAACCTTGAGCGTATTAAAATTACCGAGTTTCAGGTATGTCTCTATAGCACCTTACTGGGTGTGAGGTGAAGAAAGAAGATAGCATCATGAGAGATGGCAAGGCAATGATGAGGTGGCAATTGGCGATCAGCAAGTGGCAGTCAGAGAGAGGCTAGTGTCAAAGGGGCAGATGGTGAGTGGAAGTCTGTGAGGCAGCAGTCAACAAGTGGCTAGTGGCAACTGGGGATCAGCTGGATAGTGATTGGCATGATGGCAGTCAGTGGGATGAGGATTGGTGGAATATCATTCAACAGGACTGCAATCCACACAACAGCAGTAGGCAGGACGATGAGTGGAGAGTCAGCCAAGCAGAGCTGTAACATTGAGCTCTAACACTAACCTAAGGCTCTTTTAAGAGCCATCATTTTTCCTAGTAGGCAGTAGAGCTGATAAGACAGGCAAGCCTGATACCCCCCACTCCGACCAGCAGCCTGGTGGGTTACCAGCTCCATGCAGGCTCCTCCTACCATGGCAGGCAAGCCTACCTGAGCTGAGGGATTCTGGAGAGATATTCACTTGGGTCCCATGTGGAAGATCAGTCAGCATTATGCCTGGTCTGGTGGTTGGGTGAGTGTCCCTTCTGCCCACACCCTATAGTACAGGGAGAACTAGGAAGTAAAATAAAAGCCTTTGGCTAGGTGATCAGTTTCATTGTTTGCCCCAAAGCACATCTTTGTCACTCCTTCACCTTCTGATGTCATATTATCTTCAGTCCTAAAATGTGTGCATTCTTATATTTGCTTTTAACGTTTTGTTGTGTGTGAGCAATTTTTTGAGGCAAGACCATTGGTTGTGAGAGGTACCACATTGTGTTGACTCTGGAATGCCAGAGTAATGTCGTTCTGTGACCTCTACTTGGTCTTTGGTTCACTGTTGGCCACTCCCACTCCCTGCGTCCTCCAGGGTTTTCAGCATTGACGAGGAGATCTTCTTTGGATGAAACTCAGCCACTCTGAATTTTCAGCATTGGTATTTTGGCAGTCCCCCAGATGCTCTGGAGTATTTGGTGTTGACATTTCCTCTCGGATTTGGGTTATACCCCTTCACCTAGGGGAATATTGGTCTTGCCTTCTTCTGCCCTATTGGAAGTATTTTCCTAGTCCTTTTTTGTGTGCTGTCTTATAACTGCCTTGCTCAAGACCTGCTTGGTCAAAGACTGGAAGTTTCCAGGCTCTTGGCCTGATGAACAGCCACCTGCAGCAGTAGACAAGTAGCCACCCAAATGTCTTTTTCTCTGCCACTAGGTGTGCTCCCTAGCAAGTTAGGGCTTCTGAGGTCTCCCCTTGGGCAATGCTGTTTCCTCCCTTTCTGCCCAACCCTTACTTTCTTTAGAATTTGGCCTCAACATCCAACTGCCCACTTGAAATGTGTAACCTGCTTTTATATTTTATAATACTTTGATATCTATAGAAAGTGGGAAACTAAAAGGGAAAGGACGCTAGGCATTTGATAAATTTAGGCTAACTGAAATCACCTATAGAGATCCTTATGATATATGGAGACCACAGCAAGTGTATTAGTCCATTTTCACACTCCTGATAAAGACATACCTGCGACTGGGCAATTTACAAAAGAAAGAGGTTCAATGGATTTTCAGTTCCACCTGGCTGGGGAAGCCTCACAATCATGGTGGAAGGCAAGGAGGAGCAAGTCACGTTTTACATGTATGGCAGCAGGCAAAAAGAGAGAGATTGTGCAGAAAAACTTCTCCTTATAAAACCATCAGATCTCATGAGACTTAGTTACTATCACAAGAATAGCACTGGAAAGCCCTGCCCCCATGATTCAATTACCTCCCCCTGGGTCCCTTCCATAACACATGGGAATTGAAGATGAGATTTGGGTGAAGATACAGCCAAACCATATCATTCCACCCCTGACCTCTGCCAAATTTTATGTCCTCACATTTCAAAACAAATCATGCTTTCCCAAAAATCCCCCACAATCTTAACTCATTTTGGCATTAACTCAAAAGTACACAGTCCAGAGTCTCATCTGAGGCAAGGCAATGAGCCTACAAAATCAAAAACAAGTTAATTACTTCCTAGATACAATGGTGGTACAGGCATTGGGTAAATACAGCCATTCCAAATGGGAGACATTGGCCAAAACAAAGGGACTACAGACCCCATGCCAGTCCAAAATCCAGCAGGTCAGTAAAATCTTAAAGCTCCAAAATGATCTCCTTTCACTCCATATCTCACATCCAGGTCGCACTGATGCAAGAGGTGGGTTCCCATGGTCTTGGCAACTCCCACCTGTGGCTTTTCAGGGCATAGCCTTCCTCCTGGCTGCTTTCATGGGCTGGCAATGAGTGTCTGTGGCTTTTCCAGGTGCAAGCTGTCAATGAATCTACCATTCTAGGGTCTGGAGGATGGTGGCCCTCTTCTCACAGCTCCCCCAGGAGGTGGTCAGTAGAGCCTGTGTGTGGGGCTTTGACCCCATATTTCCCTTCTGCACTGCCCTAGCAGAGGTTCTCCATGAGAGCCGCACCCATACAGCAAAGTTCTGCCTAGGCATCCAGGCACTTTCATACATCTTCTGAAATCTAGGTGGAGGTTCCCAAACTTCAATTCTTGACTTCTGGGTATCCACAGGCTCAACACCATGTAGAAGCTGCCAAGGCTTGGAACTTCCACCTTCTGAAGCCATGGACCAAGCTCTATTTTGGCCCCTTTCAGCCATGGCTGGAGCAGCTGGGACACAGGATACAAAGTCCCTAGGCTGCACACAGCATGGGGACCCGTGGCCTGGCCCATTAAACCATTGTTTCCTCCTAGGCCTCTGGGCCTGTTATGGGAGGGCCTGCCATGGAGACCTCTGACATGTCCTGCAGACATTTTCCCCACTGTTTTGGGGATTAACATTCAGCATCTCATTGCTGATGGAAATTTCTGCAGCCAGCTTAAATTTCTTCTCAGAAAATGGGATTTTCTTCTCTATCACATTGTCAGGCTACAAATTTTCTGAACTTTTATGCTCTGCTTCTTTTATAAAACAGAATGCCTTTAACAGCACCAAAGTCATCTCTTAAATGCTTTGCTGCTTAGAAATATCTTCTGCCAGATACACCAAATCATCTCTCTCAAATTCAAAGTGCCACAAATCTCTAGGGCAGGAACAGAATGCTGCCAGTCTCTTTGCTAAAGCATAACAAGAGCTACCTTTGCTCCAGGTCCCAACAAATTTCTCATTTCCATCTGAGACCACCCCAGCCTGGATTTCATTGTCCATATCATTAACAGCATTTTGGTCAAAGTGATTCAATAAGTCTCTAGGGAGCTCCAACTTTTCCCGCAGTTTCCTGCCCTCCTCTGAATCCTCCAAACTGTTCCAATTTCTGCCTGTTACCCAGTTCCAAAGTTGCTTTCATATTTGCAGGTATCTTTTCAGCAGTGCCCCACTCTAATGTAATGCAGTAATGCAGTAATGAATTTACTGCATTAGTTCATTTTCATGCTGCTAATTAAGACATACCCAAGAATGCACAATTTATATAAGAAAGAAGTTTAATGGACTTACAGTTCCATTAAACTTACAGTTCCCCTGATGGGGAGGCTGCACAATCATGGTGGAAGGTGAAAGGCACATCTGTCATGGCATCAGACAAGAGAAGAGAGTTTATGCAGGGAAGCTCCCCTTTTTATAAAACCATCAGGTCTCATGAGACTTATTCACTATCACAAGAACAGCACTGGAAAGAGTTGCCCTCATGATCCAATTACCACCCACCGGGTCCCTCCTACGACATGTGGAAAGTCAAGACAAGATTTGGGTGGGGACACAGCCAAACCAGAACATGGAATAAAGGGGAGTCTGTGCAGTCATTAATAAAACTTGCTGGACACATATTCACAACTTTGACAAGTTAAGCTTAACAATCAAAGGATTTGCAAGTAAGCTACCTCATTGCATAGATATAACCATGGCACTAACCCCACCTATATCTGGTCAACTATAAAAAAAAAGTCTTCCCATGTCTCACCTAGTTTTTTCCTCTCCTAGGACCTTTTGATAGCTATTTTGTTGTTACTAAATTTGGGCCCCTTGCTTGTTTAACCTCTTAGTAAAATCTGTGTCTTTTAGGCTACAGTAGTTCCAGGTAAAGACAATCCTGGTACAAGTCTTCCAACCCATCCCATCTACTGACTTGGAGAATAAATGTATCCTGCTTCTGAGCCCTTTATATCAGGTATCCAGAGATTTTTACTTCTCCAGTGCTAGGCAGGGTCTATGCCCATAAGCTCAGCAGAAAGCAGTTACAGAAGACAGACCTCCACCCTTTAATAGACCCCCCCTAAGTTTGAGGAGGAATATCTAATCTCTAACAGTGGAATTATATGGGAGGTGGGACTCAACTCCAGAGGTGGGGCTCAGATACTGGACCAAACTGAAGACTAGCTAAAACAGGTCTGGGGCAGAAGCAGTTTTCCATAAGACACATCCACCAGTGTGCCATGTCAGTTTACCATTGTCATGGCAATGGTTACTGCCCCTTTCCATGGCAATGACATGATGACCCAAAAGTTACTACCCCTTCCATGGAGATTGCTGCATAAACTGCCCCTTAATCTACATATTATTAAAAGTGGCTATAAATGTCACTGCAAAACGGCCCTGAGCTTCTACTCTCTGCCTGTGGGTTAGCACTGTTCTGCAGGAGCAGTCACGGAGCTGTAACCGTAGGAACTGTAACAATACTGCTTTAATAAAGCTGATTCTTCTCCCTCCAGCTTGTCCTTGAATTCTTTCCTGGGTAAAACCAAGAACATTCATGGCCTAAGGCCCACTTTGGGGCTCGCCTGCCCCATATCAGCTTGATCTTCTTTGTAGACCACTCAAACTTTTTCCAAATGAGCAATAATACTATTTCACTTTCTTGTCATTCATGTGTTCACTGGAGTAGCATTTTTAATATACTTCAATAACGTTTTCTTTGCATTCACACATGGCTAACTGGCATCAGGAACCTAGCTTTTGGCCTATCTCATTTTTTGACATGCCTTCTTCACTAAGCTTTATCGTTTCTAACTTTTGATTTAAAGCGAGAGATGTGTGACTCTCTTTTCACTTGAACACTTAGAGGCTGTTGGATAATCTTTAATTGGCCTAATTTCAGTACTGTTGTGTCTCCAGGAATATGGTGGCCAGATTACAGGGAGAGAGGTGGGGCAATGTCTAGCCATTAGAGCAGTCAGAACACATTTATCTATTAAGTTATTCGTCTTATATGGTCGCGGTTCATGGCACCTCTAAACAATTACTAGAGTACCATCAGAGATCACTAATCATAGATCACCATAACAGTTATAATAATAAAGTTTGAAATATTTGAGTATTAACAAAATATGACCCAGATATGAAGTGAGTACATGCTGTTAGAAAAATGACACTGATAGACTTGCTTGACATAGGGTTGCCATAAGCATTCAATTTGTAAAAAAGAAATGCATTATCTGTGAAGTGCTATTAAATGAGTTATGCCTCTATACTATAATTTTGCAGCATGCCAGTATAAGGGGAAGCTAGTGAAGTGTATTTGTGAAACTTTTCTTTAAGTGTAAAATTATTTCAAAATTTATAAAGAGATCAACTAATGATGGAGATTAATTTCAAGTCCACTAAATCTTACTGAGAAGCTTGTTTTATTAATACCAAAGTTGATTGCAACAATCTAAAGGAACAATCAGAGATCTAATTTTCAGAGATTATTTTTCATTTAGACAAGAGGTTGATTTGAGGTCACAGGCTGACTCTATAATGAAAAAGAACTGGATAGAACAAGGAAGGAGAGATTCAAAAAAGGAGGGAATTTTTAAAATCTTACTAAGGAAGAGGGGAACCTTTGGATACTGTGCATCATATATATTCATATGTTATTTGTAGGTTTTGGAGTTTACACAGATTAAACAATGCACAATGTTATATTTGTTATTACAAAAAAATTGAAAACGTGCTCTTCTCTGAAATACAATTTTAACTTTACTAGTTAAATGGATTTATTATAAATTATCATTGAGATTTTTTATAATAAATTGCAAGCATCTTTGATACCTTTCTTGAAAGTGAAGGGATATTGCTTAGCATTTATTTATTATTCCCCATCTCATGAGTCCTTTCTAAACATTAAATTTGTATATATCCGTATAGAGCTAAAATAAAATCTTCAAGACAGAAATTTTAAAATATCTGTGCAGATCATAGAAAGGATGGTGTTCTGATCCTAAAAGAAAATAAAATTTCCCTTTGCCCTTTAGCTTCTTCTGCTTTATCCCAACCATGTTATTTTTCAATAGATTTTATTATAGAAAAGTGAATGTGAAATGTTTCATCTCCTTAACTATAACATTCAATTACTGCAGTTCTCTACTAAAAGCCTTTTATCCATAATGAAAGGAAAAGTGGGTCAATATAATATTCAAATAAGATTAATGGATACGTGATTTTAAAGTACTCTGAAAATATAAATTGCTCTTCAAATATCAAATATTATAACATACTTTCCTCCATGTAGAGTTTTATCACAAAATGTACTAATATTTAGATCAAGTAGGAGAAATTTGTTTCAATGTCAAGAGATTTTACAGTGAAGATGTTAAAGAAAGGGAGAGCTAGAAACACAAAATGATCATTTGCACATGAAATAGTTTGAATTTACATTAAATTTTATGGTGTTTAAGAAAATTCTGAAAATTGTTTACTCAAAGCTGGAGATTACAGAACCATTTGCAAGTCTAAGAAAACATTCAGCCTCGCAAAACAATATTTAGAGGCTGCATGATGTGACACATACTGCAGGTAAATTCACTCAATATCCATTTAAACCTTTGTTCCTGATGTCTTTCAACATAGAAGTTGAAAGGGTGCTACCACTCTTTCCCAATCTGCCTTTCAATTAGGAATGGTTATGTGATGCCAATTTCACACATGAGGCTTGTGTAGAAATAAATGAGTATTCTAGCCTCTTTCTCCCTTTCTGGAATGTGGATATGATGCTTCGATTTTCAGCAGCTCTCTTGTGACCATGAGGACAAATGCCTTGCCTCAGGAGGGTAAAACAGAATATTGGAAGAACTAGACTCCTTAAAAATGTCAGTAGCCTGGCACAATTCCAGACTGTTATTGATGTTTGAGGAAAACAAATTCCTTGATTGTTTAAGTGAAAGGAATATGTTTTTTCATTCCTCACAACTGATTGTAATTCTATTTGACACACATGACCTTAGGGGCATGAGGAAGAGACTATGTCTGACTCACCTCTGCTTCACAATGCCAGGCACACAGAAGATATCGAGTCCCTATTGCTAAATCATGGGCAATACAGGATGTTACCAATAGAAAGATAAAGGGACTTTACGACAAATGGTCAGAAAGTCAACAAAAAAGCAGGATATATGGAAAAGAATGCTGTTACACAGGCAGCAGATACTAAGAAACTTGTTAACAAGGGAAAGTGCTCCAAATACTTCTCTGGAAATCCAGGATGAGACACCAATGTCTAGTGGAGAAGGAAGTTATATAACAGGCCTATTCTAGAAGGAACAAGTAGTAGGCATTTTATCCATTTAGAATTTAAGCACAGAAACAAAAACAAGTGGAAGATTCAGTCATTCCTTCACTCACTCCACAACATTTATTCGACCCTATGTAATTAACAACATGCTAGAGTAGGGGTCGGCAGCCTATGGCCAGCAAGCCAAATCTGGCCTGATGCCTGTCACAGTAAATAAAGTTTTATTGGAACATAACCATGGTCATTTGTGTACGTATTGCCTATGGCTGTTTTGATGCTACAACAGCACAGCTTAGTAGTTGTGATAATTTGCCAGCTCCTGAGCTAAAGGATGGGGGGCATAAAAATGCTGCTGATGTAGGACTGATTCCAGCCCTCAAGTAGCTTCAGTATAGAGTGATAGGCAGAAATATCAATGAGCAATGTCTATATAGTTATTAATGCAAAGAGAGATATATAAAGAAGTGCCATGAGAGCACAGGGGAAAAAAATCCCTGTCTCCATCTGGAATTCAATGAAAGATGCCAGGAGGAGGTGTCTCCTGACCTGGGGAAGAAGAAGAAGAATACTTTTTAAAAAGGTGGAAAGTGAATTTCTGGGGGACAAAAGCCAGGAGCAATGAGGCATAAAATAGACAAAGTGAGAAAATACACTCATTTTTTTGTTCTACCATGGGAATTGTGATGTGTAAAATCTCAGGAGACTACAGTGGAGTCAGAAGCAGGGCCTCTGCATAGCCATGCTGAAAATGATTTGGACCAGTCAAGAGTTTGACAAAATTCAAAATTCTGGTTTCAGAGTGGATTTTTCTTTTCTTGTTTTTCCTTTTTTTTTTTTTTTTTGGAGATGATGCAGTCAAAATTCAGTAAGGAAAGAAATTGTGGAAATGGGATAGTTTGTGGCTGAATTTTGTTTATTATTTACCTTCTTATTCATCTCCTTATTTATCGTTGTATCCCAAACATTCAACACTGCATGGCACACAGTAGGGCCATAGTACTTTTTGTTTAATTGATCCTCTTTCTGTTTGCCCTGAGAATACTCACTGGCAGCACTTGTGGCTGTGGTGTTTACCCAGAGATAACTTTGCTAGGAAATAGCTCGCTTCTATTAGTATTTTCGCATCGCTCTAGTATATTAACTTTAGAAACAAAAGATATCATTCTATTTATAGTATTCTGTTTTTAGTAGTGGTATTTTCATTTACATAATATAGTAATGCTCCATCGCTGACCATGTCAAATCCTAGAAAACGTAGCATTCCTACACGCGATGCTAACATCATTCTCGCACAGTTGCTGTTGGCTGAAGATTCATTTGATGAATCTGATTTTTCCGAAATAGATAAGGCTGATGATTTGGAGGATTCTGATGCTAGCCCTGTTTACAAATGACTCTGAAAACAGTTTTTATATTTTATTTTCACATTGAAAATCAGTCAGGTTTGCTTCAACCTCAAAGAGAGTGTTTATGTAAAATTAAATGCAACCTGGTAGCGAGCTGCATTTTTTTTCTAAAACGGAAAATGGTAAAATCAATAAAGAAACAAAGGTTAGGAACTATGTAAAATAGGAAACAGGAAAAAAAACTATTGTTAAAGAGCTATGTATGCAGCCATAAAAAATGATGAGTTCATGTCCTTTGTAGGGACATGGATGAAGCTGGAAACCATCATTCTCAGCAAACTATACCAAGGACAAAAAACCAAACACCGCATGTTCTCACTCATAGGTGAGAATTGAATACTGAGAACACATGGACACAGGAAGGGGAACATCACACACCGGGGCCTGTTGTGGGGTGGGGCGGGGGAGGGGAGAGGGATAGCATTAGGAGATATACCTAACGTTAAATGATGAGTTAATGGGTGCAGCACACCAACATGGCACACGTATACATATGTAACAAACCTTCACGTTGTGCACACGTACCCTAAAACTTAAAGTATATATATATATATATATATATATATATATATATATATATATATATATGAGCTTTGTTTAGTAAAAACTAGTGTGTATAGAGGGAGTAGTGTGGTAGTATGTATGTCAGAAAGAAAAATGGAGAATCCAAACTTTCGAGCATCATTATTGGTTAACAGTGACTATCAGATTACTCATAGGTGGTACTTTTCCACCAGGATACAAAAATTAATGGAATAATTGTTGTGATACTTCCGTAAAAAGAAGAGTTTCTTATTCCCAATAAGAAATAAATACTAATTCAACTTGGCAAGAAATATTAATTCAACTTGAAGTGAGTTGGTGTGTTTCTTTCTTCCTCCCCAAGTCACACATTCAGTAGTGGTAACCAGGAATGTGAACCCTTTTTCTACTCTGAATATCGGAATCATGTTTCTTACTGTGTAATGAAGCAAATTGGGTTGTAAAAAAGAACCAGATAAAATAATATCATATCCTTGGAAGATTTACACTTGACATAAAATGGAAAGGAAACAAGTAGCTTTCTGTGTGGAAAAGTAAATATATTTTACATAGAAATTTTAAGTGCATTTGCCCTAAGTCCCAATTCCACCCCACTGAATAAATTATAAGATGTACTTAAAGAATTGGCTGTCAAAGTTTTTCTGAGCCATAGATTTTTCAAATAAATGCAAATTTTATGAGAATCAGACACTTGAGTGATGAAAGAGGAGGTTCCATGAAGAAAGAGTGTCTTTTCAATCAGAGGTATCTGATTACCTGTAATACGTAGGAGGAAAATTAAACAATGAAAGTGTGAAAGTTACACATGCAAATAAATATTTCAAGGTCTAAGAAAAATGATTCCATAGAAATAATTCTTCAACAAGTTAACCAGGAGAAAGGTTATTTCTTCATATTTCCAAATGACCATTCCCTAGGCAGAAGAGATATTGACAAATTACCTATTCTCCTGCCTATTCATGCCTTTTGATCAAAATGGAATTATTCATTTTTGTTACCTGTGTTAATATTTTAATACTGTGTTAATACTTTAATATAGAAATTAAGAAAATTCAAAAGTAGGTTGGTCTATACAAATAATTATAGATGTCTATACAAAATCTACTTTAAAGTTCAGAATTAATCATTGGTATAGGATGAACCTGATATGGTTAACTGACCCTACAGAACAATATATTTGGGGTGTTTGTGGAATTTCTACATATGGATACCTTCAAGCCTATGATGATTTGTTAGGCTTGATAAAAATCACACGCATCTGGACATCAGAAAGAACCGTTTTACAAATACTATCTTCCATTTTACTCTTATGAAACAAGATTGAATGGAGTTTAATAGCAGAGAATTTATTAGAGAAACAGAGTCTAGGTAATGAATGTCATAACTGTATTTGTGGACATTCAATGAAAGTACATTTTCCCCATAATTTGTTATTTTTTCACATTCATTTTCTGTTGGAAGACTTGATATTTCATTTTAAGTGTTGTATTGAAGGGCCATTAGAACAGAAGGTGCCAGTTAAAAAAAAAAGTGACAATATAAATGGAATCAGTTGTATATTCCAATTACATATCGAGAAATGAAGAATATTGTGCAGTCCCTGGGAACTAACCTAGCACATTTAGAATGTAGCTTTTTAGTTGAGTGTTCATTATCATTGTTTCCTTTAATTTTTGTGTAGAATCTGTTTTTGTAGGTATACCTACACTCATCTTAAAAATACTAAAAGCCTGAAATTAAAGATAAAATTCAGTCAGAGGCATGGGAAAGAAAAACCAAGATAAAGTTTGCCCCTTGTTTGCGACTTACCCAGGCTTCATTTATATCCCTACTTGTGGTCCCTTGCTCCCTCCAATTCATCCCATATGCCCCTGTCATACTATTAGTTCTTAGGGTCCACTGCAATGCAAGATATCTTGTCTAGTTATTATTTTCCAAAGACTACCCAAATAAATAAAACAATATAAATTGGAGAAAAATATTTTTAACATTATATTAGAATGGCTAGAAGGAAGAAAAGAGAGAGAAAAAGGTAGAGGGAGAGTGGAGAAGGGAGAGGCAGAGGAAGGCAGAGGAATATATATATATATTTATATATATATTATATATATATTTATATATATATTATATATATATTTATATATATATTATATATATATTTATATATATATTATATATATATTTATATATATATTATATATATATTTATATATATATTATATATATATTTATATATATATTATATATATATTTATATATATATTATATATATATTTATATATATATTATATATATATTTATATATATATGAATACACACACACACACACACACACACACACACACACACACACACATATATATATATATAGAGAGAGAGAGAGAGAGAGAGAGAGAGAGAGACGGAGTCTCACTCTGTTGTCCAGGCTGGAGTGCAGTGGTGCTATCTCGGCTCACTGCAAACTCTGCCTCCCAGGTTCATGTCATTCTCCTGCCTCAGCCTCCCAAGTAGCTGGGACTACAGGCTCCCGCCACCACACCCGGCTAATTTTTTTTGTATTTTTAGTAGAGATGGGGTTTCACTGTGTTAGCCAGGATGGTCTCGATCTCCTGACCTCGTGATCCATCCACCTCAGCCTCTCAAAGTGCTGGGATTACAGGCGTGAGCCACTGCGCCTGGCCTAAAAAATATTTTATGATGTTTGAGAATCACCAAAATAATATACTTATGATGTGACTAGAAATGATTTTTATAGTATTACTTGTGCTTCCATTTTCCACAGTTTTGTGCCATTAATATGCATATTATTGTCATAATAAAAATTAAAATGCAAAAAAGAACCTTCTGCTATCTGACACTCTCTTACAGATCTCAACTTAATCTTTCACTCCTTCCAGATTTCTATCTTCAGATGCAATTCACGCTGAAAGTCATCTGGCAATACACCATGTACATCTTTGAAAAAGTAAAATCTTCAGCTACATCTTTGAAAAAGTAAAATCCATGGACTTCCTTTTTTCTTTGAAAAGTTCACCCACTTATCTTTTTCACTGTTCTTTAAGGTCCCTTCATTGACTACTACATCCTTTCTTCATTTTTCTATCTTCTGTTTTCTGTAAATAATGAAATTAGACACAGAAAATGTAGTACAGAAATATAGAATCAAGTTGTAACATTTAAGATATTCTAAACTTATTTATTTCAAACCTTTTCAATTACTTAAGGCCAAGAAAGATACAGAAAAATTTCAGTTTCCTTCCAGGGCTAGCAAATATGTACATACACGGTAGTCACTAAAATATCTCATTGATTTTCATTCCATTTCCCTCTTTCTTTCTTAAGAAATGAATCATCCTGGGCTCCATTATATTTAATGGTTTAGAAATCAATAATCACCTACTGAAGGGCTTAGAATTTTAATTATTAACATAGCTGTCATACTATGCTTTCTTCAATCTTCATATTCACTTTTATGTGAGTAATTTGCTTTTACAATCAGATACAAGCAGCAACTTAAAAGCAAGATATTAAATAGATCATCACTGCAAGTATATAATACCCAAGGCAAATTTGTCCTTTGAGAATAAAAAAATCAAAGTTTATATTTATAAATCTCATCAAAGTCCATATTTTTCGGACCACCTAGAGTTGATAGGCCTGTTGTCAGGCAATTGTGTTCCCGGTTTGAAGACCACTATTTTATTTAAATATCATAGTAGTAGTAGGTCTCAAATACTCAAAGGTAAATTTGCCAGAATCTAAATGTTTCACTTTCGCTCTGTCTTCACAATATACTCATAGAGGTGTCTGAAACTATTTTAGTTCATCTATATGCAAATTTACATGGTTCATCTTCCTAGTCTATTACAACAGAGAAAGCAACTGAAATGATACAAAATGATTTTACTCATTCAGAGCTTTGGTTTATAAGAAACAGGCATTGATTTTTTATGTAAAAAATATCAATGCTATTTGAATTTAAGACTAATGAAGATTTATAAACAGTGAAGGTAAGATAGTAGTTGGTTTATGCAAAATGAATAACATATAAGAGCATTATGTCACTCAATAACCAAAGATGTTATTTCTTGTCTAGATCAACTACATTTAATACTAGCCAAAAAGTATTTATTATGTCTTTAATGATTCTGCCCTTGCTCTGGCACTGAAAATATTGTGTTGAAAATCTCACAAAAATGTTATCAATACAATACCAGACCAAATTGTGGTTATTTTGTTTTTGAGTACCACTCAAATTATGTGATGTTCTGTTTGAAAGACGTATTAAGGTAGGAATGAATCTGATGCTAAAAGAAATAGCTTCAGCAATGACAGGGAGTCACTTTTGTAGAGATAATTGTTAGCTATCTGTGTTTTAATTTATTTGTAAAAAGTTGCTGCTGAGAAGAAGCTGCCTATCCAGGGACTGTATTTTCCATACCTTATCCCATTCCCATCTCCTTTGAATGTAGGTAGGACCACGTAATGAATTCTTGTTATGAGAATAGAAGTGACATGTATAACTAAGGCATGCTTTTAGTTAAAAGGAGAGCCTAGTGAAAGCCAAAGTAGAAGGATTCTGGTTCCCTGTTTCACCACATAAAAGAAAACAGCTTGTTGAACAAGAAAAACAATATTGGACTACTATGCGAATAAAATATAAACCTCTCTTGCACACATCTACTGAAACGCTGGAGTTTGTTTTATGCCACATCTAGCATTATTCTTACTGATTTTTTAAAAAATCGTACATACAGACATAATTTCAATTTTAGTAAGTACAATAAAGTACAAAATTATTTTGAGATATTCTGAAAAGATACTGAATAAACTCCTGCACAGAGTACTGATAAAGTGAGAAAAGGGGTGTGAGCATTAACAACTAAATGGTGAACAATAGAGGCATTCACATAACATCAAAAATTGTAATATATTACTTTCGTGTTACTTTACATTACTTAGAAATACCGACAATTCAGTAATAAGGACACAGAATATAGTGTCTGATCATCATAAGGAGAGAGATATATTATTCACCCTTGAAAATACATTTAAATAACAACACTAAAAGGAGCAATTAGATTACAAAGATTATAGATGTATTGAATGTTTAGTAAATTGGCCAGAGACAACAGATATTAAAAAGTTGATAGTTATTAATATTCAAGCAATAATAATCAAATCAATATTAAGTTTATAGAATACTATGATTAATGAACATCAACCTTTGTGAAAATAACTATGAAATTTCACTCAAATTTTTGAAAAGTACCCTGAAAGTCACAAGCTCACATGAAGTTTCAGAAAAGTGAATAAAAATATCAAATAGTGTGTATGAGACCATATGTTTGTTATATTTTATTTTAATTTATAAATTTAATTTATGAAATAATACTATTCCTTCAATGAATATAATAATATATGATATGCTATTTAATTTATGAAATAATACTATTCCTTCAATGAATATAATAAATGATATCATAATCTCTATATAAGTAATGGGATATTTAATATATTTTTGGATTAAATATTTTGACATCTATATTTATATGTACAATTTATTTATTTTCTATGTCAGGGGTCTGTGTCAGGTTTTAGTATTAGCATTGAATGTCACTCATAAAATAGTGTACATAATTATGTAAAGTTTTAAATAATATTTTAATGAAATAGTATGACATTTAAAGCTTAGTATCAGCATTGAATGTCACTCATAAATTAGAGTGAACATAATTATATAAAATTTGAAATAATATCTTAATGAAATAATATGTCATTTAAAGCTTAGTATCAGCATTGAATGTCACTCATAAAGTGTACATAATTATATAAAATTTGAAATAATATATTAATGAAATAATATGTCATTTAATGTTTAACATAATTTACCAATCCATATGTATCTGGGTGTTCCTTGGGATCATTTTTCTTCCTTAAAATTTTCTTCCTTAAATAATTGCCTAGTGACAAGTTAGAATTACGGAGTAATTATTTAAAGATATTTTACAATCTATTAGGTTTTGTACAAGTACAGTGTTCTTTTACATTTTGTTAATCTGCATACTTACTGTTATTTCTCTTTGTAATGGGTGATTTATTATGGTAAGTCATTTTAAGTAATTATGTTTTTCATTTTAATATTGTTTTTGTTATATGAAGCCCCTTGTAATCCATATGTATGTGGGGATCATCTTTTCTACTTCTGAAAAAAACACTATTAAAATTTTGAAAAGGATTGCAGTAAATCTGTACATCAGTTTGGGGGATACTGTCATCGTAATAATATCAGATCTAGTTCATGAACATGGGTGGTTCTTTCATTAGGTCTTGTTTAATTTATTTCAACAGTTTTGTAGCTTTTAGTGTACAAGTCTTTCATTTCCTTTGTTAAATTTATCCCCAGAAATTTTATAATTTTGGATACTATTGTAAATAGAATTTTTAATCATTATACTATGTATCTTGCAACTGCTGGATTTGCTTATTACCGCTAGTAGTTTGTGCATGTGAGTTTGTGTGTGTTTGTGTGTGTGTGTGTGTGTGTGTGTGTGTCTATTTTATGGAATATTTTATTCTATGGAATATTCTCTCTATAAAATCATTTCATCTAAGAATAGAGATAGTTTTACTTCTCTTTTCCCAACGTGGATACTTTTTTAATTTTTCTTGCCTATTTTTCTCTGGCTAGGAGTTTCAATACGCTGTGAAACAGCAGTGGTAAACTTGGTCATGCTTATCTTGTTTTTGATTGTAGAAAAAGCCTTTCATTCTTTTCGCCATTGAGTATGATATTAGCTATAGGTTTTTTATAAACACACTCTATCACGTTAAGGAAACTCCCTTCTATTCCTAGTTTGTTGAGAGGTTCCATCATAAGGGATATTAAATTTTGTCAAATGTTTTTTCTGCATCTATTGAGATGGGTTTTTTTCCCCTTTGTCCTAGTGCTGTGGTGCATTGATTTTCTTATGTTGATCATCATCGCATTCACGAGGTAAATCACACATTTTCAGCATGTGTCATCCTTTTAATGTGCTCTTAAATTTGATTTGCTATTATTTTGTTGAGGATTGTTATGTCTGTATTAATAAGGGATATTGATGGTAGTTTTCTTTTCCTGTAAAATCTTTCTGTGGTATCATGGCAATGCTGGACTCATAGAATGTGTTAGAAAGTGCCCCCTCCTTTTCCATGTTTTGGAACAGCTTGAATAGGATTGGTGTTGATTCTTCTTTTTTGTTTGGAAGAATTTATCAATAAGTGAAGTCATCACTAAGTCAGGTCATAAACTTTTTGTTGTTTTTGTGAGAGTGAGATGTTTGATGGCTTATTTAATTGCTTTCCTTATTATAGGCCCATTTTGATTTTCTATTTCTTCTTGAGTCAGATTTGGTAATTTATGTGTTTCTACAAATTTTTCAATTTTGTGTGGATAATCTAATTTTCATATGTGCAGTCATATTGCACATATAAAAAAGCACAATATATAAAAGTATTGTAAGGCAATTTCCTTATCATTTTTTTAGTTTCTGTAAGTTCACTAGTAATGGCCCTGCTTTCATTTCTTTTGAGACAGAGTCTCACTCTGTTGCCCAGGCTGGAGTGGTGCAGTGGCACAATCTCTGCTCACTGCAACCTCTGCCTCATAGTTCAAGCAATTCTCCCACCTCAGCCTCCGAGTAGCTGAGATTACAGGTTGCTGCCACCACATCCAGCTAATTTTTGTATTTTTAGTAGAGATGGGGTTTTGCCATGTTGGCTAGGCTGGTCTCAAACTCCTGACCTCAGGTGATCCACCCATCTCTGCCTCCCAAAGTGCTGGGATTACACGTAAGCCACCGTGCCTGGCCCCTGCTTTAATTTCTAATTTGAGTTATGTATCTTCACTCATTTTTCTTAGTCTAGCTAAGGACTTATCAATTTTGATGACCTTTTCAATAAATAAACTTTTGGTCTATCGATTCTATTATTTTTCTAGTTTCTATTTTGTTTATCTCCATTCTAATTTTTTCATTTTGCTTGTTTTGGGTTTAGTTTTCTCCTCTGTTTCTAGTTTCTTAAGGTATAAAATTAGGTTACTGATTTGAGTACTTTTTTACTTTTCTATAGGCATTTACAGCTATAAATTTCTTTGTGAGCACTGCTTTTCCTACATTCCATAATTTTGTTATCTTGTGGTTTTGTTTTCATTCATCTCAAAATATTTTCAAATTGCTCCATTGATTCATTCTTTGACCTATAGCTTAAAAGTATGTTGTTTAATTTCCACCTGATTCTCCAATCTTCCTTCTGCTTTTGATTACTAATTTCATTTCATTGTGATTGAAAAAAATACTTTTTGTGATTTTGATCTTTTAAAATCTATCAAGAATTGTTGTATGGCCTAATGTTTGTGCACTTGAGATAAACATATATTATTCTGTTGTTGTGTGGAATATTCTGTATGTCTGTTAGGTATAGTTGGTTTGTACTGTTAAGTCTTCAATTTCCTTATTGATGTTCTATGGAGAGGTTCTATCCATTATTGATAGTGGGGTATTGAAACAGCCAACTATCACTGTCTAGTTCTCCTTTCAATTCTGTCAACCTTTGTTTCAGTGTCCATAATAAATTATTTCTGAAACATAGTTACACTCATGTAACATATTGTCTGTGACTGCTTTTGTGATATAACAGCCGACTTATGTATTTGGGACAAGAACCATATGGTTTTCAAAGCTTAAAATATTCACTATGTGGGCCTTACAGAAAAAGTTTGCCAACCCCTGGTCTAAAAAATGGCAGAACCTCAGAAAGACAAAAATAGGCTTTCCACATGATTGCTTCTATGGAGTTAGAGATATATTTAGGGTTGATCATGACAAAGTCCAGATATTTAGCATAAGAAAATGTTCTGTGGATTAATTAGCAATCATTTCAAGTATAAAATTAGAAAATCCTCTTAGCTGGCCATGTTATAATCATTGAGAAAGAAGAACTATCATGACCAAGTAGAATTGATTCCACAATTTCATAAATAACTTAAAACAGAAAAATCTATATTTGTCAGCCATTATGTTAAGTTAAAGAAATAAAAAAGCCCACAAAAGTTGTAAAACTTTCTTATATCCAAAAACTCTTTTATGACAAAATGTATTAAAACACTAAGACCAAAAGAGAACTTCCTTAAATAGGTAATGGTTATTTTCCAAAATCTATCCAAGCCTTATACTTAATAGTGAAACAGGTAGAGTTTCTGTATATAAATTAAAAGGACAGAAAATCATATTTGTTGTGATTATATTTAATATTTAAATAAGAATCATAGTAAAATAATATAGGGTAAACATAGGTGATACTTATGGGTTGAAAAGAAACGAAATCAAATTTTTATTATTCACTGATCAAACCACAAATCAAAATTCAAAAAAAATTTTAAACTTAAAGAATATAACTCATACACAGATTTCAATAGTACTGCAAATACTAAAAACATAAGTAACAAAGTTAATTTTTTAAATCCCATATAAAATAGCAATGTAAACTAGAAGATAGTACACATATGCATACTCTATTTATTTAGAAAATTATAAAACTTATAAAAATTATAAAACTTTAGTTATGGACACAAAAGGAGACATAGATAAATGAAAACACATACCATATTCATAGGTGGAGAATTCTAAATAATAGGGAGAGATACACACTATTCCTAAGTTATCTGTGAGTGATATGCAAGTTCTATCATGACTTCCATCATCTCCTAAAGTTTTTTTTCACAGTTCCCATAACAAGGAAGACCTCAATTAAGATTGTACTCAAAGTATACTCCATTTCTATCCTGTTTTGTTCTCATCTGTAGTTGTTACTATATTGACAATTATACGGACAATAAAAATTAACCGAAACAGACTCTCTGGATTAGCAAATGGATTTATAGTGTTCTACATAGAAACCCACGAGTGGACACCAGTCTGTTAGTTGCAGACAATACCAGTTGTTTGGGGATTTACCTACTCTGGCTAGTAAGCAGTAGGCACTGATGATTCTGCATAATGCCTGTTTTTCAAATGTTTATCAGCTTTCTCAGCTCTGGTGGGTGAAAAGATTATAAATGTTGCAAACAATTTGTATTTTAAACAAAAAGATTAAGTCAAATTTAGGTTTGTCTTTATTCATTATTTGTTTGCCAGTGCTTCCCTTTATTACACAATACAATAAAATTTCTTAAAAGAGAAACCTGCAAGACACAAGTTCAATATGGGGTGTGTTTAGGGGCATAGGACTTTCATGCCAAGATTTATCCTATTCTTTAACAATGTTTTCTCAGGGAATAGGAGCACATAATGCGTAACATCATTATCAGACCGAAAGCTAATATTGGACTTTTCAGCTATAAGCAATTACTACCAAGGATGAAGTGGAATATGTAAATTGTAATTAAATATAACAAATGTGAAATATCTGTAATAAAATCAGTTTCTGAATACAATTTAAGAAGAAAATTATTTGTAAAGTGAGCTATACATAGGTATTTTATCTATAAAATATATAAAATAGGTATTTTGCCAATAAAATAGGTTAGGTATTTGAGTGATAGAATAATCTTATCTAATTGTTTGAATATGATGACTCTATCTTTAATTATACCCCTTATCTGTGTCAATAACATAAGCAAGAATATAATCTTCCAAGTAATCATTTTATGATTTCTCTAACATACTTTAAAATCAGATAATTTTCTCTGTAATATGTAAGCCAACTTCCGTCCTTCTTTTTACCTACTTTCATTTCAGCTTCTTTAAGGACTAATTACCTGGAATGCAAAAAAAGAAATAATCTTTCTTTTTTTCTTTTCATAGTTTTCTCAGTAGAAAGAGATTTCCAGAGCCCATGGTGTGCTTTTTTCTTAGTGATTTGTAACTTTAATTTTTAACTGACTAAAATGTTATAATTTAACCTAAAATGTTGCTAATAAAATCATTATTCTACATAACTATAGTATTTGGTAATTTCATTACTTATAAGCAGTTGAAATTAAATAAATTAAATATCCATGTATTATACAACCATTTCACATTCTTATGTTGTCTAATAGCTAGTTTAATAAAAATATCCTTGTTGCATATGTTTTATCTCCTAGAGAAACAAATAAGAAAATATTTACATACTTTTGTTTCAATATGTCAACAATCTAAAAATAAATTCTCAACCTTCCCATGAAAACAAACATAAAAATATTTTTAATAAAAAGAAAATACTGTCAACTGTATTGCAAATGAAAGTTAGTGAAAACCACAGCTCATAGGTGGAGATTTCACGCTAATTGTGTATCATCGAAGCAGATGTTCATTTTTAAGGAGACTATCACATGTTTCTCCTTCTAAAACAGAATTTAACAAATTATCTCAAGAGAAGGAGTATTTTATATCACATTCACTGTCAGTATTTACTTCTAAGAGATAATGCTTTTAAAGACTATCTCCCAACTATGGGAACTGTTAAGTGAGAAAATTATTATTATTCCTCTCCCCTTAAAATTATTCTTCTCAGACCAACTGTTCAGAGAATATAATACACAGCACCATGCAATGTGGTGAGGAGAGAGCTACCCTGAAGTTTTTTTTTATCATGACAGAATAGACAGAGGAAAGAGGTATCTTCCAAATACTGTGTTGTTCAGAAAAGAACTTCAAACGCCACTGAATTCTTTAGGTACCTACTTGGAGCAAGAGAGGATATCCACTTTCTGAGAAAATGCTCATTGGATGTTGAAGATTACCTATTTAAAAAACTAGAGGCTGGGCATGGTGGCTCACGCCTATAATCCCAGAACTTTGGGAGGCCGAGGCAGGAGGATCACTTGAGGTCAGGAGTTCAAGATCAGCCTGGCCAACATGGCCAAACCCTGTCTTTACTAAAAATACAAAACATAGCCAGGCATGGTGGTGCATGCCTGTAATCCCAGCTACTTGGGAGGCTAAGGCAGGAGAATGACTTGAATCCAGGAGGCAGAGTTTGCAGTAAGCCGAGATTGCACCACTGCCCTCCAGCCTGGCGGACAGAGTGACACTCCATCTCAAAAGAAAAAAAAAATTAGATGTACAAGCCTAGGTTTAGAAGAAGGAATGTATGAATGTTCAAAATTGTTGATGGAGAGAGTTGAAGAGGTGGCAATAGGACACTCAAATCAAAACACACAATCTGAAGTGTTAGAGGATGTGGCCCCGTGTTCCCCACCCTAGTAATAGCAAGTATCTCCCAAAATGGAAAAGCCGATCCTTCAGAAATGAAAAAGCTGGTTCTCACATTCATATGAAACTGCAAAGGACACCAGATTGCCAAAAGAATGTTAAAAAGAAAAATAAAGTTATAGGATTCCCACATTGTAATTACCAAAAGTTGTATGGTATTGGTATAAGCATACACACAGAAAGCAATGGAATATAATTTGAAAGTCTAGCAATAAACCCAAACATATATAATCAATTGGCTTTAATTTTATATAATTTTCAAAGGTGAAAAAATATTCTCTCTTTCTTTTTTAACTATTTATAATGCTAAACAATTCTTAGCTGACAACCTATACAAAAATAGGTGGTGAGCTATGGTTTGGCCATCCTAAAAGGCAATCTGTTTTTGCTCAAATTTACTTTCTTCTCTGATTTAATAAGTTTACACACACAAACACACACTTTTAGGTGTATTTTTGTGTGTTTAATATATTTGATTTATCACAGTTACACTGAAATGTCATATCCAGAAAGTAATACTCTTCCAATATTATTACTTATTAACTTCAACAGTATTTTATTTCTCTGTGTTTTGCATACCAGTCTATTACTTTGTCTTTCCTTTCTTTTGGTCAATAATCCAAACCATAATCTTATATATCCTATAATTTCTTAATTTGTTTAATGTCATCAGAAAATTTCTTGTTCCAGAATTTCCTATACCATTTCTTGCTGCAACGTTGGGACACTAGTTCAATAAGAGTTGTAAAAGTGACTAGTTCTGATTATCCTTCCACTGATAACTTTGTTTTTAAACAAAGATTGCATCGCTAGTGCATTCTTCTCTAGTCTAGTCATTAAAGAACAGAGAAAATAGTTGAAGATTGAGACAACTAAAGAAAATACCATGTTCAAAAATTTACATTTTGAGAGAACAGATCTCATTTCTATTTGATCACATATGTATCATCTGCATAGAGACTGAGACATAAAGAAAGCTATCAAAATGTTTATTGCCATGATTTACTCATAAACTGAGTGTTTTTTCATAATTAAACTTTCCCAAATCCCAGAATGGGTGAGAAAAGCCACATTAAGAAGATAAAACTAGGGCTGGGTGCAGTGGCTCACGCCTGTAATCCCAGTGCTTTGGGAGGCCGAGGTGGACAGATCACCTGAGGTCAGGAGTTCAAGACCAGCCTGGCCAAGATGGTGAAACCACATCTCTACAAAAATACAAAAAAATTAGCTGGGCATGATGGCGGGTGCTTGTAATCCCAGCTATTCAGGAGGCTGAGGCAAGAGAAGCTCTTGAACCCAGGAGGTGAGGCGAAGATTGCAGTGAGCCACAATTGTGCCACTGAACTGAAGACTGGGCGACAGAGTGAGACTCCGTCTCAAAAACAAAAAAAAAAAAAAAAAAAGAAAGATAAAACTTACTACAAACATCTAAAGACAGTGTCCATTATATTAAGAACGGGTAAGGAAAAACTACTTAAAGTGTATTTGGTTGTTTCTTGAGGCTCTGGTGAAAAGAGAACTAAGACTTATTAATGGAAAGTGTAAACTTCAGGTGATCAAGGCATGACTGGGTTTTTGTAACTTAAGTTTTGCATATTCTAGAGTAAAGTAAGGATTTTCACGAAGTCACTCATCAATGGAAACAAAGCATATCTAAGAGTCTACAGTAATTAATATAATCCTAATATTAAAGAAAGAAATATCTACATAACAGAAATAAAAATGGAGTCATAGAGCTCCACAAAAATGGTTTTGATATTTGTTATTGTCACTTGTCTTTACCCTTATTAGTAGACATCATTCTTTACAAAAAATGAGTGGTCACAAATTCATTGATCCATTGAACACACTGATTTTCTCCATTTTAATTCACTTCATAGTGCCCCAGAGGGAATATTTTTACAGCTGTGTGACCCCCCTTTAATGAATTAATTATTAAGTCTCCAAAGAATGTCATATTACATAATGATAAAATAAATTTTGAATGGTAAATCATTATTGTTCCGAATGCTGTATATTTTTTGAAAGACAGAACATTCATATACAAACTGTAAAAAAAAAATGAAGACATGATTAATTACAGAATTGTGGTTAACTCACTGATATGGCAAACCACATACATCTGGACTTTTCCAGGGAGACGCTTTATTACATGTACACCAGGGAAGTACAAAATGGAGAAAATGTTCTCTGATGATTGAAGGCCTTCTCTTCATACTTGAGTAGGAGAGTATGAATATGCAGTTGAATAATTGAAGTCTAGACAGAGATTCTGAATAACTGATGTTTGAATCAACTTTGCCCAATCCTAATCAATAGCTTTCTTAATAAGTAGAACAAAAACAAAAACATAAAATTCACAATTAGTGAATGGCAAGGATGAGCCTACACATATAGTCAGCTGGAAACTCAGTGTCAGGTTTCAAGTGCCAAATGTGTTACATCTGATTTCATGCCATTTGGGGAGTTTATGAAATTGGATATGTGTATATTTCACATAAAATGGAGTAAAATGGAGTAAAAATGCTAGAAACCACACAGTAGAAAATAAATGCAATTAGGCATATCTAAAAATGAGGGGAGATGGTATCATTTTAAGTTACTAATTTTAAGAATCATGGTGGTAATCAAAGGTAAATTCTGAGACAAAAAACCATTTTGAAATATGTGTATATGTTTAAAACATATATGTGTGGCATTGTCATAAGTGAGAAGGACAAACAATAGAAATGCAAGTGTACAAAGAGTTGAGACAATGTGTATGCAGATGTGATTTACATGAAGAGTAGAGAAAAATCAGGCAAAGGATGAGGCTTATGAAATATGTACATATATGTATATGTATATGTATATGTATATCAGCTGGGTTAGTGTTTCTGGCAACAGGATATTATACTAAAGAATTGGGGAATATAAGAATATAATTTTTTAAAACTATCCAATAGAGCATGAAAGAAGAAATACACAAGTCAATAAGGCAAACAACAATATAAATTTTCTAAATATATCATCAGTTAGAGACCAAGAATGAATTCCCTTTAAGAAATAATGAAGAAAATGCATCAATAAAATAGATGAATAGTGATAGGAAACGTAACAAGTTGGAGAGAGAACACATAAAGAAGACTATCTTTCATGTAAGTATAAGATAAATTATTAAAATTTCAGGTTACAATTGAGATAAGTTAGTGCAACATTTTTTTTAAAGAAGCACTTCGAAGGAACTAGTTTATTAAAAGAAGAGCTGCAATGTTAAATCAATAGCAGCAAATACATAATCAATTAAGCCAGAATTGGTTCAGAAAGCAAGTAAAAAACAGACAGAAAATGAAACTAAGACAGGAATCCCTAGACTTTCCTCAATAATGAGAGAGATTCATCAATTATAGAGATTCATCAATTATAAAGAAAATCAGGAAGTCCTGAAATGAAACTGAAAAGTGAAATACAATTGTCAAGCCTGTAGAAAGCCAAAGATGTCCTTCCTTCATGCAATGGTTCAACCGATCTGGGAGGGTAGGCTGGAGAAATTAGTGACTTGATCAGTTTAGTAATTATTTTTTATATTTAAGTAGGAGACATTGCCCATAGGAAAACATGTGGACTGCACCTCCTCAGCTTTTCTAGGAAGATATCCAAACGAACTGAGGTCTCCATCCCAAGGAGAAAAGGAATCAGGTGACAGAGTTTGATCATCTGTGTCAGTAAAGTCACCTTAAATCACATCCAGCCACACCCTTCTTGTGTCATTTTGAACCCAAAGTTTTCTGCATATATTTATACATATATTTATATTTGTTATAGTGAATCTATGTCATAATAACTAGAATGATGTGATTTTGTTCACTCTGAAAAATTCACAAGCCCATACTAGTGAGAGATGCCCATTAAGAAAATTATTTAATAGGCTTAATGAAAGAAAATAATTACAGTTCAAAACATGGGATTGGGGCCAGGCATGGTAGCTCACACCTGAATCCCAGCACTTTGGGAGGTCAAGGGAGAATGACTTGAGCCCAGGAGTTTGAGACCAGTCTGGGCAACATGGTGAGATCTCATCTCTTTAGCCAGGTGTGGTGGTGCATGGCTGGAATACTAGCTGCTCAGGAGGCTGAGATGAGAGAATTGCTTGAGCCTGGGAGTTCGAGACTGCAGTGAGCCAAGATTGTGCCATTGCACTCCAGCTTGGAAGATAGATTGAGACCCTATCTGGGAAAAGAAAGAGACAGAGAGAGAGAGAGAGAGAGAGAGAGAGAGAGAGAGAGAGAGAGAGAGAGACTGGGAATGATCTAGATGATAAGATGTATTTTTCCAAGACTCATAAAAACAATTCGCTTTCTTCTAGTCCTTCTAATCCTGAAAATAAAAAAAAAAGAATACATAAACCAGAACCTAAGATATGTTGTTCTATTTATCTCTATTGCAGTACAATTTGATCAGTGTTATGATCTCCATCAATTTTATACATATAGACACTGGGACTAGTCAAGGCTAAAGTAACTTGTCCAGTATCTGCTAGTAAATGGGAGAGCAGGGGTTGAAACTAAGGTGGTGTTGCTGGTGCTTGAGTGGGGCAAGGATGTTATCAAGCCCTAGGAGATACAGAAAAGCCTAGTGGTTAAAAGAACTGACTCTGAAGTTTGACTGCACGGTTCGCAATCCAGATCAGCCACTTCTAGCTGTGTAACAACAAGTTTCTAAACCTCTGCATATATCTTATTTTCCTCATCTATAAAGTGGGCGTAATAATTGTACTACTTTAGGGAGTTTTTATAAAGAATACATGAGTTTTTTTTTTTATAAAATGAATATGTGGGTGAATAATTGAAAGCTGGACAGAAATTCCATTTAACTGTGAAATTTGAATCAACTTTGCCCAACTTTACCTGTAGAATGTTCTCTATGTGTTTCTTAAATAACTTTTCATCTTTTTAGCTGTGGAAGGGTTATTTGCATATGCTGGAAAGCAATTTTGAGAACGCTTGCCCTAAACACTTTATTAGCCTGTACTGCATGAACTAAATTCTATTTATTTATTTATTTATTTATTGACCAATTGCTGTATGGTTTGAAATACATATGCTTAGAAAGTCTTTTGGATTTTGACATAAGAGTTTCAGGCACAATTTAAAGCAAATGCATTTTTCTGGAAGCCTTGGTCGATTATAAGTAAGCAATAGCAAATCAAGAAATGTTTTGTAGCATCATAGCATTGTTCATTCTCTTTTGGCTCTTCCTATTTTTGTACATTTTATGGTTCATGAATTGTGTATGGATAATGCAACACATTACTAACAAAAGTGATCTTCATTGTCCAGGTATCTTTGATGTTTAAATATCCCTTGAGAATGCCAGGAAAACTTTGTGAATTTTGTTTAAGATACAAATAGGGTCTGATTCATCAGATATCCTGGTGTTTCTTCCTTTTGTATATTTTTCAGGGACTTCTTTATCATTCAGGATTACTTTACCATGCTACTTTCTGCTTCATATAGAAGAGTATTTCCTGTGCTTTTATCCTCATTAGATTACAGTATGTACTTGAGATAATAAAAGTGAAGATTGAATAAAAGCTGTTAAAATAATATCCAAATTATATAAATAATATCGCTAAGGTGCACTCATGATTTTAACTATAATCCTCTGCAATGACAAAAAAGTCCCATAGGGTTATGAAACTAAGTAATTTCCTGTATTTGACTAGCTATATTCTACTTATCCCCTGTCTTCATGATCTTCTAAACACTTTTAAGAAAAAATAATGAATGACTTCAGGTAAGGCTTCACATGATCATTATTTAACATCTGATTGCTGTCATAAGGCACATGTCTATTTCAGAGGAGTGGTTGCCATACAATATCGAATCTGCAAAACATTCTAGTTCATTAGTTTTGGCCAAGAGAAAGACTTGGTTCATTAGTCAGAGGAATTAACTCATCGATCATACACAGTAATGTAAAAACTGGACCTCAACTGCCATTCTTCCTTTTACAAATGATCATTTCCCCTCTGATGTTCTCTACCCTATATGGATAAACCATTTGTTTTTCTTTTTACACCGTCTCACAGTTGACTCATGTAGAGCTTCATTCTTTTTACAATACAATTTGCTTTTTAAATAGAAATGACTTATATGAAAATACAAAAATACTTGTTACCTTATTAATATTTTACATATTAAAGCTATCTAATGTAATGAATTACATATTATTGCATTTTTTACAAGAAAGCATATTGTTACACACTAAGTACTTTTTATTGCACTGAAACTTCTCCCAACTTTTATTTAAAAGGGTAGGCATTATTCCATTCCATATAAATGAGAACAACCTTCTTAAGCCTCTCTTTACTCAGCCTTACACATCATAGTTGTGGAAAAGTACATATAAAACCCCCATAATATCTGCATATTGAAAATGTTCAAAATATCAAATATTGACTAAAATATTAACTAATCATTATTTTCCCTGTAAAGTAATACCGGTAAATGTTTCTTAGAGGAAAATAAAAAATACAGAAACTGCAATGAAGAATATCGACAGTGAGGATGATTCATTCAAGTTAACAATCTTTCCACTTTACGATGGAGTGAAAGCCACAGATATTCAGTAGAAATGTACTTTGAGTATGCATTAACCAATCTGTTTTTCACTTTCAGTATAGTATTCAATAAATTACTTGAAATAGTCAACACTTCATTAAAAAATAGACTTTTTATTAGATGATTTTGCCCAATTGTAGGCTAATATAAGAGTTTTGAGTATGTTTAAGGTATCTAGGCTAAGCTGTGTAGTTTAGTATGTTAGGTCTACTAAATGCATTTGTAATTCATGATATTCTCAACTTACAATGGATTTATTATAGTGTAGCTGCATTGTAAGTTGAGGAGCATCTATATATACTTATGATTTCTGTATCTAGAGATAAACATTAACATTTTTTCTGTCTTTGGTTTATTTTGTAGGAAGATGTGCTGTCTTTAGCTATCTATATTTTAACACTTAGAAATCCATGCCTATGTATGCATATATTTAGCTACAGTTATAACTATATATGCATATAGATACATAATTATTTACATTAATGTCATATGGTGTTAAGAGATATAAATTTATTTGATAAAATATTCTAACATGCACATTTTCCTTGCACCTAAATATAATTGAAAAATACAATTTAAATGACTGCATACTATCCTCATGATATATCTGAATTTATTAACTCAATTTCTTGTTACTACTCGTGCTTCTTTTTCGGTTATTAACTGTTACAAGTAACGCTACATTGAAAAATTTATACATAAGTTTCTTCAAATATTTTTATTCATTAAATTCTTTTCTTGAGTGTATGTGGATTCTAAAACAGAATGTCATGTGGATCATAGTAACAGATTTTTTTCAGAGTAAATTTAGACTTTGAGAGGTTTTTATTGCAAAACTATGATTTTCCAGTGAAGGTAACTTGATAAACAGACAGATAAGATTTATCAAGAATACTCTGGTAGCGAGTGAGTGATTCAGACAATAGCCTAGTCTGCTTACTCCCAAGGTAAGCAGATATGTAAGAAGGTTTCTCAGGAATACTCTTGATAGCAAGTGCATGATTCAGACAATAGCCTAGTCTGCTTACTCCCAGGGCACTCCCTGCTCTTCCCTCTGCACAACATTCTCCAAGGATATTTCAATGCTATTTAATAAATCCATATGACTTTTCTATTTTTATGAATTTGACCTTAGATGAAGCTATCTTTTTTTAAAAGAAAGTGTTCTATTTTAAGTAGATATATTTTTCTACTTCTTCAGTTACATATAAAATTGATATTATCTACTTTGAATAGGAATGCCTTAGAAGTCTGCTTCCATTCCTTTCGAAGGACTTGGTTCCAGGTAATTTTTTAGTCTTTTTTCTATGAAGATTTTCATCCATAAAGATAAGTGCCATTACCCACACTTGACTGGTAATTAGACTGTCTAATCAACACCATGGATTATGGTGATGGAAGCAGACTGACTGTAAAGTTTTATTTATTGCATCATTTTTAAAATGTTGTAAAACCTTTCTAGTGAGCTTGAAAGTGATGGCCATATCTGATTTTCTTTCTCCCTTTCTTTCTTTCTTTCTTTTCCAGGTCTGGCAATGTAACTTAAACATTGGGGAAACAAAATAAATATTTGTTAATTTTATTAATATGTAGAGCAATTATGTATCAATTAAAAAATTAAACTATGAGAAAATGTATAAAAGTATAAGAAAAATCTTATAAAAGTACAAGAAAAATGCCTCAAAGAACTTGAACCAACTTTCTAAACATGTATGTACATTTATTAGTTAACTTCAATGTTTCTCAAGGCTGGGCACCATGGCTCACACCTGTAATCCCAGCACTTTAGGAGGCCTAGGTGGGAGAATCACATGAGCCTAGGAGTTCGAGACAAGCCTGGGGAACATGGTGAAACTCCATCTCTACAAAAAAACACAAAAATTAGATGGGTGTGGTGGCACATGCTGTGGTCCCAGCTACTTGGGAGGCTGAGGTCAGAGGATCACTTGAGCCTGGGATGTCGAAGCTTCAGTGAGCCGTGATTGTGCCACTGCACTCCGGCTTGGGTGACAGAATGAGGCACTGTCTCAAAAAAACAAAAATTCAAATATTGCTATTTCAATATATTCAACTCCAGCTTCTTTTATTTCTTGTTTTCCCATATTCCCACCTTCTCTTGGGCATTAACTCCTCTCTAACTTTTGATGTGTAGGGATTATTGTAATGCCAATCTCAATAATTTCACTTAATTTGAATTGATATTTCAGTCTAATCTATTCTGTAAAATAATACTTTTATTTTCCTTAAGAGTCTGCATAGCGGTTTTTCTTCTTTCTTCTTTTGCTTTATTAAATATATTTATTATCTGGATTGCATTTTTAGACACCAGGAGAGTAAAGATATATCACAACTTCATGAATAGTCTTTGGGGTGATAACAGTCATTACATCCCCCAATATATCACAAAAATTACGAAATGTCTTCACTTATAGCTATTGTACAGAGTTAAATAACTTTCATATTAAATGTGTTTTTTCTCTGAGTTATTATTTCTAAAACAATACATTTCTTTCCATTTTTATTTTTCCCTAGGCTTTGAATATATTCACACTGTTTACAAAGTTAAACCAAAATATATTATTTACCACATATTTAAATATAATAAAATTTACTCTCAATCCTTATTTAGTGAGGACAAATATGAGAGGTACATTTACAGAAATATCAGACATATTTATAAAATCGATGTAGGAAATAGAATCATTAGGCTTAAAATAAACTGTGAATTCAAAATGGACTGTATCTTAAGGCATTAGAATTTTTCCACTTTTAAAATTGATCGGAAGTTATCTAAGGCAATTTAATTCCCTGGGAATTTAAAATTCTGGATGTGGTATTTGTCAAGAAGCTCAGAGTGTCTGCAGTTTTCTCTCTATCAAATCAAAAGGGCATTACTGCTATTCTTTGTTTGAGGAGTGCATGCTTTCTTGGATTTTTATTGTTCTCAAGGCTATATTGTTGATTCTTCTGTCATAAAGTACTCTGATACATGGGCACTGCAATTCATAAATTAATAAATAATAATGCTCGTTTAATCACAGGCACGAAGGCTTCTCTGCAGCATTTGTTTCGTAGAGTATGTTTAGCACCCTCTCTCCATTATCTCAGATGCTGTTTTAATTATGTGGCAGATGCTAAAAGGCAGGTGATTTTCCAGGGTGATGGCAAGGTTCCCTGTCTATAAGCATTTGATTCTAGAATTCCAAAGTGATTGCCATTTGAACCTGTACCATAAGAAAGTTAAATCTGATGCAATTACCAAAAAAGGAGATGCTGACTGTTCTCAGCATTGCCTCTGTGACAAGGATAAGACAGACTAAATGCATTCTCTTTCACAGCCATCACTTGATACACAAACTTTTTCATTATATTCTATCAACAAAATAAGAAGATAACAGGCTCATGTTTGGGTATCAAATGTGACTAGCAATCCAAAGTCTTGATTGTAGTGGTTGGTTGCATTGTTATTGAAATAATTTCACTGAACTTCTGCAACATTAGGCAGAATCTCTAATGATTTTCTTTTCAAAATTATTGTAGAAGCAGAGATATTCTTGGGCATTGACCATTGCTAACTTAACTTCTCATGTATACCCGTCTGACTGATGTTGGCAAAAGAAACTTGAAAATTACAGGGCATCATTTCCAATCAAAATAAAACAGCATGTCATATTAAGGAGAAAAATGAATGTAAAAGTATAATATTTTCCATCTTTAAGTTAGGCCGATATTACATGTAATTCAAGAGATGGGACTAATCTGTTCATAATCACGTGGCAAACATAAAGCAAGAAAATATTTGTTTTACATAGGTATGCCAAAGGAGAAAGTAGCTGTATTTCATTAGAGTAAGTGATGTGATCAAAACTATATCTTTCTCAATTCTAAAATAAATTAGAGTTTATCTTCAAGATTTAGGTAAAATAACTACATGATAGAAGTACCTTGGTGAATCAAAGCGGTACAATATTCATGCTTGCCATTGACTTAAAAAAAAACAGATAGTCTTTATATTTGTTTTATGCCTAAGGAATAATAGTTGATGTCTACATGATTGTTTCAATTCACTGATACTTTTACTTCTAATAACCTTTCCACCTGTTGTAATTGAAAAATGCTTATGCTGTTCCAAAGTTTTTGTTTATATGCCCCCATCACCCCCTAAAATATATGCCCATATTTGCCTGTTACTTTTATTCTTTTAGTGTTTTATAAGTTTTGATCTATAGAGTTTACTCTAAAGTAGTATGTGATCAATATGAAACAAAACTCATATGGCAAACCATATGTCTAAATACCTTGTATTCAAAAAATCTAATGTTAACCTATAGATTGCTAATGTTTTGTTACATACTAAAACATTATGCATAAGTGTGTTGCTTTCTGGATTTCTATTCTGCTTGATTTGTTCTGTCTGTTCATGTGCCAAATTCAAATTTCAGTTATTGAAGATTTATAGTATGTTTAGGTAAAGTTATTCCATCCCCTTTGCTCCTTTTTACAGAGCTTTTCTGAATATTCTTAATTTTTTATTTTGCAATGTATACATTAAGAGCTCTTAGCCTACTTCTGGGAAAGAAAAAAAAATAGCATTTATATATTTTTAGTCACAGACTTAGCATATTGTTGTGGTTAAGAACACTGACTATGGGTTAAAGTCAATTTCAATCTTGACATTTGTATTTTCCAGCAAGTTATCTAACTTCTCTGCCTCAATTTGCATGTTTATAAATAGCAATAGAATTAATACTTCCTACCTTTTGGAATTACTTGTCGGATTACATGAATTAATATATGTTAAAACCTTAAAGGATGCCTAAAACATTGAGTATGTAAATTTACTTGTTATTAATGGTATTAATTGTATTCATATTAAAATATGAATTGATATAGGTAAATTTGATGTCTCAATGATGCTGTGTACCCTTATCCAAGATAATAATCTCTATTTCCCTTTGTGGAAGCCCACTTTTTTTTTTTTTTTTTTGAGACAGGGTCTCACTCTGTCACTTAGACTGGAGTGCAGTGGTGAGATCTCGGGTCACTGCTGCCTCAACCTCCCCGGCTCAGGTGATCCTCCCAACCTCAGCCTACCAAGTAGCTGGGATTACAGCCACATGACACCATGCCTGGCTAATTTTTGTATTTTCAGTAAAGATGGGTTTTTGCCATGTTGGCCAGTCTGGTCTGAACTCCTGAGCTCAAACACTCCTCCCATCACTGCCTCCCAAAGTGCTGACACTGCAGGTGTAAGCCACTGTACCCTGCCAGAAGTCTATTTTTTATATCCAAAAGTATTTTTTAATGTTTTCCAATTTAGACATATTATATTTATTCCCAATCCTTTTTCTGAATATTTTTAATATAAATATTAGGATTATATTTATAAGATGAATTCAAGTGCTTGTAAGAAGTAATAGTCTACCAGTGACTGGATAAATGACATATAGTCTACCAATTTAAAGGAATGCTATACTGAAGAAATAATGCTATTAAATATTATTAAATATAGTATGTCTAAATTGAGAAAACATTAAGAAGAACTTTTGGATGTAAAAAAATAGACTTCTGGCAGGGCATGGTGGCTCACACCTGTAGTGTCAGCAGTTTGGGACAAATAATAATACTACTACTATATGCTATTATTTCTTCAGTATAGCATTCCCTTAAATTGGTAGACTCTATGTCATTAATCCAGTCTGCTCTTGATTGACATTTGGATTGTTTCCAGGGTTTTGTTATTACAAACTATAGTGATATGAATATTATTGTACCTGTTTCATGATGCACATATGCAAGAATAAGAGTGGAATCAGTCAGCTTTAACTTCACCATCTCATCCCAAATCAATGTCCAGTTGACTCAGTGCTATTTAATGAAGAGATCATACCTTTCTATGCATTGCAGTGATGCCTTTGCCATAAATTGAATAGCCATATATGCATGGGTTTATTCCAATGTTCTATTTGTCTCAGTCTGTTATCTTAACCAGAATTGGCAACTGTTTCAGTGGAAGTGGAGGTTACTTACCTCTTCTCTATTCAGTTCTTTCCTTTTCTAGAATTCTTCAATTTTTGCTTTTCTGTTCCTGATTGCTTTAGGAGTCCTAGATGCTTTACACACACATTGTGTATATATAAAAAAATTACTAATTACACATTATGAATATGTATTTATACATACATATGATTTTAACATTTTAGTCTATAGGCAAATTTGCTGAAATTCAGAACATCTCTGGAGCATAATCCCAGCTCCAGAGATCTCTAGTTTGGCTGAGGCATTTGTTGTGACGTCATAGCAGTCCGACTTTTCTTCTGTTCAATTATAATTCTTTCACTCTCTTACAGGTGTTCTCCCAGATCTAATTCCTGGGGAACATGATCTGTGAGATAGATTTTATATTTCTCTCTCTATATATATGTGTGCATGTGTGTGTATACATGATCCTCAGTGTATATTTTTGTACCGTGTGGACCTCAAAGATGCATGCTGCTTATGGCAGAATGAGCATAGGCCAATCATTCTGGCCTCACAGGCTTGCTTAGTCAAATGGAAGCACACACACACACACACACACACACACACACACACACACACACACACTTGCATTTGAACATTATCTGCTGTTTTTTCCTTAAGCAGTTCAACTGTACCTAGAACTTGATATATCTGTACCTTACATTTTATAGTCTAAAAAGAAAATAAGGCACCCAAGATAGTCAGAAACCAGATCGTTAGCTCCATGTTCACCATTTTTAGATAAAAAGCCAGTCCTTAGCTTCTGGAGAAGGTGTTCCAGAAAAGGGCCCAGGGCTTGGTGAGGGAGTCGTGATAGTCCTGATCACCAGGTCCTGTGTGAAATGCCTCCATTTGTTATCCAACCTACTGAAGGCAATGTAAGATGAAAACCCTCTTATTGTAGCCACTGAGAACTTACAGCTAAAACTGTTCTAGTGCTATCAATACAAGCAAAACTCAGGCACATTCAACTTTAGAGTCTCAAATGTTTTTTGGCCAACAATGACTAAAAAATATGACCCCATCTTTCCAAGCTTTTGATTCCAGACACAGCTGCACCTATGTTGTTCCTCACCACCAATGTTCCAGAAAAGTCTCCTCCATTTGGCTAAGCCAGTCTCCATGCACCACATGTTTTCTGAGGCCAGGGTGACCGGCATATGCTCATTTTGCCATAAGCAGCGTGCATCTTTGAGCTCCACAAAGTCTAAGAAATATACACTCAGGATCATTGTCCCTATGTATTTGCTGAAATGAATAACCTCTTTATCTTTTCTTAGACGCTAGATTTTGTTTAATATAAGCGAGGTCTTATATTATTATATATGGCCAAATAAACCATAAAATGCACCAATTTGCCAACTTGAAAATGCTACTTAGCTGTCATTTATTGCTGAAAGCCACCTGCCCAGAATCTAACCATAAAAATTAAACCACACAATCATGTAAGTCAGACTCATGACTACAAAATACTGCCAAAAGTCTACAGTTTAAAGGTGAAAGCTGTGCATTGTTCTCATTAAGAGAGTCTATATAATTTGTACTTCCAAATAGACATCCTTTATAACACTATTTTAAATTTAATTTTCCTCCCAAATCTGAAGTAGTCTCCCTCTGCAAAGTTATACAAGAAGGAGCAAAATATATGCTACCTTCTGGCTGGTTTGTTCAGAAGAGCAAGAGGAAAAGGGAAAAAAAAAGCTGCCTCAACATATCCATTGCCCCCTCTCAAAATTTACCAATTAAATATGTCACACTATATAATGTACTATAAATTTGTCAATTCTATTTATACTTAATTTCAAAGCTACTTCATTCTCATAAAAATAGTTAAGAAGTAAACTTTCTTTTATATCCTCTGGATGAGTTTTTGGAAGAATCAAATTGTTTCCTTAAATATTTGGTTGATGTTGTAAAATTATTTGGGAGTAGTAATTTTTAAGTGTGTGTATATGTGTGAGTCTGTGTGTGTGTGTGTGTGAACTGTTTAACTTAAAGATTCAATTATACAAAGGTTATGAGAATATTCTAATTTTCTAATTGTTTATGAATGAGTTATGTTGAAAGATTATACAATTTTTTTCTAGGAATTTTTTATTAAGACACATTTTTCAACTTTGGGTGTTGACATGAAAATGTTCATAATATTTACTTCTCACATTTTTAATAATACTTGCAAATATGATTATTTCCTCAATATAAATTTTATTTATGTATGTCTTTTATTTTCTTCTTAGTCAATATTTGTAGAGAGAAGACAATTTTTTTTTTTAGCTTAACAAACTCACTATATTCTGGTTCTGTGTGATAGTTCATCATTTTATATATAATTTCTTATCTTTTCTGTTTTTTTGTCATTTTGCTATCTTAGAGTCCGTTGTGATATCCTTCTTTTAACTTCTTTTAAATTGAACATAAATCTCATAAAACTTCAGTTTTTATACATTTCTAATGTATCAATTTATGGCTCTAAATTTTGCTCTGTTATCACTCCACCTATATCCCACATTTGAATGCTCTTACGAGTTCTAAATAGTTTCAACTTTTTCTCATGATTTCTTTCTTGAGCAATTAATTTTAATTCACAAAGATATAATCTTTTAAGAGAATTATTTTATTTGATGATGAACTCCTATCGCATTTAGATTGTTTTCAGGGATAAAATGTTTATATGTACCTAAAAAATAAAAGTATCTCCTCCATTTTGTGTAGAGCGTTCTGTAGATTTATGTAATTGATCTTCTCTCACTTCACTGACATTTTTCTCCTAATGTATATTTACTAAAAGTGGTCAGTTAAAACCTATTGTGATTATGATTTATTGAATTCTCATTTTAAATATTTATTTTGGCTGATATAGTTTGGTTCTGTGTCTCCACCCAAATCTCAGGCTGAATTGTTATCCCCAGTGGTGGAGGAGGGTCCTGGTGGGAGGTGATTGGATCATGGGGATTGATTTTCCCCTTGCTGTTCTTATGATAGTAAGTGACTTCTCACAAGATCTGCTTGTTTAAAAGTGTGTTGCACTTCCCCCTTTGCTCTCTCTCTCTCCTGCTGTCATATGAAGAGATGCTTTTTTCCTCTTCACCCTTCTGCCATGACTGTAAGTTTCCGGAGGCCTCCTAGCCATGCTTCTAGCAGAGCCTGTGGGAAGAAAATTGGCACCAGAGAAGTGGGGCGTTGCTATAAAGATACCGAAAAATTTGGAAGCAGCTTTGGAACTGGGTAATGGGCAGAGATTGGAATGGTGCAGAGGAATCAGAAGAAGACAGAAAGATGAGGGAAAGTTTGGAACTTCCTAGAGACTTATTGAATGATTGTGACCAAAATGCTGATAATGATACGGACAGTGAAGTCCAGACTGAGGTGGTCTCAGATGGAAATGAAGAACTTATTGGGAATTGGAACAAAGGTCAATTTTGCTATGCTTTAGCAAAAAGACTGGCAGCATTTTGCCCCTGCCCTAGAGATCTGTGGAACTTTCAACTTAAGAGAGATGATTTAGTGTAACTGGTGGAAGAAATTTCCAAGTAGCAAAGTATTCAAGACGTGACCTGGCTTTTTCTAAAAGTGCACATTCATATGTGTGAAGAAAAGATGGTCTGAAATTTGAATTTATGTTTAAAAGAGAAGCAGAGCATAAAAGTTTGGAAAATTTGCCACCTGACCAAGCAGTAGAAAAGAAAAACCCATTTTCTGGGGAGAAATTTAAACAGGCTGCAGAAATTTGCATAAGTAACAAGGAGCCAAATGTTAATAGCCAAGATAATAGGGAAAATGTCTCCAGGGCATTTTTAAATTTTAAGTTTTAAAATTTTTAAAAATTTAGTACTCTTTAAAATTTAGTGCTCTTTAAATTTAAATTTTAAATTTTAAAATTTTAAAGAGTACTAAATTGTATCAGAAGGATTAAAGAAGAAAAGTGAAATCACACCTTCCTTTGAGCAATGTTCAATTTGATCATCAATTAGAATGATAATTGAAATTAGTTTTAAAATATCAAATGTGTTTTAATAGATGAGTTTATAATAATACTAGAAAATATGGTCACTTTAGGAGGATGATAAATGTTTAATGTTTTATTTTAAAAATTGATACCATTTTTTTCTGCCTTTCCTACAAAAAGATCATTTTAGTGTAGCCAAATAGTTGGTAAAACCAGTTAATTTTATTAAAGAAAATAATATTGTATCTAAGGAATTATCATATTAGAACATCATGATTTTGCAGCTTCTAGTTAAATAATGGATCTAAGCAATAATTATCAGTGTTTGTTAACATCACCATGAGACAGCCAATTGAAATTAAAATAGCATTTTGAATTGAACTTGTCAAATTATCAAGACAGAGAAACATTTTAAACACATTATATGACAGCATGGGATTAAAATAGCAAAATCTAACAGTGAGAACTTCTGTAAGACATATGATCCCAGTTATTCAGTAAGAAAATTATAACACAAAGAGAGAAAGAAAGAGAAATGGATGGGGGAAAGGGAGGGAGAGAGAAAGTTGGGGTAGGGCTACAATTTAAATTCATAATTTAATTGTTAAAAAGCATGGTAGATATATCATCCAGTTGAAATGCATGAACCTTGTTTGGATCTTTATTCAGCAAATAAGCTGTTAAAAATTATGAATTAGAAAAACGTGGGCATTTGTTGGTATTTACTAATAATCATTGTTCTACTCTTAAGTATTACAATGTTAGTTTAAAGAATTCTTATCTCTTGAAACACTTTTGGATTAAATGGCACAGATGCTAGAATTTATTTTAAATTAATATTATAGGGGCTATCTATTAGGCAAAATAATAATTCCAAGAAGATTGGCTATGATTTGATACTTGTTGAAACTGAAGGACAGATATGAGAATTTGTTGTAATTTTTTTTCCATTTAGAATATGCCGGAGGTTGTTCATACTACAAAGCCTTTTTTTTTTTTTAACTTTTTCAGATTAGTCCTTATGTTTGTCATTTTTTCATTTGTTCACACATTGGAAATTTCTTTAGTCAGAGTATATTGACAGTAAATTTTCTGTTTTTGTCTAAAATTTTTTTCCACCTTAATCTAAAGATAGTTTAGCTATCTTTGGTAATACATGGAAAAGAGGAAGGGGAAGGAATTCATTTGCCTGACTTCACCATCTCCAATCTCCACCAACTAAAATTTATTCCTCAGAGGGTTAATTCTCCCAAGACTTCTGGATTCTATCATCTATCAGCCACTCAGAAAATAAGATTCTCATTCCAAGTTGTAGAATTTTGTAGTCAAAAGCAGAGAAGAGTTTGTGGCACAGATGGGACATTTACCCAAATAACTGAAAATAACTTTATGAAGCCAATAAAATGCCCCTTGGAAAAACTGTCCTAGTGCTTTGAATAAATGGGTCACTTTTGCCTTGTGCATAGGTAATCAATGGTCCCACTTTCTGACAGAGCCAGGAAATAAGGTATTTTGGAGACTTTGAGAAGAGAGGTATTCAACTAGTCTGCAAGTAACTGATCTACATTCACAATTTAAGGAAGAGACCTTGGCTTTGCTTCCTAGCCTCCAGAGACTTTTAAAAGTCTAATCTGGGCTGTGTGCAGTGGTACATGCCTGTAACCTCAGCATTTTGGGAGGCCGAGGCAGGAGGATTACTTGATGCCAGGAGTTAGAGACTAGCCTGGCCAACATACTGAAACCCTCTCTCTATTAAAAAATAAATAATAATAAATACAGAAAAAAGAAAAAAATTAATTAAAAGTCTACTCTGACATTTCTAATGAAAAACTCCAACAACAGAATTAAAAGGAACCTATATGAACAGTCACTTTTCTTGCTGAACTTATGTAAATGATCAGCCCAATTTTAATAAAATTAAACTTAGTTTACATATAAATTATACTTACATAGATTGATAAAATTAGGGTACTTGAGAGAGAAAAATTACGTTTCAAAAGAAAACTATAGTACACCTGTTATTAGATTCTAGCTCATTATTTTTGAGATTGTATTCCTGATTAGAAATTTGGACTGAATCTGAATTTCTTATAGTTTCTTCCAATATTTGGATGTGAGCCCACAAACTAATATTCCCAATTTTCTCCAATTTTTCTGACTTGGAACCACTGAAATTAAAACTGTCATTTTTCCTGAAGTCCTGTAAGCTAAAACTGGTCAATCTCATATAATCTAGGAAGAAATGACCATGACAGTTTATGTGTAGACAACTTTTTGTACCATGCAAACTGCAATCTAGAAGTCTGTCAGATTGCCACTACCTTCTTCCACTCCAACTGAAAATGCTTCACACCCCATCTCAACCAACTGCCCTCAAACTCCATAAGAAACTAGCTTATAGTCTGCTCCAGACCTTAACTTTTATTTTTTTCTGTTTCCATAGAAATGCCTTTTAATAAACAACCATCTGCCTCCTTGATATAAAGGCTTAACTTTGATGGGACCCCTACAAACGCCACTTCCTGAAATGAGACACAACTGTTTAAGAGGACTGACCTATTCACAGGAATGGAAGACTGGTTTAATGAGATCTTCTACCACTCAGCTACGAACCTATTTTTTTCTTTTTTCAATCTGCATCCACCAACTCATCTTTCAGTATGTGAAACTTCTAGGAGAATTTCAGTTAGGACAATTTTGGGGCACAGAGAATGATATAACTAAGTGTGATGCTTTGGTATGCTGAACACTTTTAAATTAAGAGAAACTGTAAGGCCTTAGAAGCTGCTTAGAAGCCAAGGACAGAAACCTTTTCTTGTTTCTCCCTGCCAAGCTCTGGGAGGGGCTCTCTTTCTAAGTTCCCTTATCGGACTGAGAAAAACTTCTTCCCAAAGAAATGTAATTGTCTGGCCGGGTGCGGTGGCTCACGCCTGTAATCCCAGCACTTAGGGAGCCCGAGGTGGGCAAATCACGAGGTCAGCAATTCGAGACCAGCCTGGCCAATACGGCGAAACCCCTCTCTACTAACACTACAAAAATTACCGGGGCGTGGTGGTGCACACTTGTAGTCCCAGCTACTCAAGAGGCTGAGGCCGAAGAATCGCTTGAACCTGGGAGGCAGAGGTTACAGTGAGCCGAGATTGTGCCACTGCACTCCAGCCTGGGCGACAGAGCGAGACTCCATCTCAAAAAAGAAAAAAAAAAAAAAAAGAAGTGTAATTGTCTTAAAACTCCCTCCCTAGAAATCTCATCAAATAAAGAAAAAACAGTAACCACTGAAGAAAGAGAAAAAACTGTAAGTCCTCACCATGCCCAGATAGACTTTTCATCTATTCTTTTGAGGGCAGCTCCAAGAGGATTACCTGAGAGGCTTTATCTGCATAATAAGACAACTTTTGTTCACAGTAAAGTTCCGTTGCTCACCTTCATGCAATTTGTCACCATCTCCCCCAGAACTCCTAGGAACTTTGTTCTAGACCATTGTCTGTTCTCTGGACTTATTTAATTCCCATGGAAATTATTTACCACCCCTCAAAATTGCCTTCATACTCGATTTCCCTGTCCCCTATAAAAGACGGTATTTAAGACTTAACCGTATGGTTTTTCAATGTCTCATATTTTAAATGGTTCCTGTGCATACTCAATGTTAAGAAATTTGCATGCCTATTCTCCTGCTAATTTATTGTGCTTTTACTTCAGCAGACTAGAACCTTCAGAGAGAAGGGGAAAATTCCCTTCACCTGTACACTGTTTAGGTGCATGTGTGTTTGGTAGTGGGGAGGGGTTGACAATACATTAACTATTTCTAGAATAAAGAAAAAAAATTAGAAAGCATGAGAACTGTGAAAAACAAATCAACATAAATGATCAATCCAAGGAGACAAATATCCAACCAATAAGAACTCCAGAAACAATTAAACATGTATAAAGCGGATGAGAAGATACAAGATATAATTTGTCAGACAAATGCCATGTGCCTTCCAAGTCCTCAATAGAGTGAATGAGAAGGAAGAATTACAAACCATACCAAGATGTATTTTTAGACCACTAAGGATAAAAAAAAAAAAAGACAAGAATATATATTTTTTAAACCTGTAACATCTTTTGTATAGGGGAAAACAAGATTATCTACTGTATCTATTAAGGAATAGGCATCACATGATTCATGATCAAGACCTGAGTATCACAGATACAATATCTGCTGGAAAATGGTTTTTGTCAGGTCTCTGAGCCCAAGCTAAGCCATCATATCCCCTGTGACCTGCACGTATACATCCAGATGGCCCGAAGCAAGTGAAAAATCACAAAAGAAGTGAAAATGGCCAGTTCCTTCCTTAACTGACGACATTCCACCATTGTGATTTGTTTCTGCACCCCCCTTAACTGAGCGATTAATCTTGTGAAATGCCTTCTCATAGCTCAAAAGCTCCCCCACTGAGCACCTTGTGACCCCCATCCCTGCCCATAAGAGAACAACCCCCTTTGACTGTAATTTTCCACTACATACCCAAATCCTATAAAATGGCCCCACCCCTATCTCCCTTCCATGACTCTCTTTTCAGACTCAGCCTGCCTGCACCCAGGTGAAATAAACAGCTTTATTGCTCACACAAAGCCTGTGTGGTAGTCTCTTCACACGGACGCATGTGACAGTTTTGATCTAAAGAACAAACAAAAACAAATTACGTGTCAAGAGTCATAACATAAGGTAGATATTTAGACATGTGTAAAGTGTCATATACCTATAATCACCCAATGGATTCATCTTGCCTGCTGTCCAGAAAAGCCAATGCTTGGAGAACAGCAGGTTTTTGTAGCAAAAAAAAAAAAAAAAAAAAAAAAAAAAAGAATGTGATAATCACAGTGCTGGCCAAGAGGAATCACAGGAGTTAATTCTCAAATCTGTTTCCCTGGTCATTCAGAGGCTGTGGTTTTCATGGATAATTTGGCAGGCAGGGTGTAAGAGTTAAAGAAAGAGGAAAGAAACATGAAAAGTTGCTCAACAGTCAAAGACAGGTTTATTTTGGAGAATAAACCTGAGAGGGGCTTCTGGCCAATTTCAGTCAGGAGCACTCTCTCTTACAGACTAAGGGCATTTACTGGTTTTAGGATGAGAGAGCTTATCACAAGCTTGGAATGTTTCTGTGTGGGGGAGAAGTTTACGGTGGGGTTGGAATGCCTCTGGTCCTGGGGAGGTTATGTTGGGGTTGACATATTTCTGGCTGGAAGGGAGGTTATCCCAGGTCTAGCATGTCTCTGGTTGGGGAAGGATTTATCTTATGGTTGGAATGTTTCTGGTCAGAGGTGTCATTTGTGGTTTATGGTCATGTTGACCTTAGCCATTAGGCTGATACCCTTTGACTTTAGGCAGTTTTTGATCAAGGTGAACTTTGAAATGGTGGTACTTGTCCAAGATGGTGATGTTCCTGCTCTGTGATGGGACACCTGGGAATGGGTGCTGCTGATTGGTTGGGGGGTGAAATCATAAGAGTGTAAAAAATGGTCCTCATGAACCTGGGTGGGGACCACAGGACCAGTTGAGTCATGAGTCACAGTTCCAGGTAGAGTCAGTTGACAAAATGGAAATGTCTGAAAAAGTATCTGAAAAGACCAATCATAGGTTCTACAATAGTGATATTTTAGCTATAGGAGCAATTCGGGAAGTCACAGATCTTGTGATCTCTGGCCACATGACTCCTGAGCAATTAAGGGATTATAGAAGAATAAACTAGGAAACAATGGCTGGTTGTCATTTAACTATGCATACATTTTAGCAGAATTCAGGCCCCTCTCATAATCCTGATCTTGACGGCTTTCATTAGTCTTATGAAAGCCGTTTCAGTCCCCAAGCAAAGAAAGGGTCAGTTTTATGGAGGGATTATTATGATCCTTGCTTCAAAGTTAAACTATAAACTAATTTCCCCCCACGGTTTGCTTGGCCTACTCCCAGGAATGAGCTAGGACAGCCAATCTATGAAGGTAGAGGCAAGATGCAGCCAGCCATGCTAAACTTCTCTAATTGTCGTAATTTTTGTAAAGGTGGTTTTATATCCACCCATGGGAAGTTCCTCGAGAATCAAAAAGGGAGTAAAGAAAGAAAAAAAACACCCTTGTGATCCAGTCTCCAACACTGCTGTAAAGTAATTGTGGAAAAAAAAAAAGAGAAAACAAATCACCAGTTATATATGAGTCATATTGTTTTCTTTATTATTATTACTATTTTTCTTGAGACAGAGACTCACTCTGTCACCCAATCTGGAGTGCAGTGGCGTTATCTCAGCTCACTGCAGCCTCCGCCTCCCGGGTTCAAGCGATTCTCATGACTCAGCCTCCCGAGTAGCTGGGATTACAGGTGTGTGCCACCACGCCTGGCTAATTTTTTTGTATTTTTAGTGGAGACCAGGTTTCGCTACATTGGCCAGGCCGGTCTCCAACTCCTGGCTGCAAGCAATCTCCCTGCCTCAGCCTCTCAAAGTGAGGATTACAGGAGTGAGCCACCATGCCCGACCATATTGTTTTCCTTTTATCCAGCTGAAAAATACATTGCCATGCCCTTTATCTGAGTTCATATTCTGCAAAATATTTATTTTTAAATTTTTCTCTAGCTACATTTTCTCCCTGGAATGTAAATAGTCCTATTAAGAATAGTGACTGATACATACTGATGATTTTAAAATGCATATCTCTGGTCATGATCTCTCTTTTGACATCCAAATTTAGAAATGTAATTGTTTACTTGGCATTTCCCATTGGAATATATAACAGATAAATCAAACTGAACATGATCAAAATAGAACTTTGAATTCTCCTGTCCCTTCCTCAATCTATTTATCTTCCACTTTTCTACATCTGAGATACTATAATCCTCTAAATTGTTAAGGGATCTTGGAGGCCAAGACTCTTGGCCCTCTACAGATTCATGGAAAATCACCAACATGAGGCAGATTGATTAACAGAAAAAAAGACCTGCAATTTTTTTTTTTTTAATGTGTATACACAGGGGCCTTCAGAATGAAGACAAACTTCCCAATAAGGTACAGAAGCTTATATGCCATCTTCAGGCTACAGAGAAAAATGGGGACTTGGATCTTGGTAAAACAGGTTATGGGAAATGGAAAAAGAAGAATTCTAGTGAGGGGCAATAAATAAATGATGAATAGAAAATATGATTAGATCTGGGAACAGTCATTTTCTCTCTTTTTCTTTTTCTTTTCTTTATTTTCTTTTTGTTTTTCTTTTTTGTTTTTTAGACTCCAGTTCAGGCTGGAGTGCAGAGTGCAGTGATGTGATCTCACCTTACTGCTGCATCCTTAACCTCCTGGCTTGAGCAATCCTCTGACCTCCATCTCCCACACAGTTGCGACTATAGGCACGCGCCACCACACTCAGCTAATTTTTATGTATTTTTTGTAGAGATGGGGTATCACTATGTTGCCCAGGCTGGTCTTGAATTCCTGGAATCAAGTGTTCCTCCTGCCTCAGCCTCTCAAAGTGCTAGGATTACAGGCAGGAGCTACTGTACCTGGTCTCAGTAATTTTCTTGACAAAGGGTCAGTTCAGGTGTGGTTTACATTTTTGGTCTTCTTTTTTGCAACAGACCATGGGATAGCAAGGAGGGGCACAAGAACAGTTTTCTCCTTGGTGGGTCAGTCCCATCATTATGTAGACAGGGGAAAAAAGTCTCTTTCAGCATTTGATGATCTCTAAGTGTTTTTTTTTAAATACTCATACACCAGAGAGCCATATTTTGTAGTGAAACATTGATTTCCTTCAGGATACGGTAAGAGTCATCTCTCTGCATCCAAGCCATTCGCACATCTCACTCTACCAACAGAAACGTATGTCAAATCCAATCACTTCTCTGTCTCTCCTGTCATTGCCACAGTCCCTGCTACCATCATTTTTAATCAGGATTAATGCAATAGCCTCTTAACTGCTCTCTCTGCATCCATTCTTGTTACTTATTGTCAATTCTCCACAGATTAACAACAACAAAAGTAATGATAATCATAATAATAAATTTAAAGTGCAATCCACTGGCTTTTCTTAGTGGAATAAATTTTAAACTCTTTATGACTTTGTTATGGTTTATGCCTAGTTATCTCTGAAGATGTCTTCTACACTATACTAACCTCTTCCCCACCCAAGTATTTCTTTCTCCTTTTAGGAAGGAAGGAGAGAAGAAAGGAAGAAAGAAGGAGGAGAAGGGTATGGAGAAGAAGAAGAAAGAAGAAAAGAAAAACAACTTTGTTTCTGTCTGGGCCTGCATACCTTACTTTGCCCTGGCTGGCTTTTCTAGTCAAGAAAATTTTTCTTTAAATGCCAACATGTCAGGGAATTCTGCCTTGTGTTTACCCTATCTGAAGTATTTCCTGTCCCTTGCCTGACCTAGTAAGTCTCTATTATCCCACAGTGTCTTTTAGCTTCATAGCAATAATCTTTTTCTCTAAACTCACCTTTTAAAAATTGTATTTGTTTATTTATTTATGTGTTTGCCACTAGAATGTAAGTTCTATGACAAGAGACTTTATTTATTTATTTTTTTGCATTTCCCAAAAAATGTATCCCTAGCAATTACAACAGAGTTACATTATGGACTGACAAAAAAAAAAAAAAAAAAAGCCGAACACTAGAATGAATGAATAAATGAATGAATGAATGCTGTCACATGGGCAAATTTTACCTAAGTGTCATTTATATATCTTAATCTCCTTAGTGATGGCAGCATCAAATTTTTAAAATTATTTCCCTTATTAATAAATACATGCAAGAAAACCATCAAAGACAATTTCTAATTAAATATTACTGTTGTAAAATGGGAATGATTTAGTTGGTATTACCATTTGAGATTTCCTGATACTTGAGTTATTTTTCTTAAGAGAAATCAGAACTGTACAGTTATTTTTAAAGCTTCAAAATTAGAAAGAGCAATATGATCTATGCCAGACATTCTGCATGAAATACCATTGCAAATTCATGCCTGATTTAGTAAGTGAAGAATGCCATTTTCTTCAGCATCCCTATGATTTGTGGAGCATGGAACAATAACAAAAATAGCTTTGGAGAGGAACACAAAGGAATTTTATCTTTATCATAAGTTTGATAGAAATATTTAAGTCCCAGACATGTGGTAATGTTTAGGGGCAAAAAAACTCATTTAAGGTTTTATGATTTCCATAAGTAGAAATGCTTGGAATATTTTTAGGGAAAACGAATTTCTGCTAATCTATCAGAGTTTTAAGCTCTGGTAACTAAGATTGGTTTCTTTTGCATTACTTGAAATACATTTTCTGAAAATTATTAGTATTTTGATAATTCCTTTTGATGCTATTAGTAAAGGGAGCAGCACAAAAATGACAACTAGTACTTGTCAAGACAACTGAAACAGAGAAACTCCATTCAAGATATTTGTGAAATATGTCTATGTTATTTTTAAGAATAGAAATGACAAGCTCCTTAAGACCACATTTACATAATTATTTGCTAAAATCAATTTTAATAATTAAAACTAAAAATTGAAAAAGTGATGGATGTACACCAATTGTAAACAACCTAAAAATCCCCTCAGCCACGCTGCAGTCAATTAAACCATTGTGCATAAATGCAGTAAGAAAGACTCTTTCCAATGCTTCTTTCTCAGACTATTCATGAGCGTAATAGACCGTGCTATTTCAATGCAAAATGCAGTCAGTTCTTTATTATCCTCACTAATGGTGCAGATAATCCAAAGTGTTAGATAATCCTCAAACCATTTATTGTGGCATAGAAATAGACATTTTAAGGTTAAAAAATCCTTCTTAAAATTGGGGTTGATTTATCCACTGAGTGTAGAGAAAACTGAGACCTTTCTGTCCTTGCAGCCAGGAGACAGAAATTAAGATTCTTCTAGCTCTTCATTCATATTACAAATTTTAGTCTATATTTTCATTCAGTGAGACACTATTTTGCAACACTTTCATGGCTTTATTTTTTTTTTTAATTTTGCTTAAACAAGTTTTCAAATAAGAGGCAGGTGTACATTTGCATAAAAAGTAATGGATTCGAATTTCTTTTATACCTATTGTCTTACACTTTCATTAAATAACACGCAAACTTTTGAGTTGTGGTTTGAGAAACAGTGTTGCACTTATCCACTCATTACTACTCTTCCATGTTATTCTTCCCTGCTTTTTAGGGCATTTACCCTTTAGCTAATTGTCACCCAATAAATGTACATTACTTTATTTAAACATTGATCATAAAGAATATGTCTTTATTGTAAGAATCCCTAGATTACAGAGCCATGAAGTTTGAGGGTGCACTATAAATTCTTTCATGATACAAGTCGACTGAGTAAATGGGGAACCAAATAGATCAAATAACTTGCTGAAGGTCAAAAAGGGAGCAGAACTGATAGCTTAAAGTTGTGTGTGTGTGTATGTGTGTGTGTTTTCCTTTCTGAATATGCTATCTTATTCTTAACAAATACTAACATGTTCTACATAATGCTAGATAATTCCATAGAATTTTCTACTTGAGTTTAAATTCAATTATAGCGTCCTCCTTCTCTTGTGTGTTCTCTCTTTCCAAGAATAGTACATTCTGGCTAAAAGTTTGCTTGGCATTTTTTAATAATAGTTTTGTTTCCTGAACAGAAACTCACAGACTGCAGGAAAAGATAGATCAGAAGTGTACTGTGTAGCTGAGGCATATCATCTGGGAACTTCAAATTAATTATGGGTAATAACAGTAAAAAAAAAATCAGTCATTGACTGGAGATCATTTATTTCTCCTTTTCCTTTCTTGTAACCACAGAGAAATACATATTGAAAATTACATTTTCTATTCAATTATACCTAAAAGTGTTATGCCTAGTTGAGTGCTTAGTCTATACTCAGAGAGAACAATTAGAAACTTGTGTCTACAATTACTTAATTTAATATTTCATTGCATGCCAGTGCTTTAAAAAGGGAGTTCCATCTCAGGCATTGTTAAAATGAAGCTTAGCATAATTAAAAGACAGGATGCCCCTGAAAAGTTACACTGATGTTTAAAAAAATTGTTAATATCAACTAATGATGACATTAATTTAGTAAAAATATGCACAAGAAAAATCTTTTACTACAAACTAACAATTATATTAATGCTTAATATTAACACTCAAACACAAATAAAGTGATATACCTACTTTTAAAATTGAAAAGAAACCATACTTTAAATACTCACTGAACAAATTTTTAAAAATTGGCTACTACCCTCATCACACTAACAAATACATTTTTCTCTTGTTCTCCCTTTATAAAAATTTTCCCAGCTGGGCATGGTGGCTCACGCTTATAATCCCAGTACTTCGGGAGGCCGAGGCAGGTCAGGAGTTCAAGAACATCCTGGCCAAGATGGTGAAACCTCATCTCTACTAAAAATACAAAAATTAGCCTGGCATGGTGGCATGTGCCTGTAGTCCCAGCTACTTGAGAGGCTGAGGCAGAGAATTGCTTGAACCTGGGAGGCAGAGGGTGCAGTGAGCTGAGATTGCCCCACTGCATTCCAGCCTGGGCAACAGAGCGAGACTCCATCTCAAAAAAAAAAAAAAAAAAAAAAATTTCCCGTCATCTAAATACGATAGGAAAATGGAAATATATCCCTTCAAAATACTCCCTGCCTCCACCTCATGGTCAAATACTTGATAGTATTCATTTGTAGATAATGTTAAGTTGAACTACGTGAAATCCCCAATATTTGAAATTTTTTTGCCCAAAGAAGCTTGAGAGCCTAGTCTATGTGAGGGTATGTTAGAGGTTCTTTTAGCATTTAAAACTAGAAAGCAAGATTATCACTTTTTAAGGTTGAAAATTATCAATAATTGTGGATAGCATTGAGTATATCATATTTCAGACATTTTTGACATAAATTATCTCACTTCATTTCCACCCTTATCCTAAGATTATTATTGACCCTATTTTAACTGATAAAAGAGCTAATTTTTCAGATTTTAAGTAACTTGACCTAGATTACAAATCCGTGAAATGTCCAAGATGTCATGCTCCTCTTCTGTTGTGATATAGATCACTTTTCTATATTTCTCCTGAAAATAAAAGCCATATGTTCATAGTGATGACACTGTGCTTCATTATATAAATTAACGAAGAAAAGACATCCTCTCTAGAACATGAAAGTCACCAACACTTTCCCTCTATTATCCAAAAAGACAGAACTTTTGCCTGGGGAGCCATTCATTGTCATACAAGTGCTTCTTCCCTTTCATTCAAGGTGCAGGAAGAAAATGGTTGGAATTAGTAAGTACTGAAAAGTAGGATGTTGGTAAAACCAAAAAAAAAAAAAGACTGATAAAAGCGCATTTCATTATTCTCTAGAGAGAGTTGACGCATCTTTGGAAGGGACGAATGGCAGAGATTGTCAGAAATGAGGAGAGGAGAGTTGCTCAAAGGCGAGAATCCGAAAAAAAAAAAAAAAATAGAGAAAGGACATTGGAGGTGAGACGGCATTCTTAATGCACAACTTCCTATGTTTTGAAAGCATTTATACTGAACACTAATGTAATTAACTCTACTTGATGCCAATTTAATAGGCAGTTGACTGCATTTGTATTGTACAGTTCTTGGAAGTAAAGAGATCTACTACTAGATACTGTTTAGTTGAAGGATGAGTAGGAACAATTCCTTAGATTTCACCCACTGAGAGAGTAGGTAGAGCAAAATGAAACTATGTAGAAAGGAGTGTTTATATCAGGTTAATTGTTTCTGGCTATTCTAGCTTCTTTTGTACCCATCTCATTATATTTTAGGGAACCCTCTACTTTTTTCTTTTTCTAGATCCTAAGGAAACATATGCTGGGCATTGAACGTTCCTCATTTATCATTATTTTGTCTGATCTTTAAAAAGTGACAAAACATGGTAGGTGTTCAAAAAATAGGTGTTGAATGAGTCATTGACTGATATTAATGTTTTCTAAAGATTTAGGAAAGCAGCATCAGGTAATCTAGTTTCTGAAAAAAAGGAAGTATTCAGCTCTTGTGAAAAATAATCAAATGCGTTAGTTTTCCTTGTAAGTGAGTACAATAAAATTATTTGCTGTTGGAGCAGGGAATCATGCCTGGTCTCTTCTGAAGCTTCCATAACATGAAGGCTATCAATGGATATAGATTGAGTAAAATAAAAATTGGTAAAATAAATAAATGAGTTAACAAATCATGTAAACTGTATCAATAAAATCAAGGAAATATATTATTTTTCTCTGAATGTCTAAAAATTATCCCACTAAGGCTAATATATTGTGGAGCTGGCAATCCACTTTACTGAATGATTCTTAGGGTACTGAATGAAGGCAGCAATTATTACAAGGTAAACTTAAGGGTAGAGCTTAAAAATGCAAATCTGTATTTATCCCACTAAGGCTAATATATTGTGGAGCTGGCAATCTGCTTTACTGAATGATTCTTAGGGTACTGAATGAAAGCAGCAAGTATTACAAGGCAAACTTAGGGTAGAGCTTAAAAATGCAAATCTGTAAAAAGACTAAGATTTATAGTTGGGATAATAATTTATACTGGCATCTTTGAGCTTTGATTAAGTATACAAAAACGAGGAAAAAAAGGAGGAAAAAAACGAGGAAAAAATGGCTAATCTAAGCAAAATGAATTTTCTGCTGGATGTGTAAGCAAAAATACAGATGAGTTTTTACGAAAGGACATCAATAAATTTTGAGTTGGATCAGCAGCAGTTGAACGTACTTAAAAACTTGTGTATATATTCATCACACGTGCAGCCTCCAAGTTTACATGTAACTGGTAGTACAGTTATAATTCAAATCAGCAAAAGCCATGAAATCTAAATGCAAAGATAAACCATAATTTACACCATTGAGTTTTCACGTCCCTTTCCTGGCTCCATCTGAAATTCCCCTTGAGAATCTTAAGTCAGAGCTCTGTCTGGAAGAAGTAATCCTGAGGATATCTAAAATCCTTTGTTACCACTTAGGCAAAGGAGATTCCACAAGATCTGAGAAGTGTGGAGTAATTCTTCCTAGCATCATAATGTTCAGAGCTGTATACTCAGAGGAGAAAAAAATTCAACCGTATCATATAACTACAGTGTATTTAGCCAAAATGGAAGCTATTTTTGGCATGGCTTGCTCACTGTAGATGTTATTTCCTTTAGCAATATATTGAGCAATGCATTTGTGATTATTATAAATAAATAAAACTCTATGTACAACAACCACAGTAAAATCATTTGAAAAAACTGCTAACCTATTTTTTAGGATAGAAATCTTTATGAATTTCTTCAATAAAATATCATTATTCCAGTAAGACAAGGGCTTAAGAAATTATAGATGCCTTCCCCCCTAACTTAATCATATTAGCAATCTAAGTAAAACCTTCTAAATGCTTTCTGAAGTTATTGATTCCCCTTGTAGAAATCTATCTGAACTATATCATAGAGTCATTAGCAGGTAATGCTATGCTGTACAAATTATATACTGACAGAATTTACTGGTGAGGTAAGAGAATCAGGACACATTAGCCATTTGCTCAACTAATTGTTGCTACTGTGTGCATTTTACTGCGTGCAATCTCTGCAAAACAGTTTTTAATGAGGCATTAGTCTTTTTCTTATATTATTCCCTTAATTCCCTTCTATATTCTTTAAAATCCTAATCAGCAAAATCACTCACAATACCCACTTCTAAAAGTGAAACAGTTAGCTGCAATGTGGTATCAATGGACTTAGCATTGTACCTTTAATATGTGTACACTGTACATCTCAAAGGGAGTCAACTTCACATATTTGTTCATTAAACAATAGTAATGATCTTAATAAGGTACTATGCATATTTGATGAGTTTTAATGTAAAGCATATTTCCTAATATACAAAATATAGCAAAAGTAATCTTTCAATTCGAGTAATTTTCTTCCCTAGAATTTATTAAGAGCAGAAACTTCCAAATGAATAGAAATGAATTATATATAAATGATTTTTTTTCTGGAAAATCCCACGCAACCAAAAGAGTTAATATTGCATAAAAAATAGATAGGCAAATTAACTGTGGTACAAGCATTAAAAGTATATAAATGCTGGCCAAAAAAGCTAAACAGCCCATGGAAAAGGACAACTGTAATTCAACAAATTTAAATTCTAGGCCTAAGGGTAACAAAAATATAGACCCTAATAAGATGGTTCCAACTCAAGTTTTCAGAGGAATAACTATTTCTGTGGAATGACTACAAATAGTTTCTAATGCTATTATCAACAAAATAATAAAAGCCTGGAGGCAAGATAAAACGCACATCAACACTTTATATTTTAAATAACACAACATGCTTAACAATCTTAGCCATTATGCTCTCATTTTGACAACATTCAAACTCCAATGTGGTTTAAAATATTCCAGTGGGAAAAATTTGTATAAATTTTTAAGTGTTCACTAGATGTGTTGGTTGTAAATTTCTTCTCTATACACTGAACTTTTTTTTTTTAAGATGGAGTCTCACTTTGTCGCCCACGCTGGAGTGCAGTGGCGCTATATCGGCTCACTGCAAGCTCCGCCTCCCGGGTTCATGTCATTCTGTTGCCTCAGGCTCCCGAGTAGCTGGGACTACAGGCACCGGCCACCATACCCGGCTAATTTTTTGTATTTTTAGTAGAGACGGGGTTTCACCGTGTTAGCCAGGATGGTCTCGATCTCCTGACCTCGTGATCCGCCCGCCTCAGCCTCCCAAAGTGCTGGGGTTACAGGCGTGAGCCACCGCACCCAGCTATACACTGAAATTTTAAATGAAGTCAAGCTAAATATTTATAAACTCAAATACTGTGAGTGTGTGTGTATGTATGCATGTTCATTAGAATAAAAGCTGAATATAATTGTATTCTGTAAAAATTGATCCCCAAATTAGCAAACAATGACTGAATTCTAAATCTCTAGCTAAAGTCTGCATCTCTTTTTCTGAACTTTAGAATTTCATGTTCTTCATCAAGATACATCACACTTTAACATGTAAATGACCTCCAGCTGAACTCATTTTTTCTACTCCACTCTCTCCCTGGCCCCCACACAATTTTCCAAACAGGTGTTAGAATGGATGGTAATTTATAAATTTAGTTATGCAACACTTTTGCCACAACTTGTGGAATAAAACCTACACTCCCTACCTTATTCTACAAGGCTACATTGGATTTGTTCATGGATGTTATTGAGTCTCATTTCTCATACCTTTTTCATAAACTATTTTATGCCTCAGTCTCTTTGCAGGTTCTCCTCCTCCTTGCCCAGGATGCTAGCCTCTATTCTGATATTCCAATGATAAACACTTGCGCATTTTCAAGGTACATGAACGTCACATTTCTAAGTATCCTGCCTGATACTCCACTCTCAGGTAGAGTATTGTTTCTTACATTATACCGATTTAAACATTTATATATTTAACTCCCATATTAGCCTATCAGCTACTTGATATGGGAGATATTATCTAGCTCATTATTGTATCATTATCTGTTACAGTTCCAGGTGTATGATAGCTATGCCACAGACATTTCATAAAGGGTACTTACTTGGTATTTTGTAATCTCTTTAACATACACTCTTCACTAAGGCTTACAGAACAAGTCTAGAATTCTTTTTGCAGGGGAGGTCATAGTAGCTAATTCTTCTAGTTGATCATCTTCTGTTTTCTAATTGTTTTACATATTGATAAACCTAATATAATTAACACATTACATTTTCTGGCTGCAGAAATAGATTCAGGAATGGACCTTGACCTAATGCAGGTCAAGAAGCATATGAAGATTTTGGGAGGTTCCCCTGCACTTATGAAAGAACTTCAGAATTATGCTTTCATCTGGACAATTTCATATAGGGATGCTTTAAACTTACCTATTCCATTATATCTAGGACGTCTTTGACTGAAGCTTCTATATTTACGTTTGGCTTATCACTTACACTAATTTCAACCAAAGTCAGCTAGAGATACAGCTGGTTGAGCCCATAATATTAATAACAATTTCAAAAACCTAGGTCTTGTTTAACATTCATAATCAATGTAAAGTTTTATCCTCAGTTATCTACTTGTTTTTTACCGCATCCTTTTCCAAATCCATCCCTTGATCTTCCCATGAAGAAATTTTCTACTCCATCTTAATTGCCCTATACTTTATTTTCCTATAGCTGTTTTCATTATCACATGGAAGAGTTCCATTTCCAAGTTAAGTGACAGTAATGAAAAGACTTGTCTCAATTGGATTTCCTCTATTGCAATTAGTCAAATTCTGAGTATTTCACAACAATGTTATAAAATGTCAAAAGAATGTAAACTCTTTGTACTGTCTTTCTTCCTACTTTGTCTGCTACTCCACAAGGTGTTTTAGGCTTTACAAAATTTCTCAGAATGAACTTTTACATCTTTCAATTAAATTAAATAACCTTTTAATTTTTCTCTACCTATGTCTGCACTAATGTAACCTTTCATTAAATTAAACCAATAAATAAAGTTTTATTATATTCTATATTCCCTAGTCAACAGATGAAATGCCCATTTATTATGAGCTTGGTGTTAAAGTTAACTTCCAGGCTGAGCCTGGTGGCTCACACCTGTAATCCCAGCACTTTGGGAGGCCAAGGCGCATGGATCACGAGGTCAGGAGTTCGAGACCAGCCTGACCAACATGGTGAAACCCCGTCTCTACTAAAAATACAAAAATGAGCCTGGTGGCACATGCCTATAATCCCAGCTACTCAGGAGGCTGAGGCAGGAGAGTTGCTTTAACCCGGGAGGCGGAGGTTGCAGTGAGCCGAGATGGCATCATTGCACTCCAGTCTGAGTGACAGGGCGAGACTCCATCTCAGAAAAAAAAAAAAAAGTTAACATCCAGAAGAGAAGAGAAAAAATAAGAAGTTGTAGAAATGGAGTTGGAAATCTGATGGAATTTTGCCTGATCACTATCTTTGTTCTGAAATTTCTCTCTAATGAGAGTCAGTAAAACCAATCTGTATTTTAAGCTACCTTGAGTTTGTTTTCTTCTGCAGTAAAAATAGTTCAAATGATCACAAGATTTTATATATATATATGTACACATATATCTGTATCTATATATCTATATATGATAGAATGTGAATCGGGAGACATATTATATTACCAATAAGACATATATAAATCAGGGGATATATGTCTATATTTCTTATTAGTAATAATTATAATATATTATAGTAATGTAATTATACTATTATATAATATATAACATATTTTATATGTTATATAACATAATATATATTATAATTACTATAATACATTATAATATAAATATAAAATATATATAACTATAATTACAAATATAAACATATTTAATTTATAGACTTCATTTCCAAATATGACACCAAGTAGAAAGAAGTATTCCATGGGCCTTCACACAGCAACTCTTCTGTGGGCGTTCAACTCCATAGAGTGTCCTTGAGTGACAGAGACTCACTCAGGGGCTGGATGGAGGACACAGTCATACTCAGGTGTCCATAGTGACATCAAGATATAAAGGGAGAACTAGGTTGGCCAGAGTGGCATCAGTCCCCAACCAAGCCTGGAGAGAGACCTAACAATGAAATGCACGATCTCAATCTCAATGCCAAATTTACCCACTAACATGAAAGTTAAATACTTTAATAGTGTAAAAAATAATAGTGTGAATGCCATTAGAATGAATAGTGACTAGTTGGGCAAGGAAACTTGTCATGACTAATGACTAAAGAGCAGCCACAGTAACAAGAGGACACTCACAGATATGAAAACCAAAACATTTGGACCAAAAAAAGTTGTTTTATTTAAATGTTTCATTTAAGCATTTTGAGTATGGAGCAATATTACTAAATTAGACTCACTCTTAGCTTTCTCCATCTTCCAACCTCATCAGGAGGCAATGGATTTGTGAACTGAGAAGGGAGATTGGCATGCTCCATTACCCACTTAAATATCAACTAGGGGAAGAGCAGGTAATGTGGAAGAGATTTGAAAGTCTGGAAATATTTTCAAAAGGGAGTCGGTAACTTTAACTGATTGTCCACTTATGCTTTTGGATCAAACTTATTCTCCTCTGGCATCTGCTCTGTGTTGGAGCTGATTGTATACATCTCTTTCTAATTCCCTGTTCAGTCAAGTCACATAGATCGTTTGAAATCAGTCACGGTGGGAATATCTCTACCACAGAAATCTGTAGCCCATCAGATGTTTTTCTTTCTAGAGATCATTTTACCACTGTGCCAGTTTTTGGAGGCTGAAAAAGGAAGAACAGTTATATCCTTTCATGAATAAAGATACTATCTTGGGTAAGGGAAAGGGTTTGTATCAAACATCTCAAAATCTGAGCACTTATCCAAAACATAGTTAAGGTTTTGGGATAAGAGATTAGCCTGAAATTATCTCACTGAAAAGTCTTAGTTTTGTTTTCTCCTGACTTCCTCAGCACATGAGGAAAATTAGAGCAATCTTCTCAGATAAGTGGTATTTTTACTGTCCATCTCAGTTCATGTCGAGTGATTCTTTTTTCAGTAATATGCCAAATAAATAAATGCCACAGTCAAGGAATGTAATAAAATATGTAAACAACAACCATTACTAGCAAAGAGAAATAGAAAATGTTGTTTTCTACTTTTTGAGCCAATAAAATGATGTAAGTATCCTAGAGACAGGAATACTGATGCAACCATAAACAAACAAGTGATGGCCCTGATCCTAGTTTATCTGTGTAAACAAAGGATTTTGTCATTTGATCACAACATGTAACACCCAGATATTTTTTTCTCTGTGGAATGAATCTACATGTTTTATCGCAAAATAAATGTAACTATGTATTATAATATTTTTCTTCTCATACAAAAATAATCTCACTCCATATTAATCTGTTTCCCCTGTACACACATGATAAATCAGATAATTTAAATTTACTATTATTTTATTTTAAAGCTTATACCTAGACATGTTATTTTCTATTGATAAAGTTATTCCAACGATTATTATCAAATTGTTTTATTTTAATGTGTATGACATGAAAATGGAATGTCAGTTACAATTCCATCAAAAAAATGGAAGGTGGTTGTTTCTGTGTAAAAAGCCAAAAATGATCCAGTGGAGTTGCATAAACTTATTTGATTGTTTAAGCACTTAACTTTAATATAAGGTCATAAACTAAACATTAAAACTTGGGATACATGGTACAGAGTGATTCTAGACTAGAGAGCTGAAAGGAGAAACAACAACAATAAATTGGCCATGTATATGTTGGATTACCTAGATATTGCATTTATCAGAAATGTTACCTAGTATCATATAAAAATTGTGATTGGCACACTTAATGTGTCTATTGTTTTTATAGACAGTCTTTTATTTTGGGTCTCCCAAATTATTTTTTGAAATGTTATTTTGTATACCAGTTAAACACCACCCTCCAAAAAAATGACAAAATTATAAATCACAGTAATAGAAAAGTTTTTCTTTCATATATACCTAAAATATCTGACTTTATAAAATATTAATTATTTCTTTAATTTCCTCTGTAGGTTTTTGACACTGTAATAATGAGCTAAATTTTCTTCTCTCCTTATTCCATAAAACAGCACCCTTTTTGAAAATATGAGTATTTATTACACTAAATATTAATTTCCTCATTTTCATCTTGTCTCTCAAAAGAATTATTTGCTTTGCTTTTTCCAGCACTCTATTTTACAGAACACGCTGAATTATATTACCTCTTTCCTTTGTATTTTCTGGCTTGTTGTTTTGTTTAACAGCAAATGCCAGCAAAGTAGTGCTATGCTTCTGCTTATTGGTCATCGAATTATAAAGTGGAGAGAACTACCTTTGAAATTAAATTCTGTCTACTTGAGTCACATTTTCAGCAATGTTTTAATCACTTTATTTCTATTTTCACATATTACTGACACAAATAATCAAATATGTAATATAATGATTGCTTTTTATATGACATAATTGTACACATTGTTACGTTTGAGATATTCAACTGAAAAACATCACCATTTGTAACACTTGATTATAATTAACTAAACCCCAAAATAAGACTAGAAGAATTTAATGGTCAGAGAATTTAGAGGGTCATTTGATTGATTTTTCCATGAACCAAAAATCTTTCTACAACCCATAATAGAAGAAAGGTAAAATTTTTAACATAAAAAGTGAAAGAAACTTTAGACACATCGGTTTTGGAAATATGGCCCATTGAATAAATTACAACATAGAGTTAATTCATAGAAATGGAGTTATACATAATTGTATTCATTCACTCATTCGACAAAGTTCTATTGGTATGAATACTACGTAGTATGTTTTTGCCTCCAAAAACATTAATCTTAGAAATGTAAACAAATAACATGCTTTAAAAGACATGAGCGCCAAATAGTTTTATGGATCAGATCTATCTTACCTTTTTTGGAAATAATCTTGATTTTATTTATATTATTTAAAATTAAAGATGAGACTCTAGACAATGATAATATCCTATCTGAACTTCCTACTCCTCTCTTACCTCTCTTAGATTCAATATCTACACAAATAATCTGTTGTTTTGTTTTGTTTTTCAATTTTATTTGGGGATATTTTGTTACAGATTTCAATTGCTTAATAGAATGATTAGAGAAGAAATCTAATCTAAAAACTAGATTTTATTATTTAATGTCCTAGAGTTTTACAACTTTCTCATTATTTTTTCTTGTTATCCTTTTTCTATACTGTTGTATTATGTGTTGTACAATGCTGTGAAATATGCAAATTTTAAATGAATTTTTAGATATATTTATCAGTTGCATTATTATAATACGCACTCTTTACCAAGATATTGAATATTTCCAAAACTCCAGAAAAATTTTCCATGCCTCTTTCCAGTCAATACCTGCCACATTTCCCACTACAGAGACAACCACCGTTACGATCAATTTTACTGTGTATTAATTTTGACTGCTCCAGTACTTCATATAAGTGACTTCATAAGCATGTACTATCTTTATGTTTGACTTCACTCATCATTCTTTGAGGTTCAACCATGTTATATGTATCAGTAGTTTCTTTCTTTTCTTTTTTGAATATCACTGAGTAATGTTCCATTGTATGTTTATAACATAATGATTAATTTTCCTGTTGATGGACATTTTTGTCCCCATTTTTGGCAGGAATTAAGCTATTCTGACTTTCTTGTTTAAATAGTGTAATACACATATGTTTTATTCTCTCTTAGATAAATACCTAGAAGTAAATTTACTGGATCGCAAAGTAGGTGTGAGGTTTATTTTAAGAGGCATTGTCAGACTGATTTCTGTAATGGTTGTATAGTTGCACATGCCCACTGTCAAAGTATGAAAGTTCCAGTTGTTTTACATTATCTATCTATCTATCTATCTATCTATCTATCTATCTATCTATCTATCATCTATCATCTGTCTATCACTTATCTGTGAATCAATCATCTGGGTTTTTTGCTGTCATTCTTTATAATTTTAGTTATTCTAGTTTTCATGTAGTAAAATCTCATTAGGGTTTTAATTTTTATTTTCCCTAATAACTAAAAAATTGATGAGTGCTTTTTCATTTGTTTCTTGACCATTTATTTATCTACCTTTTAAACTCCCCGGTCAAGTCTTTTGGCTGATTTTTAAAATTGATTAATAGGATTGATGTTTGTTCTACTTATTTTCTGTCAATTGTATACTGCAAACATCTTAAACTATAATTTTCAACTTGTCAATAATTCTCTTCAGTTTGAATTACTTTTGCTTAATGTATTCTGAAGCTCTGTTATTAGGTGTGTATTAGGTGTGTTATTAGGTATTAGAAATTACTATGTCTTACATGCATGCATGTTTATGGCAGCACAATTCGCAATCTCAAAGATATAGAACCAACCTAAGTGCCCATCGACCCAAGAGTTGATAAACAAAATGTGGTATATATACACCATGGAGTACTACTCAGGCATAAAAAGGAATGAAATAGTGCCTTTTTTAGCAACTTTGATGGTGGCGGAGGCCATTATTCTAACTAAAGTAACTCAGGAATGGAAAACCAAATATCATATGTTTCACTTATAAGTGGGAGCTAAGCTATGAGGACACAAAGACATATGGAGTGATATAACGAATTTTGGGGACTTGGGAGAGGGAGGTTGGGAGGAGAATGAAAGATAAAATACTACATATTGGGTACAATGTATACACCTCAGTTCTTGGATGCACTAAAATCTCAGAATTCACCACTAACAAACTCATCTGTGTGACAAAAAAAAAAAAAAAACACCTATACCCCAAAAACTATTGATATAAAATAATAAGAAAATAATTTAAAAAATTAAATTACTGTCTTCTTGATTTTATCACTATAAAATGTGGATGATTTTATATCATTTTAAAATGTTTGTCTATATCCCTGGGAATATTCACTGTTCTGTAGTTTATTTTAAATGATATTTACATAGCCATTCTAGATGTCTTATGATTAGTATTATCAATTCTTATTATTAATATCCTCTATCCTTTATACAATTTTTATTTATTTATTTATTTATTTATTTATTTATTTATTTATTTAAGTGAAGGTCTCACTCTTTCACCCAGACTGGAGTGCAGTGGTGGGATCTAGGCTCACTGCAATCTCTGCCCCCCAACCCTGGGCTCAAGCAATCCTCCCACCTGAGTCTTCCAAGTAGCAGGGACTACAGGCACACACCACCACGACCCAGCTAGTTTTTGTATTTTCAGTAGAGACGGGGTCCTGCCACATTTTCCAGGCTGGGCAACTCCTGCAGGCAAGCAATCCACTCACCTCGGCCTCCCAAAGTGCCGGGATTACAGGCGTGAGCCACTGTTCTCGGCCTATCCTTTTATTTTTAACACATTTTTGTCTTCATATTTAATGTATCCTTCAACAGAATATATTGTATCTTACTTCTTTGTTTACTTTGACAATGTCTGCCTTTTAATTGGAAGGCTTACTACATTTACAGTTAATGTAAGTTTTCATATGACTGAGTAAAAGTCAAACTTATTTCTATTTTTCTTCTATTTGTCTTTTCTGATCTTCATTATTTTATTCTCTTTTTCCCAAATGAAAGTTCAAGAAGATATCCTAGACAATTTGAGAAGACTGTGGGGCTCACTCTACCTCCCTTTCTCATGGATCAGAGTCACGCTCAGCCTGTTGCATGTGTGTGAATATAGCTATTACACATTACAGGTAAATGGAATTTTTGGTTTCCTTATTAACTTTTGGATATTTGATAGATTTACTTAATTTTTAATTAGTTAGAATTAAAATTGTTTTGTCTTTGTTTATTCTGAGTTTTATTGTATTATGCTCAGAGAAAAATATGTATCAAATATATTTTTATTAATATTTCAGAAAAATATTTTTTCTGATTATAGGATAATGAGATAGAATTTACAGATATAAATATGAATGGAAAATAAGTTTTTATCTACTAGACTTATTGCCTTAATAATTATTTTGCTTTGATGTTTGATACACTTTGGGTATATAACATTTCATGCAACTTTGCTTTTCATAAAAATAATGAAATATTGTATATGTTATGGTATTTATTATTCTCTGCTGTATTTTCTAATGGTAAATAATATATTTTAATGTATAATGTAGTGTTACAATAAGAATCACTTTGTAGATAACTTATCTATTGATTGTTAAATATATGTCAATTGCTGTAATGTGTACTTTTTTGTGTTAGATTACCTCATTTAATTTATTGAAGTGCACAATAAGGCTGGTACTATGACATTTATTTTTTGTAGATGAAAAAAATGTTGCTAAGAAGGGTTAATAATTGAGCAAGGATAACACTCTTGTTAGTGCCAGAGTTGGAGTCTAAACTACTTGACTACTATGACAAGGTATTAAAGTTAAACTAAGTTTTTTTTTAATCATTCTTAATTATCCCTTTTGCCCCTTTTTCCCTGAAATTTTACGTTATATGATATTAAATAAATATTGCTCTTTGGCTCATTTTATATTTGAATTTAAGTGCTCTCCATGCCCATGTTTTCATTTCAAGATTCTTCTATGGGAGAGAGTGCAAATGTGGTGTTTAACAGTAGTTACTTTGGACATTTGGAAGGGAACATGTCACATATTTACATATATATTGTATCAAGCAGTATTCTGGTGTTTAATACTTCCATCTTATTTCTTTTACATTGAGCTAGTTAAATTCACATGCAAGCCCCATATACAAGATATAATTTGCTATAAAATATATTCATCATAACTGTATTATTATTATAATATTGTTTTTCAATATAAGAAGAATTTAAGCAGATCATATTTTGTGAAATGTATTACTTACAGCCAGGTATGACTTACAGTGCAATCAGTGCCCAAATTCATCATAACTTGGTTTCTTTATTAACAGTATAGAAGTCACAATCTACTCATAATTGTAAATCACTATAATATTATTCCATGAAATAGTATTTCCACAGATTACTGCTTTAGGTATTTTCCCTTTATAATGAAATTTTCTATATACATAACTAGCAGTTATGTATGCAGTTAGAGAAAAATTGATGAAACTGTACTCTCGAGAGGTAATAGTTTTTTAACTAAATAAATGTTTACACATGTATTTTAAAAAATATCTGGCTTAATGGAACAAGTGACATTAAATATATTTAAATATATGGTAGCGACTGACTTGGATTATCAACCCATCCCACTCTTTCCAGACTTGTCTTTTATTTTAAATACTTTGAGTTTGATGGCATCATTTACAAATTGGAATTATTAGCAGTGTTCAAAATATTAAGGCATAAAAAGGGGGGAATAGGCCAGGTGCGGTAGCTCACACCTATAATCCCAGCACTTTGCGAAGCCAAGGCGCGTGGATCACTTGAGGTCAGGAGTTCAAGACCAACCTGGTTAACGTGGTGAAACCCTGTCTCCACTAAAAAAATACAAAAATTAGCAGGGCATGGTGGTGCACCCCTGTAATCCCAGCTACTCGGGAGGCTGAGACATGAAAATTGCTTGAACCTAAGAGGCTAAGGTTGCAGTGAACCATGATAGCTTCACTACACTCCAGCCTGGGCAACAGAGTGAGAATGTATATCAAATAAATAAATAAGTAAGTAAGTAAACAAACAAATAAATAAATAAATAAATAAAAAGAAAATATAACTATTAAAGATTTCTGGAGGGTAATGTTAATAAATCTCTACCCTTTTCCCCACTAGATGAAAAGAAAAATATCTCCCCAAATCCTAATATGAAAGAAAAACATCACCCATGTTACTGTACACATTTCTACAAATCTCTTCTCTACTCTCTGCCCTCTCCCTTCCTCTCTCTCTCTGTCTTTCATAACATATGCCTCTACCAATACTATTTAGCAACAATTTTTTCATTTATTGCATAAAAGAATGGAGATAAATCATATACATTTAAAAATGCATCATACTTTTAAAAGTAAGAATGAAAAACTATATTAAACTAATCCTTATATAGGCTGCTTCTATTTTTAATTATTAGACAATAGTCCAGGGACAATCTTCTATGTACTTCTGTGCAAATTTGTTCAATGACAAACTTCAGAAGTTTTAAGAACTGGAACACTCAGACAAAATAAGGTTGATGGAATTATTTTTAAATTCATAAAAATGGGTATATTTTAATGCCCTTGAAATCATTGCTGATTTTATTTTATCACTGTTAAAAGCTATTCAATTTCAGTACTAATTAAAGAAACAAACAAAAATAAAGGCACCAATAGATATTTTCTCTTCTACATTTTCAAATATTTATTGGCCATTAATGTCCTCTACATGGGTTGCCTTATAATATTATATTAGAGTTACTTAAGAGATACCATATAAGTGGACAAAGATTGTTTCTAAATCTCTGCTATTATAATTTTATAGCAATGATTACCATTGCATTTAAGACTTTATGTAATTCTCAGTTTTTCCATTAAAATAACTTCCTAAAGGTAATATTGTTGGCCAAATGGTATGTACTTTTTAAATGCCTCTGACATAACTAAATATATACACCTATACATGCACATATACATATATTGCTATGATCATATTGTTTGTATTCCAGAAAATCTCATTAATTTACACAATCATAAGTAGAATATAACACTTTTACCCATATTCTCATAAAACACTCCTCATCCTGAAATGACCACTACTTATAATTTTCTGAAACATAGTAATATATGCGATTATTACATGAGTTTTTAAAGGTTATTATTTATAACATATAAATTTGGTATAGAGTTTAATTGCAATTTAAACATTTATAGTCTGTTTTTTATTGAATTTAAAATATGTTAGATTAGAAAGATGTTTTAAAAATGTTAATTATATTTTGATTTTGTCTACTTCATTATACTTAGTGATTAGTATTTTATATAATTTGAGACTGAATAAATATTTTTCACTGTAGATTGAATGCATCTTCAATAAAACATAGCCATTTGTTTCATGTAATGCTATTACATTCTATTATGTGTTTTATATTGACATTAAAATTGCTCTTTATGTTAACATTTTTCCTGGTTTATTTTTGCCTATAACAAGTGATTTGTTCTTGACAAGCGGTATATGAAAGTATTTGGATAGACTTCTCAATCTTAAAAATCTCATTATTGTTTATTTCATCATATATTGTTTTTTTAATATTTCTATAAGTTGATTTCTTTCTGTTTCTTTGCTTATTTCTTTGTTTTTTATTTTTGCTACATATATTTTAAAGTTTTAAAATATAAACTTCATGCTAAGAAGAACAAAAATATCAGCTAAACATGGTAGAGATGGGATGAGTTTGGAAGAACTCACCACTGATTACTTAAAATGTCCTTTTCATTACTAAGTGGTACAGTGTAGTAGAAAAGTATATCCCGGCAGAACACCACAAAGAGTTGCTTTGAAAGATAGTAGTCAGGAGGAGGAACAATTTGGGCCACTCACTTGCAACCACTTTGATCCTGCTGACCAGTAGCAGCTGAAACTTCAGCCTTTTGCTTGAAGTATAAGTCCCACCCTACCAAAAAGGATTATAAAGCCTATAGCTAAAAGCTTATAACATTGTGTTCTTTTGTTTTCCTCTCTGAAAGAAACTGAAATGACTTCCCACTTAAATGTTTCTCTTCCCAGCCTCATGAGGCTCCCAAAGGTTTTTGCTTGACTTTTTACCTCTTACTTAGGACCTCTCCTTCCTGCTTAGCTGCTTAGCCTTTGGCCTAAGACATTTTCAAATCAGAAAATGCCTTAAAGATAAAAAGCAAGAAAGAATGTCAGAATCACCTGAATATTCTTTCTTCTCTCTGGGATTTTAGCCTGTAAAACTCTAACTGCCTTATTAGACCTTTCTCCACGTTAGTTCTCAAGTTTGCCAACCCCTGCTTTAGCTCACTTGGAAATAAAGCACGAGAGAAAAGCCAAGTAAATTATGAAAAGGAAAGGCAACAAGAGCTGCACCAGCATTAGCAATTATTGAAATCTATTCTGAATCACTAGGAATTAAAACAGGTAAGTGTCTTTACAGGATAGACACATATTTAAAACTAAATGGAAAATATGGAAATAAACATAGCATATTTATAATATAATTCATAAAAATATTTAGTCATTTGGAAGCATTTTTAAAAGAACAGCAGAAATGTACCAAAATCAATATGGCAGTCTTTAAAAATATTGTTGGAATGAGAAACATTTGGGAAAAAATTTTAAACAAAGCTAGAAAAGTAATAGGATAAATATAACTGAATCTTTTTATGTTAAAAACAATTGTGTAATCAGAAAAGTCATAGAATCTAATTCCTAGAATCCATTACAATTGTTTTAATAAATTAGACAAGGACAAAGACAAATTTCAATATGAAAGAAATATAAACAAGTTAAATATTTAAACGACAATCTGGAGGAAATAATTGCAATATTCTTAGAGTCAAAAGACTAATGCCTTTAATTTTGTTTACATATAAATCCATTAGAAAAAAACCTGAAAGAAAAAGTGGGAAATATATATGTAAAAACAGAACACAGAAAATATTAATATTATAAATTGAAACAAAATAAAAATATAAAGTTCTCTCAAATAGGTGAAAATGCTATGCCTCACCCATAATTTGAAAAAGTTGTAAAATAAAATTATAAACTGTGAATCATACATTATACATTATATACATTATATATACATACATGCACATTATATATACATATATACATTATATACCTATCAGAGTAAAGTAACATTGGCATATTCTTGGCAATACCAAGTGCTGGCTAGGAAATAAAAAAATAGGCACTGGTATTTCTTTTGTTGTCAGTATCAACTGGAGCAAACGTTTCGGAAGCTCATTTGAATATATATTTGCCAGTTACACTAGCAATCCATGAATCTAGGTAGATGTACTACTTTGCCAAGATATAAATGGAAGGATATTTATGGGAGCATTGTTTCAAATGTCATCAATCTGTAAACAAAAACAAATTTATCTCAATAAGGCTAATTATATTAATTATGGTAGAGTCTTAAAATGGAATACTGTATAGCCTTTAAAGTAGATGATGTGTATCTATCTGTTGTGATATAGAAATACCTGTATAGCTAAAATGAATTGTTAATTGAAAAGTATGTGGCATAACAATAAGAATAATACTTTGTCTTTAAATAATACACTCACACGCTTCTGAATGAAAAGACTGGTGAGTAGGTAAGGGATATGTAGTTTTAATTCGGTTTTGTTTTTGTTTCAGTCTATATTATTTCATTTTTACTATTAGCATCTATTTTATAAGACATACACAAGTAACTTAAAAGTATATTTAATGTAAATATATTTAATTTTATATTAGTGAGTAATTTTAAGCTCAGGGTAGGACTAATTGAAAGCATAAATCATTTTAGTTTCCTCAGTTCAATGGCTGACTTCTCATGATTTATTCAGTTAGGCCTCTAAAATAAGAGAAACAGAAATGTATCAGGAAAAATATTCTTCCTTGGAAAAAATTACAAAGTCATGACATTTGCTAGCAAATATGTAAAGATAAAGAAAATAAACATATAGAAAATTATTGAAGATTGCTGTTTTTCTATTAGTGACATATTCTAATAATCTACCAAATATTGGATGAAAATAAATGGAATTTGAGCTGTAAAGACTTGGGAGGAGGAAAAAGCTACACATGTTATTGATTACTAAGAAAATAGAGTGATGATCACTGACAAAGATATTGACATACCATAATGAAGATTATACAATTTAAGTCTTGGGACCCTGTTAGTTCTTTTTATCTCCACAGTAAAGAACATAGTCTATAACATATGAACTATAAACTATCTGGAAAGATTCTAGCCCTTGGAAGTAGTATGATAAATATTTCAAAGTTGAGGATGAGTAACTTGAAGTAAAGTAAGAATGTTTATCAAAGTTAAGTTATGGAAGCTTAAATGTAGCTTAAGAGTTTTCTACACATATTTTTTTTCTCTTTAAATTCTTCTTTGTACTCAGTCCATCCAGGCTTTTGCCTTTACCACCACAGGTCTTATCATGTGTGCTGCTAAATGCAAAGCCCATTTGTCAGATTTAATTACATTTAATTAAATTCTACGTATTACATACCCCTAGTTCCCCTTTTGCTTTCTGAATATTGTTTTCCTCAGTCTCCAGTGTTTATCATTCCTCATCTAGAATTCTCAAAGATGAAAGCCTCCAAAATTCAGTCCTTCTATGTATTTTCTTTTCCACTGTAGTTAAATTATCAGTCACAAAATGTTAAATATCTTTCATTCTCAGTGACTTCCAAGTCCATATTTTAGGCCAGATCTATCCACTGGGCTTCAGACTGAAATATCTGTTTTCCCTTCACCTATTTCTTTAGTTTAGTTTAGTTTTTTTTTAAGTTGGAGAAAGGAAATTTTGTCTGTTCTCAATGTTTTTCTTTAAACTTAAATCAGATAATAATTTTCAGCTCAACATGCTCAAGAATTTCCTATCACAAATAACGACTAAAATCCTTATAATTATATTCAAGGCCTTATAATTTCCTTTCATGATTTATAGTAGCATAAAAGTATAAATATTTAGAGATAACAAATTTGGTATTAATGGGGGACTAAAAATCCACCAATGCAAGCACTGAGAATTTAGAAACACATTCACATATACATGGAAACTTAACTTGCAATGGGGATAGGTAGGCTGGTGTTTTTAAAAAACAAAACAAAACAATTTTAGTAAAATTAGTAATCCATGAGGGAAAAAAATAAGATAAAATTGGACCACCACTACACTCACATATACACACACCTACACATACCACAAATTACTAGTACATTAAGTATGAAAGATAGAATTATAAATATTTTAATATATTACAATAGAGAATCTTCAATAACTGTAAAGGAAACTTTAGCTACATCAAAATGAAGATAATTTGTTTTCAAAACACACTGCAAAAAGATACGTAAAGATAAAGAAAGTGATAATGTAATAATCCACTGATACATACAAACTATTCTAAAACTGTCATTTAGAAAAATAAAGATATACTACTTTTTGTATTCTGTGGGTTAACTGGCTTCAACTGGGAAATTCTGTTCTAAGTAGAGTAGCTAAACTCTCATATGCACGTTGATTAAGTTGGAAGCCTGACCTGATAGGACATCCTAGATGGCTAATTGTCCTCTCGAATCTCTCCCTGCATGGTCTCTTATCATTTTCATTATTTTACATCCAGCTTCTTTACAGCATGGCAGCTTATGTACAAGAGAGAACACTGCAAGAAGTTAAGCTCCAACGTGCAAGTGTTTGTCAAGTTTCCGCATGATAATATCCCACTGGCCAAAGTAAGAAGGCAGGCTAAACTTTAAGACAATATAAAAGGGGATTTTAAAAGGGTGGGCGAGGCACATCTTGTTGGAAGCCAAAATGTAATAAGTCTATTCCACTCCACCCTCTGACTTCCAATGATTCACACAACTTCCACGTGCAAACTATACTCACTGCCACCCAACATCTTTGAGTGTCTCATTCCATTGTAACATCAGATATAGTCTTGAATCTAGAATGTCATTATCTACCTCAGTTGCAGGTGGTGATGAGTTTTTGTATGGAATTCCTCAAGTGCAGTTCCCTCCATCTTGTTCTGCAGATGCAGAAGTCTTTAGATGGAAAAAAGAAAAAAAACAATCTGGCTTTCGCATTCCCATCATAAAATGCTGCATCCAAGATAGAACAAACACAAATGACACTACCATTTACAAAGAAGTCATGTGTTCATAGCAATTCCAAAATCTAGCTAGGTTCTGGTCGCTGGCCTCTTGGTTCTGGCCTCAAATCATCTTTCTTTTTCCACAGGAAATTATTCATCTTTGCTACTATCTTTCTCATTCTCTTTCCTGCATTTAGAAATTTGGACATACAGAGAATTATTTACATTTTGAACTTTCATGTTCCCTTTTAGTCCAAGGTATGATAACTCCTTTAAAAACTTTGTATTACTATAGTAAATTTAAATAGATAACAGGCCTGAAGAATCTTTGAGCAGACAAAGTCAGTTAAGTGACCTTAACCTTGCTTGATTTGCAAACTTAAGTGAAACTTAACTTGAGGTATTTATTCTAAATGCCTATATTAGAGAAAAATAAAATTTAAGGCTAAACAATCAGAAGCCACCAACTAACTTGTATAAATAGAGACTTTCAAAAAGGCTAGACCAAGTGAGGCAACTGTGTAACTGTAACCAGTGAAATATTTTCTTTGCTTTACTTGTGCATTCAAAGCCTTTCCCTTTTGCATTTCCTTACTGTAGCCTGAAACCATCTTCACTTTGGTGCTTTCAGATTCATGAATTGCTGTTTGCTCAAATAAATTATAAAATTTTACTTTGCCTCAGTTTAGCTTTTAATAGTATTAAATGATAATCTACTACATTAGACAAAAATCACACCCACAAATTCACTTGAGCCTTTCTCTACTTTGGGTAGCGAATTAGGGTGCTGTTAATACATTACCATTAAGTTCTTTAGAAGCACCTTTTTTTTTGGAGAGATGTATTCAAGTGTTTTACAGCTGCACTATTGACTTGACTTCATCTCTGAGGCCATGTTTTATTGGCAGCGCCATGGATTTTATCATAGCCTTGAGATTATTTCTTACTTTGAGATTATTTTGTTGGCTGAGGAGAGAATGAGAAATATTTATATTTTCCAATCCAGCAAGTCCAAGGTTGGACATTATTTCCTTTAATCTGGCTAGAAAACTGAAAAGTTGATTATTAAGTTGGTGCAAAGGTAATTGCAGTTTTTGCCACTGAAAGTAATGCACTTGTACCAACCTAATAGTTCATCTCTTTCTTGCAATGTCTTATGATAAGTGACTAAAGTAACCAATTAGCATTTTAAACATTGTTCCTAGAAATCTTAGCTCTATTCACAAGTTTTTTAGATACATTTTCTTTCTTGCATTTCTTTTTTTCTTTTCTTTTTTTTTTTTTTTTTGAGACAGTCTCACTCTGTTGCTCAGGCTGGAGTGCAGTGGCATGATATCAGCTCACCACAGCCTCCGTCTCCTGGGTTCAAGCGATTCTTGTGCCTCAGTCTCCCAAGTAGACAGGATTCCAGGCGCCCGCTACCACGCCCAGCTAATTTTTGTATTTTTAGTAGAGACAGGGTTCTGCCACATTGGCTAGGCTGGTCTGAAACTCCTAACCTCAGGTGATCCGCCTGCCTTGGCCTAACAAGATTTTGGAATTACAGTCATGAGTCACCATGCCCGGCCCAATATCCAACAAGAGTTCTCTTTTCTCTAGCCTCCTGTAGCAATTTCCTCACTGACTTTCCCATTTCCAATAATAGGCTGCTTGCCACTCTTTAGGCCTCCTACCAGCTGGCCACAAACAAATGAAACATGTTTTAGTTTTATGTTATCTCAGTTAATAATTTATGTTTCAGTTATTTATTTCATAACTATCCTAAAATGTAGTGGCCTAAAATAAGAATGTATTATTTTTCATAATTTTGAATGTTCTGTGCTCAGTTGGACAAGCCTTTTGTGCCAAGTGATATAGTCAAGGTCACAAAGTCACGAGGATTAGTGCCAAGGTCACTAATTCAGCTATATTCATTTTGAAGCCCAGCCTGGTTTGGAATAATACAGATATCTCTCATTCTCCAAATTCTTTCTACATATGATCTTTTATCATTCAGCAGTCTAGCTTAAACTTCTTTACAGTATGTTTTCTGCAATTAACAGGGAAATTTCCAAGAGGTTCAGGCCTTTGGAACGCATAATATATGCCATATCATCCTTGTTAATGACCAATGGGCCAAGGAAATGTACATGGCCAAACGTAGAAACAATGTGTGATGATACTACAGATGGCTAGAGTACCAGAAAGTATGGTCCAATGGGTATCACTAATGTAATTGTTTACCACATTTGGTAAAGATATATACTAAACATGTAACAAAGGATATGCATCCAAAATAAATAACATATCCAAATGTTCAAATTCAGGGTAATGGTTACCTTACATCATGGGGAGGAAGAAGGAAGCTCTCGGGGGTTTCTTGATCCCTAGGATATTCTATTTATTGGCCTGGGTAAGAGTACACAATTTTGTAAATGAATGCTCAGTATATCTATACTCATTTTTATGTGAGCTTTTTTGTATGTTCTATACTTCATAGGGAAACAAATAAAAATTGTTAAAAATGATAAATATCCAAGACAAGTCAATTTCATTATGTACATAATTGCTCATACTGGAAATCAAAACTAAATAGAACACACACAAGAATGAAAAAGAGAAATACTAGTTGAAAAAAAGACTTGATATATTTTCAAAAAATTATCATTGACCAGAAAAAAACCTTATAAACATTAGTATAATGAAGTTAAAGTTACAGAACTTAAAGGAGATAGAAGATTCATAAACATTTTGATGGGAAAAAAAGATGATTCAAAAGAGGCAAACTTATTATTTACCCTCTATAGTAATATTCAAAGGCTATAACATAAATTCTAAGGTAAAAAATTATAATATTTTGATTAAAAAACAATATAAATCAAAAATTTCATTTCCAAGATCTTCAACTTATTACAGCATAAATACATAAGATAAATATATAAATAGTTGAATGAATAGATAGATAGATAGATGGAAACTTAATTAAATTTAGCCATTTAAGATTTGATTAAAAGCAAAGAGGAAAGAGGAAAGCAAACTAAAAGAACATTTGTGATCATAGAACCAATTCAAATGACTAAGAATAAACACAATAAGAATTTTTTGATTATACAAAATATATTTTATTGCTGCATAGTAAATTTATTTAAGGAGATGCAGGAGCAATAATGTTAAGGTAGAATTGTAAATCTGCTAATTTCCTCTCTTTTTTAACAATGTTAAAAGCTACTTAATATCATAAGCATTCTAATTTTTATAATTTCACATAATTTTAGGCTTTCATTATAACTTTTCCTGCTTTAGAGCAAAGGTTCTCAACTCTGGCTTCGCATTAGAATCACATTTAACTCTCTTGATAAGCCAGTCACACCCTCCTACACCAATTAAATCAGGACCTATGCAGGATGAGACTCAGAGATCAGTACTTAGAATACTCTCTGGTGATCCATTGCACGGCCGCAGAGCCTTGGGTACATGTTTTCTAAATTTAAATGGATTTTACTAATTTATAGTGTTTCTATATCTTGAGGTGAAACAAGAATATTCTAAAATTTATTAATTTATCAATTTTTAGCTTCATTTTCTTGAGAAGAAATAGCATTTTAATAACTTTTACTAAAAATACTTTTTAAACAATCAGTATTCTGTTTATATTTCTTTACTAGGTCTATCTATCTATCTATCTATCTATCTATCTATCTATCTATCTATCATCTATCTACCACCTATCAAGGTAGGTAACTAGCTATCTATACCTTTATATCTTTTTATGTGCTCTATAATGTAAATAAATTTGGCAAAGACTATTTCCAAGTGCTAGAATTTTGGTGTGGATTTTCAACTTTTTTCTGTGCTTTTCTCCAATACTTGACGTTTCATAATACAAATGTTATATTTTCACAAAAAATTTAATTTTTACTTTATGTTTTATTTTCAACTGGTATTGAATGAATTACATATTGTATTTTGTTAGATAATTGGTCATATTTAAATTTATAGTTACAGTTATTCTTTGAAAGATTAAATATTTATTAATGACTGAAAGTATACTTTTATTATAAGTATCTTGACAATAAAATATCTATTTGTCTACAGTTTGGTGGCTTGTTTTTATGGGCTTGGAACTAGAGCAAGGCAATGGATGTTTGCAGTTTAATTTTGACATTTCACAGCTTGAATTGGTAAAAATATATGCCTCTGTGATGTGATAGCTAAATGGGTATACATCAGGACTAAAAGAAGGAAATGAATATCCATAATTAAATTTTTATATGTTATAGCTTGCGGTAGTGAAATAAATATCTGTCAATGACATGGATGTTAAATGGTTATGTGTCAGCATCTAGAGTACAGAAATTAATATCCTCAATTAAATGTCTATTTGTTATGTAAAATTTTGATGCAGACATTCTTCATGACTTAAATTCCTTCAAGAGTTTTTCTAATCTTCACAAAAATAAGATGTCTACATTTGCCCTCTTTTGAAAACATGGTGAGGGCAGAGAACGAAGGAATTTAATTTACAGAATGTCTGCATTTTTAAGCAATAAATGACCCATAAGTCACTTTATATCTTCATGATCTCAATTTCCTAATATATTAAAAAGTTAAACCTCTTTTTCTCCTCTCATTTTCTAGCCCTCCTTATTAATTATCTGAATTAGTATGTTTTTGCACTGCTATAAAGAAATACCCAAGACTAGGTACTTTATAAAGGAAAGAGATTTAAGTGACTCACAGTTGTGCATGGCTGGGGAGGCATCAGGAAACTTGTAATCATGGCCTAAGGGGAAGTAGGCACCTTCTTCACAAGGCAGCAGGAAAGAATGAGTGTGGAAACTAGGAAGTGCCACACTAAAACCATCAGTTCTCATGAGAACTCACTCACTATCATGAGAACAGCATGGGGGAAACTGCCTCCATGATCCAATCACCTCCCACCTGGTCCTTCCCTCGACATGTGGGGATTACAACTCTAGATGAGATTTGGGTGGGGACATAGAGCCAAACCATATCATCATCCTTGACCACCTTCACTTCATTCAAAGTTAATAGGTAAAGAAAAAGCCACATATAACCATAAAATTAAGAATTATATGCAACAAAATTAATCAAGTTACAATGAGAAAAAAACTGTTTTGTTATTTCAGTATATTACATACAAGATTTTCTGTATAGTGTCAATGCTGTGAAAAAAGATTTAAAATATTTCTTCTATAGAGAAATGTTATTCATATGTTCAAATACTTTTTAGGATTAGAGAGAACTCCATCCTCCAAACATCTTTGACTAGTGGATATTACATACAGCATTATCACAGGGTTACAATTCTGGAATTCATTTGAAGACACTACTAAATAGTCTTTTAAAATAAGATCTGTTCTGGTAAGCAATAATATAATCAATAATAGGTTAAAAGTTTTCTGGAAATTCTGTCGAGGTAATGATTATTAATTATGAAAAATAAGTCAATTGTTTATACACTGTTAAGATTAGATATAACAAAAATAACACCGGAAATAATGAAATTTAATTATCTGTTGATTCTGTATAGGAAATGCAAACTCTTAATCACATATTCATTATAAACTATTATTTCTTGTCATGTAACTTTCACATTAGAATAAATGTATGCATATAATTATCAGTATACAGATATGCAAACACACATGAATACATGTGCATGGTATCAATTTGTTACATGTTTGTCTTGTTAACTTAGGAAAATCAGCATTTGTAAATTCTAGTTTCCATTCCCCAAATCACTTTTCTCTCAAGATTTCCTCATTTTGATGACAAATCAAGCTGTTACACTGTACTTTCATCAGAGAATGTCTGCACATGTATCCTGGCAACCACATGCTGCAGTTGCTTTGAATTCTTGAAGCACATGATGAGAAGGAAATTGTTAAGGCCAAAAACCAAGTTTTAAGGAAAAAAATTACCATAGAAAATAAAATGTTTCTAAGTTGTTTTTGAATGAGTAGAACTTCTACCAGCTGAATTATTAAATTCCTACTTTTAAAGACATTTGCTTTTACTACCTAAAGAAGATGGTCAGACTATAAAAATGTGTTTTGGTTCTATGACAATACTATGTAGAACAAGGCCCAAATGTGAACACTTAAATTCATTAACTGAATATTTATTTTATTACAGCTAGAGCAGTTTTTCAATTTTCATGATTTCTATGCCAAAACATATCTGAACACTATGCAAATATGAAATAGTCTGAACACTTCAGCTAGTTTGCATGTACTGAGAATTCTAGAAATTCTGCACATATTGTCCTTACAGTAATTGTATCATAACTACAATATTGACAGTTATGATTACATAATTATCCTAAGCATACCACTCTGGAGAGACTGATCTCACAATTGCATCAATGATGATGAAAAACTATCCTGACCCAAGCATCGTAAAATCTGTACACCTTCCCTGATTTGCTGGCTACAAGCTGAGAGAGGATCAGTAGGAGACATGTAAAAGCCTTCAATGAATCATGCTCTATTTTGAGTCTATTTAAAAGACTAAGACACATTCCCCAAAATTCAACTAGACACATTTTTATGTAATCACTCCAGCCTGTGAACATGCACACATATAGTGATCACATGAATATCATAAGTGTTCATTAATATTTGGAAAAAAATGGCTTTCAATGTATCAGAAAACAAGCATTAAAACATCTTAAAAAATAGGAAAGAGCAGAGTAAAATTTAAAACATGAGAAAGGGGAAAGTAAGGATATAAATCAATAAAATAAAAAACTACAAATCAGTAGTGAAGATTAAAAAACTAAAATCTAGTTGAAAAAAAGATTGTTCAATATTTAGTGTTGTTTTTAGAAGACTGATGAAAAATTATAAAACCAAAAAAAAAGATAAAATTACAAGTACAATTGAGGTAGGAGGTGGCATACCGGACCAGATTGAAGTCTAGCTAAAATAGGAAAGAGGCAAAAGCACCTTACCATAAGACACACCCACCAGTGTGCCACTTCAGTTTACCATTGCCATAATAAAACCCAAAAGTTACCACCACTCTCTATGGCAACGACCGGATGACCCAGAGATTACGACCTTTTTCTTAGAAAGTTCTACATAATCAGCCACTTAATTTGCATAAAATTAAAAGTGGGTATAAATATGACTGCAGAACTACCTGCTGCTACTCTGGGCACACTGCCTACGGGGTAGCCCAGCTCCACAAGGTGCAGTACCTCTGATGGTGCTGTACCCTCCCTCTTCAATAAAAATTGCTGTCTAACACATCAGTTCACCCTTGAATTATTTCTTGGGTGATACGGTTTGGCTCTGTGTCCAAATCTCATCTTGTAGCTGCCATAATTCCCATATGTTGTGGGAGGGACCTGGTGGCAGATGACTGAATCATGGGGGCAGGTGTTTCCCATACTGTCCTCATGATAGTGATTGGGTCTCACGAGATCTGATGGTTTTAAAGACAGTAGTTTATCTGCAAAAGCTCTTATTTTTTGCCTGCTTCCACCCACATAAGATGTGACTTGCTCCTTCTTGCCTTCCACCATGATTGTGAAGACTCCCCAGCCATGTGGAATTGTAAGTTCAATAAACCCTTTTCTTTTGTAAATTGCCCAGTCTTAGGTATGTCTTTATCAGCAGCCTGAGCTAAGCCCCAATTTGAGGCTCTCTTGCCCTGTATCATCTGGTGACTGATTGTATTAGTCTGTTGTCATGCTACTAATAAAGACATACCTGAGACTGGGTAATTTATAAAGAAAAAGAGGTTTAATGGACTCACAGTTCCACATGACTGGGAAGGACTCACAATTATTGCAGAAGGTGAAGGAGGATAAAGGGCCTTACAGGGTGACAGACAAGAAAGTTTGTACAGGGGAATTTCCATTTATAAAACCATCAGATCTTGTGAGACTTATTCACTACCATGAGAACAGTATTGGAGAAACTGTTCCCCTGATTCAATTATGTCCACCTGGCCCCACCCTTGACACATGGGGATTATTACAATTCAAGGTGAGATTTGGGTGAAGACACAGCCAAACCATATCCTTCAAGCCCTGGTCTCTCCTAAATCTCATGTCTTCACATTTCAAAACTAATTATGGCTTCCTCAAAGTCCCCCAAAGTCTTATCTCATTTCAGCATTAACTTGAAAGTCCATAGTTCAAAGCCTCATCTGAGATGAGGTAAGACCCTTCTGTCTATGAGCCTGTAAAATCAAAAGCAAGTTAGTTAGTTTCTAGACACAATGGGGGTGCAGGCATGTCTCCTGTCCCAAAAGGGAGAAATTGGCCCAAAGGAAGGGGCTACAGGCCCCAAGCAAGTCTGAAATCCAACAGGCAGTCAAATTTTAAAACTCCAAAATGATCTCCTTTGACTCCATGTCTCATATCCAGTGCACGTTGCTGCAAGAGGTGGGCTCCCACAACCGTAAGTAGCTCTGCCCTGTGGCTTTGCAGGGTACTTCTCCCCTCCCAGCTGCTTTCAGGAGCTGGTGTTGAGTGTCTGCAGCTTTTCCAGGCTCAGGGTGCAAGATGTCAGTGGATCTACCATTCTGGGGTCTGGAGTATAGTGCCCTCTTCTCACAGCTCCTACTTGGGTAGGGACTCTTGAGTGGGGGCTCTGACCTCACATTTCCCTTCTGCACTGCCTTTGCAGAGGTTCCCTATGAGGGCTCTGCCCCTGCAGCAGATTTCTGCCTGGAAATCAAGGCATTTCCATACATCCTCTAAAATCTAGGTGGAGGTTCCCAAACTTCAATTATTGACTTCTGCGCACCTGCAGGCTCAGCCCCATGTGGAAGCCGCCAAGGCTTGGGGCTTGCACCCTCTGAAGCAATGGACTGAGCTCTATGTTGGCCCTTTTTAGCCACAGCTGGGACATACGGCGTCTAGTTCTGAGACTGCACAAAGCAGGAAGGCCCTGGGCCTCACCCATGAAACCATTTTTCTCTCCTAGGTCTCCTGGTTTGTGATGGGAGGGGCTTCCATGAAGACATCTTACATGCCCTGGAGACTTTTTCACCATTGTCTTGGCAATTAACATTTGGCTCCTCATTACTTGTGCATATTTCTGCAACCAGCTTGCATTTCTCCCCAGAAAATGGGGTTTTCTTTTCTATTGCATTGTCATGCTGCAAATTTTCCAAAATTTTATGTTCTGCTCCCTCTTGAAAACTTTGTTGCTTAGAAATTTTTTCCACCAGATACCCTAAATCATCTCTCTCAAATTCGACATTCTACAAATCTCTAGGGCAGGGGCCAAATGCTGCCAGTCTTTTTGTTAAAGCATAGCAATAATCACCTTTGCTCCAGTTCCCAATAAATTCCTCATCTCCATCTGAGACCACCTCACCCTGGGTTTCATTGTCCATATCATTATCAGCATTTTGGTCAAAACCATTCAAAAAGTCTCTAGGAACTCCAAACTTTCCCACATCTTCCCGTCTTCTTCTGAGCCCTCCAAACTGTTCCAACCTCTGCATGTCACCAGCTCCAAAGTCGCTTCCACATTTTAGGGTATCTTTACAGTGGTACCCCACTCCTAGTATGAATTTACTGTATTAGTCCATTCCCATGCTGTTAATAAAGACATATCCAAGATTGTTATAAAGAAAATGAGGTTTAATGGACTCACAGTTCCACATGGCTGGTGAGGCCTCACAATCATGGCAGAAGGTGAAGGAGGAGAAAAGCATGACTTACATGGTGGCAGGCAAGAGACCTTGTGCACAGGAACTCCCATTTATAAAACCATCAGATTTTATAAGACTTATTCACTACCATGAAAACAATGTGGGGGAAACCACCCCCATGATTCATTCATCTCCACCTGGCACTGCTGTTGACATGTGGGGATTATTACAATTCAAGTTGAGATTTGGGTGGGGACACAGTCAAACATATCACTGATGAAGTAACAAAGACAGTATAGAAGCAGCCATTGGGGAGAAATTGCAAGGCAGTGGTCAGCAGGATGGTGAGACAGTGGAGTGGTGTGCCAACTGTCAATGGGATGGCAAGAAGGTGAGAGGCAGTGAATGGCAAGAGACAGCAAGATGACAATCAAAGCTGCACAGCTATAACACTGAGGCTGTAACATAAAGAGCTGGTAAAATTGCAGAGCTGTAACGCTAGCCGAAAGCACTTTTAAAAGCAATGTTTGGCCAGGCATGGTGGCACATACCTGTAATCCCAACACTTTGGGAGGCCAAGGTGGGATGATTGCTTGAGCACTGGAGTTTCAGCCTGAGCAACATAGCAAGTCCTCACCTCTATTAAAAATAAAGTCATCATTTTCCCTGGTGGACAGCAGAGCCGAGTAAATTGGCAAGCAGCCAAATTGCCATTGCCTTATATGGGACCTGCCATTCTGACCAGCAGGCCAGTGGATTATCATTCTCTCTGTTAGGTCCTCCCACCATGGCAGCTGAACCCAACCAGGCTGAGGGAACCAGAAGAAATATTACTCAAGTCCCACCCACATGGAAGATCAGTCAGCACCCTTTTGCTCCAGCGGATGGATGAGTATCCCCTCTGTCGCCCTCATAATATAGAGTGAGCTAGGGAATAAAAGCCTTTGGCTAAGCAGTCAGTGAAAAACTTCCCCATTGTTTGAGTGCCTCAAAACACTTCCTTGTCACCCCTTCACCCCTTCACCCTTTTTCTTCTGACTCTATTTTATTACTCTGCAAGCCATGTTATTTTCTGTCCTAAAATGTATGTTTTGTTTGCAGTCTTTTGCTTTGCTCTGATTCCCTGAGCAATTGTTTAAGGCAATCTAATTGGTTGTGTGAGATCCTCCATTGTATTAACTCTGGGATGCCATAGTTACATTGTTCTGTGGCCCAACCAGGACTTTGGGGTTCACTGTTGGCCATCCTCTAAATGCTCCAGGGTTTTCAGCATTTGGTCAGCCCCTAGATATTCTGGAATTTCTGGAGTTTGGAATGGGGACCCTTGTTGGCTGATACTCAGGTACTCTGGATTTTTGGCATTTGCTATTGTTGGCAATGATTTAGGGCTTTCAGAATTCATATTTCTTCTAGGACTGTGAGTTGGAGTTCCACCTAGGGGAATCTTGGTCTTGCCTTTGCTTGTTTTCTGCCCTAAAGTTTTCATTTTCATGATAGCATTTTATTTTCTTATTGTCACTTCATTTACACTTTTCCTCCTGCACTTTTCTTAATAAAAATGCTTCTTTTGTCATATTTCATTCACTGGCAAATGCTTATAATTCTTCATAACACATTGCTACCTATACTTACACCTTCTTTGCAAGAAGTGGGAATCTGAAAGCGAAAAACAAGAAGGGCCCAGTTGTTTTCCTCTTCCTAGACTTAGAAAAACTTCTGTGTCCTATAGAAATCCTTGTTACACAAGGGGACAATGACAAACATCACAGAGGACCAGCCAGTAGAGTGTCATTTAGGCTATTGTAGCAAATTCAAATTCATCTTAAAGTCAAAGAAACTCATTTTCTATTGAAATATTATTTGAGCTCAATACTAATTAGAAAACCAATAGATTTGGTCTTAAAATGATTCTTTTAGTTATAATGATATTTTATAATTAGACTTGTTCTGTCAAAAAGAAGGAAAATGGGAGGAGGTCCATTATGTACATGCTTTTGTGGCCCTTATGCTAGTTCATGTTATTTCCAGGCACCAGGAAGCCACACATACCGGATCCCCTTCTAGCCGTTCCACCTAAAAGGCCTATAAACTCCCTGGAGTTTCCTCAGACCCTCAATCCTGAAGGGCGCCCCACTAGTTCTCTAATGAAGGATTCCACCCCAAGGTCATTAGGAAACCACCTTTATTCAATTAGCGCCAGCCTATACCCACCATTGCCCCAAAGCATAAGCCCAACCAGAACCACCAGAAGCAGGACCCATATCAGCTCCTAAAGTCAAATCTGTGTCCATTGTGGGAGGTGACTGATGGACGTGAGGGAATACTTAGAATACATGTGCCATTTTCTATGTGTATAGCTTTATACAAAGACAAATTTGGTCAGTTTTCAGAGAATCCAGAAAAGTTTATAAATGAGTTTGTTAAATGGACCATGTTCTTTTATTTAACTTGTCATGACTTACAAATATTGTCATCCACTTGCTGTGCTGTGGGAAAAAAAGTAGAGGAAAAAGCATGCGGTTAAACCAGTCAATTATGACAAAGTTGATAAATAAGTCAGGTAAAAGAGGAAAATCCTACTCTGCTTTGGGGGCATTTGGTTCAGGCCCTCAGAAAATCTGCTAATGCAGACCCCTACTCTTCAGAAGGGCAAGTTCTTCTCAGTATACATTTTATTACTCAATCTGCCCCTGACATTAGGAGGAAGCTACAAAAATGAGCAATGGGACCTCTAACTCCTATGAGCTAACTCTTAAACATGGCCTTTAAAGTTTATGACAACAGAGACAGGGCAACAGAGGTGTTTTAAAAAAAAAGAGCCAAAAAGTACAATTATTAGCAAATGCTTTAAGCCCCTCTGCACTCTCAGGGCTGCCCATCCTGAGAAAGTGTCACAAGATTGGTGTCTGGAATGCCCAGACAAGAGCTCCAAACTTGCCAACCCCTGGGCCAGAATTAGTGTGCTTACTATAAGCAAAAAGGCCAATGGCAATGAGAATGTCCTAACTGTGTGAGACAGAGAGAAAAAGCTCTGCATAAATTATAGAGCTTACCTTCTTCCACTAACCCCAAAGAGATGCCTTGCTCAAGTATGTTTACTGGGGAACACAGACCCTAGAACCCGATGGACAGCTTTCCACAGTGGTGACAAGTGGCTGCCTAAACATTTTTTTTCAGTGTCTCTACTGTTAGGTGAGCTCTCCAGAGGCTTGAGAACTCCAGGGTCTTTCCTTGAGCAATGCAGTTTGCCCCTTTCCTTCCTTATATTTGATGCCATGGGATCCCCTCCCCTGTCTTTTCTTCTCTTCCATTTGGGACAAACAAAATTTGGCCAAATAGATGGGTCACAATTTATAACTTGAATCCTGTTGTCTTATACAGGTCATTTTATCTGATGCGTTTGTTTAGGTATATATGCAGGTGTTTAAATGTGTGTTGTGTCTAGTGTGCTATCATATTGACATTTTTTTGTTCGTTTGGTTTTGAGACAGTCTTGCTCTGTTGCCCAGGCTAGAGTGCAGTGGTGCGATCTCAGCTCACTGCAATCTCTGCCTTCCAGGTTCAAGGGACCCTCCTGCCCCAGTCTCCCAAGTAGTTGGGACTACAGGTGCATGTCATCATGCCTGGCTAATCTTTTGCATTTTTAGTAGAGATGGTGTTTCACCAGGCTGGTCTCAAACTCCTGACCTCAAGTGATTCACCCGCCTTGGCCTCCCAAAGTGCTGGGATTATAGGCATGACCCACTGCACCTGGCCTCATAAATAAAAGAGTGGCCTTATAAATAAAAGAGTGCTCATAAGTTAAACAAGATAGTCTAAGATTATTAGTTTGCAGAGAATGTTGTGTCTTCTAAAATTTAATATTTTTACCTAGCTAAGTCACTGATGTTCATAGGCATTAAGATGGTTAAAATGCCTTTAAATGGTGACTAGCTCTGCATGGTATCCTGATTCTTGGAGGTGGTCTAGAGAAATCTGTTAAAAGTGAAAAAGTTAAATACATGGGAATAGAATAGATGCTTAAATAGTGAGCATTTTTTACAGTTAAAAATCTTAAATTTATAAAATGATTCTCATCTATATAATGCCAAAATCTGGTGAGCAGTTCAGGATTTCTTGCTTCCTAGATTCATATAAAACATGCCAAAAATATATCATTTATTGGGAAAAATAGTTTTATTTCAGAAATTATTAAAAGGGAGGTTCAAAAATGAGGGAACTAGTGAGTATAAATAAGAAGGAGGGATATAAAGAAACAGTAATTTTGTTTAAAAAGAGTCTTGTACAGTAAATTCTTTTCCTAGAGTAAAATGATTGGTTATTTAAGACAGAGGTAGTATGGACAAGTCAGAAAATCCAAGCATTTTGTAGATGGTCTGCATTGGTCATAAGGTTCATAAAGAGGAATTTATGAAAGGAATTTTGTGTGTAATCAAACTAGCTGTAATTAAAAAGAAATTGTTTATAAGAGAATTTCTAAAGAATGATCTACATTTTAAAACCAATTTTTCTTAAGGTGCTAATTTACTGAATTACCAGAAAATTTACTTTTCAATCCTGTAATCTATTTCTTTTGAAAGCTTCTCAGATTAATGTAACTCATTTCTTTAGCTTTTGGGCAGTTCCTCTGAAGTGTTCTCCTCTGATTCTAACTGTTGTTGTAAGCTAATGCTAAAGTATTTTTTCTTATAGGTCTGTGGGGAGCAGTGTTTTCCCCCAATATAGCTTAATTCTATGATCTTAAAAAAAAGTTTCTTGAGAAAAGTTACACATTTTCTCTACGTGCAACTTTATTTTGGCTTTTGGCTTTTGATTCTTATATTGCTTAGAAAGGTTTTGGGGGCCAATGCATGCCTGCCCAATTACATTTCCTTTGGCCAGGAGGGATGCATTTGTTCAGTCTGTTGGAGGCTATGGATTTTGATTTTTTGGTTTGTATTCTCCTTTTTGTCAGGGTGTACCAAAGACAATGTCAAGAACTAAGCTTTTATTTTATTCTGTGCCAATGCTGGGTGGTGTGCTACCTGTCCTTGTTCCATTGTGTTCCTTGGTGGGATCTCCATGGCCAGGGGCTTGTAGCCAGCTGGATGTTCTGGGCTGGGTGACAGTGGAAACGAGTAGGCACTCACTGCCCCTTGAACTCCTTTTGAGCAGTATGGGAGCTAAAGACTAGGAGCCAGGACACGGGCTTGTAAAAGTAGCTTGTCGGTGGGTTCTGTGTGTTGTGCTGCTGTGGTCTTGGCTTGCAGTAATTAGCTATACAAACCTTCCTTCTCCACTTTGGAATTTAGGCCAGGTTCAGGAGACCCACCAATATTAAAATAAAACATTGCCCTTTCCCACAAAGGAAAAGAATAGCTCCCCTGTTCAACCATGAGATTTAGTCTTACTAAAAACTTAAAAAGAAGAGTCCCCAAGGATCAATTACATCCAAAATGGAAGAGCTCTTATTAGATGTTGTTAAGTGCCCCCATACTGCTGTTAAATTTCAGAAAATAACTACTTGGGTGTGCTAAAAGGGATTAAAACTGTTCTTATGAGTCACAGTCACAAAGGGAAGACACTGTGACCTACATCTGTAAACCTTTGAAAGATCTCTGTTACCTCAGAGGTAGAGAATCAACTGCCAAAAAATATAGATCCTAAAGGAACCAACACTCTGCTGGAAGTGGTAACATGTTTCTGTGGGTGGGAAAAGAAGCATTGATTTATCTCATCTTCCTTACTGTAATACTTATTTTCTATCACTTTAGACTACCACCTCCTCCTGGGAAATATCCCTTTTGTCTTTGTTGGGGAAAGAGGCCACTCTAAGGCCCAAACAGACACTATGCTGGCATTGTTAATCCTCTTTGCTATCCCAATTACCCTGATCCAGTGTGGGTGGGAAAAAAACTGTATAGTAAATATTATTAAAATTATAGATTCAAGGAATCACCTTTATGGTTGCTAGATTTGTTATCAACCTCCCCAGGATAGAAAGTTCCAGTCCCCAGACCTCCTAACTAATGATAGTGATTCTAATGTACTCAGACCCCTATTTTTTGGTGGAATTCTCCCCCACTTAACAGACTCCTCCTGAACTCCACCACCACTATTACCAGGACCTAGAAAGTTGGGTTATCTATATCTCCAGTACATTAATGATGCTATCTTTTGTACCCACTCTGTGTTAATGACACAAAAGTGGAAGTTTCCCTGTGACACTCTAATCCAACTCTAGTTGCCAAGTTCCCAAGGCAAGGAGACCATATACGGTGCCTATTTCCAGGTAAGAACATACAGAAAAAAAAACAAAAAAGAACACTACCTAACCTGGGAAGGTTAGGGAAGTGGGTATATCACCCCCTTCTCGAAAACAAATATTGTTCGGCCATTCTCATTGGAGCAGGGGAAGAATCTTTCTATAGACCCAACTTGGCCACAAAGGATAGACATTATGACACATAGATCCTCTTTGTTTGGAGCCATGATGACCCAGCATGCCACCTGGGCTTATTTTTGTCTGTGGCCATGACTACTCAGGAAGCCACCTGTTCCTTTAGGAGTGGCTTTCCCTTGTATATCAAAAACTTAGAACAGAGGTGAATGTACATTGGCCACTCTTGCCCCTCCAAGAGTCATAGTCTATATTCTCATAAGATCCAGGAATACAAGAAGTCAATGAGTAGTATAATTAATTCTGACAGGAATTGGGGCAGCAATAGAACAAGTGGCACTCTGGCCTATCAAAAGTCAACCCAAAAAACTTAACTCAAACCCTAATATCCTTAGCCATCAACAAAGGTAAGACATTAAAGGGAACTGAAGAGTCCCTAGACTCTTTGGCAAATGAGAATAATTTTGGCAACACAGCAAGACCTGTCTCTAAAAAAATCAAACTTAAAAAAAGTTTAGCGTGCCTGTGGTCTTAGCTACTTGGGAGGCTGAAACGGGAGGATTACTCGAGCCCAGAAGTTCAAGGTTGCAGTGAGCTATGATTGCACCACTGCACTCCAGCCTGAGCAATAAAGCGAGACCCTCTTAAAAATAAATAATAATGTGTATATACATACATATACACAGAGACACACACACTCACATACATTCATATATGTACACATTCTATATTTTTAAAATAATCTTATATATAAAGAACATGTATATATATAAAAAATGAATACATAAAACAAAATATATAAAATGAAAATAGAAAAATAAATTTAAAATAAATGTATAAAATAATTTATTAATATAATAAATAATGTTAATAACTTTAAAGTAAGTATTAAGATATACTAATTGTGGCAACCTTGATGATTCTATTGAGGGAAAGCTCAGATGCTGTACTTTGAAATCATTACATCATTTTTACAAGCCCACAACATCCATGGGCTGCTCCTGGCAAAAGACTGAGTTAAGCAAGGATACCAAGGAAGGCCTGTTCCCAGCACATACAAACTTCTCTGTTAGATGGCTTTGGCTTGAAGAGTTTTGAATGGCTTAGCTGAATCTTCCTTGAACTGCACTGCAGTCTAGGATGTTTCCATCAAACTTTATTTCCCTATCTTTCACTCAGGGTCAGACTCATATTGCCTTCTTATCTCGAGCGAAAACAATGTTTAGTCTATCAGGTACCATTAATTTATGTTAATTATTATCAAAGAAGAATCAAAAGTATTCCCAAGGATATTTATAAGAAAGTGAGCATTAAATATGTTTTAACAAGTTTTTAAAGCACTTTAAAAAAGTTGTTTGTGAATATAAAGAAGATTATGCACTAAGGGAACTTTTACAACAACCTCAAACATTAGTCTAAAGTTTACCTTCATGACATTTTGGTGTCAATGAGTATTAATTGTTTATCTGTGGCATGCTTTAATAATCACAGTATTTGTAAAATTTTATATAAAGAATATAAAATTAATTTAACATCCAAGAAGGAGAAATTTAAAATCACTAGTGTCCTCTAATTTGCAAGATCATTCTCATTATTATTTTCTATGGTTTTGAACTTTTGGAGATTTTTAACTGCCGTTGAAAATCCATTGAAATTTATACATTCTCTTCAGAGAATAATGCACATGTATGTTATTTTGTCCCTACATTTGTGTGTGTTTCCTTAATGTAGCCCTTTGCCTTAGAAATATGGGAGCATACTGCTTTATAAGTTAACTTTATCTTTTATTGAGTACATTATAATGACTAGTACGTTTTTCTTTATGAAGAATATCCCAACATCTGAAAGTGCATTATTCAACAGTATTATTAAATAACATTAAGTATGCAATACATTTTGTTTATTTAACCAATCTTTTATTGCATTGTTTTAAAATATTTTGAATATTATTGTAGTTAAATCTTAGAGCATACTGGTAATTATTTCTATAGGCTAAATTTCTAGCAGTAAAATTCCTAAATTAAAAAAACTCACTTATAAAAATTATATATTAATAATTGCTCTTAAAAAGACTAAAATAAAATACATGCTTGTGTACTTAAAGCCTCTATGTCACTAATTATAAATGATTTCAATCATCAACAAGTTGAGGCAAAAATTTCATTTTGTTGTTTAAATATGTATTTATTTGATATCTAGAGTGGTCCATTCTCTTTCTCTCTCTTTTTTTCCCCATAATGTTTATTGTCATTGTTTTCTTTTGTGAATTTTCTCTGTATTGTATTTGTCCATTTTCTATATTAGGAAGGTAAAGTGCATTAACACATTTAGTACAAATAATCTATTCTTCCTTTTCTGGGATAAACTTCACTTATCTGTCTATACTATATTGCTGAATTATATTTGCTAATACAGGCATATCTCCGAGATAATGCACGTTCAGTTTCAGATGCACACAATAAAGTCACACAAATTCTTTGGTTTTTCAGTAAGTATTAAAGTTATCTTTACACCGTACTGTAGTCTATTGTGTGTGCAATAGCATTATATCTGAGATACCTTAATTTAAACGTACTTTATTGCTAAAAACACTAACAATCAACTGAGCCTTCCACAAAATGTTAAAATATTGTAGGATATTTCTGGGAAGTGTTATGTTTTTGCTGGTGAAGGATCTTTCCTCAATGCTGATGGCTGCTGACTGATGAGGATGGTAGTTGCTGCAAGTTGGGGTGGCTATGGCAAAATAAGATCACAATTAAATTTGTCATATCTCTTGACTCTTCCTTTGATGAAATATTTCCTTGTGTCACATGACGCTGTTTGATAGCATTTTACCCACAGTAGAACTTCTTTCAAAATTGGAATTAACACTCTCAAATTCTGCCAGGACTTTATCAGCTAAGTTTATGGAATATTCTAAATCTTTTGTTACTTCAAGAATCTTCACAGCATCTTCACTAGGAGTAGATTTCATCTGAAAAAAAAAAACACTTTCTTTGCTCACTCATAAAAAGTAACTCCTTATCCATTAAATTTTATTACAAGATTGCAGCAATTCAGTCACCTATCAGACTTCACTTCTATTTTATTTCTCTTGCTATTTCCACCATAGATGTGGTTATTCCTCCACTGAAGTCTTGAGTCCCTCAAAGACATCCACGAGGGTTGGAATCAACTTCCAAACTCCTGTTAATGTTGATATTTTGACCTTCCATGAATCATGAGTGTTCTTAATGAAATCCAGAATGATGAGTCCTTCTCAGGTTTTCACTTTGCCCAGATCCACCAAATGAATCACTCACTATATATGGCTTCTGTGGCCTTAAAAAATGTATTTTTTAAATAATAAAACTTGAAAGTTGAAATTGGATTAATCAATTGGATTGATCAGAAATTTCCCACATTATTGAGAAATAATTTCTAAGCCACATAATAATTGTATAAGTCTTAGATAAAATACTGAATGAGTTAAAGTTGTGACATTTAATTTAAACATTTAAAAAATATTTAACCTTATTGTTTTTTATTTTAAAATTCGATATGCAAAAGTATGACTGATTTAAAAAGACTTCAAGTCCAAGCTCAAACAGAGTCATATAATACAAACGCAGATTTTCATTTGGTTCTGCTTCTCTTTGTCACACCATATAAGTAAGTTTATCATAATTTACATTCTCATAAAAATAAGAGTTAAATAATATGACACCTTAGAGATAAGATGGTTTCTCATTTTGTAATTCCTAAGGTCAAATATCTCTAATTTTACAATGAAAAAATAAAAGTGGGAGCATGCTGTAGATCTAAATCTATGTCATTTATACTGATAATAATAGGGTGCAGAAGACTTGGTGTACCATAAATTATTTGAGGAAAGCATACAAAAAAAAGATAAAGGTAGGCCTTATATTCAGAAATGTTCACATTTATGGAAAGGAAAAAATGGGAAGGGGTAGAACTAGTAAAAAAAGGAACATATTTATATATTTTACCTGATTCAGTGTTGGTGACATTGGTATAGTATAAAGTTTATCTGAAAACATATTTTTAACAAAGATTAATTTTTTAAAATAAAGCTAGGATACTAGGACATATAATCAATTTATGTTAATTATTGAAAAATTATAGGGAAAGTACTACAGTATTTCTTAGATTTATGGAATAGTTAATATTTTTCTACATTTTATAAATACAGCCTAAATAAGAAATAGTAATGTTGAGAGAAAAGAGGAATGACGAGTATGTGGGAGTAGATTGCTGCTCTTTCCTTCTAAATTATAGAAATAATAGAAGTAATAATATTTTGCATTTAGGCTGCTTTTTCTCCTCAGAGCTTAAAGCAAGCACAAAGATTAAATTTGGTGTCCTCCTTCTTACCTATTCAACCAAGCTAAAACCTGTAGAAAAAATAAAAGAGCTATTCTGATTGCTTCTCTGATAAATTATAATAATTGCTATACTGTTTCCTTCATCACATAAGGAGGTCTATTTTCTTTACAAATTACATATGTAACTTTTCATTGTTTCCTAGTCACTAACGTTTGGTATTCAACACCTGTATTGGTACTGAGCTGATGCTTCTGTGTCAATGTGTGTGTTGAGGCAAGGGGTATTCGAAGGAAGAAGTGTTGACCAGAGGGCCACTTACATTCATCATTAGTGCACCTCCCATGTAGTATTAATAGGCACATTTAACAGAGACCTGAAGTCTTATTAATCAAAATGGCAGTCTTAGTCTAAAAGATCTTTGGGAGAAGTTATCAATAAAGAATTTCATTGCAACATGAAATTGTGCCAGACCATTTATATAAAACAAATATAGATAGCACTTACAGATTGAAATTGGAAGTGGATGGATGTCATTATGAGAAAATGGATTGAAAAATGCTGAATCTCACTAATCCAATTCTTCACAGGCTGTAATTTACTACAGTGACTCTACTTACAAGAGTGATCTGTGATATATTATAGATGGATGAAAAACTATTCATTCAACACATCTTTGAATTGTCCTACCTAATAGTGCTAGTTTATTGCCTTAGCCAGAAACTTTCCATCTTGGGTTTTCTTTCAGAGATAAAATATTTCTTTAAAACTTTTTTGTAGCTATTTAATCTATCCAACTGAAGAGATAAAATATTTCTTAATATGAAACATTTTTGTGACTATATCTAAACCATAACTACTTAGAACTTTTTAATGTGTTGTTGCTTTATTCATTATATTATTTAATCCTAAATTACTTTTTCAAATATTTATTCTACAATTATCATTTTCTATCACCTAGTTTTATTTCATAAAATGAGGATTTGGGGGTTGCAAGTAACAGAAGCCCAATTCAATTAGCTGAAATAGAAAATATTTCAAGGTGTCTTAACAAACCGAAGGCAGGGAAATAACTCATGTTAGAATCTAACAGGAACCAGAAATTCAACCGCCATCAACACAATTATTTTTCCATTTTTTTCTCTATGCATTTCTGCTTCTTCACTTTCACTGCAGAAAATGTGCTATACTTCTTAGTACAGCTGGCAGAATAGCCACTGAAGGATGTTATGCTGTATTGTAGGCATTAGAAACAAACTTCTCTGTCTTGATCAGTCTCTCCACAGGTCTCTTTCTTTCTTCCTCCGTACCTCCTTTTCTCCTTCTCTCTCTTTTTAATTTCTCTCCCTTCTTTCTGTGCCTCTCATTTTTTTTTCAGCTTCCAAAACCCTTAAGAACAGAAATAGAATTGGCCCAGATTGTATCAGATACGTGGTCCTGGGACACTCCCGGAAAGAAATACCAATTCATTTTAAATGGCTGCTTCTTTGGGAAGCATGCCAGTGAACAGCATTTCTCAAAAAAGGTGAGTGAGATCAAGATCAAGAACTATTCTGCAAACAAAGCTACTGGTTGATGACTTAAATGTATGCCATGGATACCAGATTATATGTTTTTTTAACACCTTCCCTAGATTGTCCACTTCTTTTCTAAATTATATTAATTTCTGAAAATCTGTCTCATGGTAAATATTACATATTTTATTGTTTCAATGATTTTTTCATATTGTTTTTCTTTCAAACTCTCCAGGTAAATCAACCTTTTTTTCAACTTTTTTTTTCTTTTTCTTGTATACTTTCTTCTTTGCTGCCAAAACCAGTAGCCCAGTGTTTCATTTAAAATCCCAAAAGCACTGCACAGCAACTTTGCTGAAGCTGCATTTTTAAGATGAGTCTTTGGGGTATTTTTTGTTTGGATTTAAGGGGGAAAAATTAACAGGGTCATTCATGCAAAATTTTGCACAGCAAACTAAGTATCTAATTATGCTTTCCTGCAGCAGACTGTGCTGCACTCCAGATGTGTGCACTTAAATAGCTCTTTAATGTTCTGCAACTCCAAGTAATGACGTTCTGAAACTTTCATTTTTTTCCATGGAAAATCAGGTTATCAACTTTAGTCAAAGAATAAACATGTTCTATTATGACACAATATACTAAGTCAATCATGTTTATGCCTGATTCTGGGAGAAAATCAAGCTTGTGTCATTTTGAAATTTCAGTGGCATAGAAACTTGCATGGACTATGAGGCTAAATGTTTATGCCAACATAGAAATACATTATACAAGTATTTTCAGAACATTGCTTAGGGAAGTCATAAAATAAGAATTTTAAAAAGTCATACCAGGTTAAAATTTAAATGACTGTTTTTTGAAGAACAGAAATCAAGGTCCAACATAGGCTTATTCTTTCTAAACAGGGCATTTTAACCTGCTAAGACCGTGTGTGTGTCTGTGTGTGTGTGTGTGTGTGTGTCTGTGTGTGTGTGTACCTATATAAACATTTGAGTGCTTATACAATGGTTTTATTCTAGTGCATTATTGTCCCTTTCACATGTTCTTGCATTTTGCATGTTTCAGTATTAAGCCAGTGTAGAATACAAATGATTTATTTTTATTGAAGTATTCTCCAACACAGCCTTCCCTACTGTGGCAATTTTGGAAGTGCATATAAATATTCCAGATACAAAAATCTTAGCAGTGAAATAAGCTAACCACACAAATTGATCTTGTAATTATAAATGCTACATGAAAAACTCAATACATTTTTTAATGTTCAAATTAAGACACACTTAATTACATAGTAACTGCTAAAAAAGAGGCATATAATTTAGAGTTATGCCAAAGAGTGTCGTTCAGATTTAGATGCTTCTAATCATGGGGGAAACTTGCTCACCGCTGGTAAATGTTAACTTTGATGAGCAAACTGGTGATTATCCAAGGAAAAATCTACTAATGGAAATGTTGTGTTCACATAATTTCAGGTGTCTTTTTTTCATTGACCTATTTTGAAGTTTGTTTTAAAACTCATTATTTCAGTTTCTTGTTAATTTATTTAGTGTTACACAACAATGGAGGTTTTCAACTGAAAGATAATTTTTAAAAGTTCAATAGCTTACTCAGAAACACTATTATGTGTACTGATTATGTTCCAGAGGATAGTAAACAAATACCTATTTTATCCCAAGTTGCATGTAAAATGTATGCGTTTTCAATGTACTTCAGTCAAAAACAATATGATGATAATAGCAGAGATACAGAAAATTTTCATGACAGTTTAAAAAATTACCATGAATCCTGGTCCTTGAGGATAAAGAGTTTTTGTTAGAAGGGAATAATAGAGATAGATATAAGTTTATGGAGATTAAGTGGTCAATTCTAAGCAATTTCAAAGTCTATCAAGTTTAATATGTTTTTCTTTAGGACTAAATTTACTTAAAATATATGACTTCCATTTTCTTCTTTTTTTAATTTTATTATTATCATACTTTAAGTTTTAGGGTACATATGCACAATGTGCAGGTTTGTTACATATGTATACATGTGCCATGTTGGTGTGCTGCACCCATTAACTCGTCATTTAGCATTAGGTATATCTCCTAATGCTATCCCTCCCCCCTCTCCCCACCCCACAACAGTCCCCAGTATGTGACATTCCCCTTTCTGTGTCCATGTGTTCTTATTGTTCAATTCCCACCTATGAGTGAGAACATGTGGTGTTTGGTTTTATGTCCTTGTGATAGTTTGCTGAGAATGATGGTTTCCAGTTTCATCCATGTCCCTACAAAGGACATGAACTCATCATTTTTTATGGCTGCATAGTATTCCATGGTGTATATGTACCACATTTTCTTAATTCAGTCTATCATTGTTGGACATTTAGGTTGGTTCCAAGTCTTTGCTATTGTGAATAGTGCCACTATAAACATACGTGTGCATGTGTCTTTATAGCAGCATGATTTATAATCCTTTGGGTATATACCCAGTAATGGGATGGCTGGGTCAAATGGTATTTCTAGTTCTAGATCCCTGAGGAATCGCCACACTGACTTCCTCTGAAATAATGCTGCATATCTACAACCATCTGATCTTTGACAAACCTGACAAAAACAAGCAATGGGGAAAGGATTCCCTATTTAATAAATGGTGCTGGGAAAACTGGCTAGCCATAGGTAGAAAGCTGAAACTGGATCCCTTCCTTACACCTTATACAAAAATTAATTCAAGATGGATTAAAGACTTAAATTTTAGACCTAAAACCATAAAAACCCTAGAAGAAAACCTAGGCAATAGCATTCAGGACATAGGCATGGGCAAGGACTTCATGTCTAAAACACCAAAAGCAATGGCAACAAAAGCCAAAATTGACAAATGGGATCTAATTAAACTAAAGAGCTTCTGCACAGCAAAAGAAACTACCATCAGAGTGAACAGACAACCTGCAGAATGGGAGAAAATTTTTGCAACCTACTCATCTGACAAAGGGCTAATATCCAGAATCTACAATGAACTCAAACAAATATACAAGAAAAAAACAAACAACCCCATCAAAAAGTGGGTGAAGGATATGAACAGACACTTCTCAAAAGTAGACATTTATGCAGCCAAAAAACACATGACAAAATGCTCATCGTCACTGGCCATCAGAGAAATGCAAACCAAAACCACAGTGAGATACCATCTCACACCAGTTAGAATGGTGATCATTAAAAAGTCAGGAAACAACAGGTGCTGGAGAGGATGTGGAGAAATAGGAACACTTTTACACTGTTGGTGGGACTGTTAACTAGTTCAACCATTATGACTTCCATTTTCTTTCATATATTTTCATCGTTAGCTTTCCTTTATGTTTATAACTTTCTAAGGATAAAAGGAGAAAAAAAGGGAGAAGTTGACAAAGACCTTCTTGGAATAACTAGAAAAGAGTTGAAAGGGAAAGGAAATCAGAAGAACAAAAATAATCTGTATATAAATGTAAAAAATTGCATTAACTAAAATAAACCTAACTTTAAATGAATTTAAAAAGGAAATGGAGGAAATAATAAGTAAACAAAAGACCAGGAGATCTTCAGAGGAAAAAGGGAGAGCTTTATATTCTATTACAAAAAACAAACAAACAACAACAACAAAAAAAAAACAATGTGTAGGTTGGGGAGGCATGTCCTCCAGGACAAGTGAAAGTCTGCTTTCCAAAAAACAAATGGAGGGTCTGCCTTAAATAGGCAAAGTTCTTACCCTCGTTCTCAATGATGTTCACTTATGCAAATAAAAAAATTTACATTTGTTCAGTTCTGATTGGTCAAAATAGTAGAGCCCTGACTGAGTAAAGAAAGGTCTTGTGATACTTTTACAACATCTTTTTGAGAACATAGAGTCCGTGACTACTTCCTCACTTAGTCATGGCTTTCTGATCCTGTTTTAACTTTGAGCATCTCAGCCACATGGAATCTATTTTGTCCAATCACCAGGGGCATACTTTCACACTACAAACCCCTTATGAATGGAAGTAAAAGAAGTGGTTAAGCAAGTAGTTAAGAATGACAAGTGAGTTGAACAGTAGACAGGCCATTTATTCCCTAGAACTATTAAGCTTCTCTCCAATCAGAAGCAGGAGTAAGAAGAGCCAAACATCCCTAAAGCCATGGCAGTGTGGGATTATCTATAAATGAGTATGGAGGTTTATGAAGGCAGGTGTTCATTTATCATCAAGTATACAACCATATAATTATTAGTTTCTTTCTTATATTTACCCAGCACTTTGTTGGAATTTCTGGGAAAGTGAATATGAAACTTCAAGACCAATCATTTCTAAAAATTTTATAGCACAATCCAAGAAATACAAAATACTATCAGTTAAAAATGTAATCTTTGAAAGAATGAAAAAAATATGTTTTATGCTTTTCTTCATACTGAGGTTCGAAATCCAGTGTGTTTTCCCGTTATATCACATTTAAATTTGATCAGATATACTAGATCTGTATCTAGATTTAATATTATAGTTATGAGAAAACATTGACACAACCAAGTTGTCCAAACAGTGTTAAAGTCTTCTAAAAACTGAATCAAGTATCAGTTTAAAAAACACTTTATTGAAGTAAGACTCACATACAAAAAGTTGTACATACTTAATGTGTACAACTTCATTTGGAGATAAGTATACATCTATAAAACTATTACTACAATCAATGCCATAAAGATGACCATTACCTCCAAAAGTTTTTTCTCATCCTTCTTGTTTATTATTTTTATGTTACATAATAAGAAAACAACATAAAATTTACCCTTAGCAACTTTTTAACTGTATAATATAGTTTTGTTAATTGCAATCACTGCACTATACAGTACAGTGTATCTCTGTGACTTATTCATCTTGCATAATTGAAATTTTGCATACTTCGACAAATACCTCCCCATTTCCCCCTTATCTCAGCACTTGGTAATCACCATTTTACTCTCACTTCTATGAGTTTGACTATTTTAGATTTCCACATAAATGTTATGTTAGTATTTGTCCTTCTGTTTCTGGCTTATTTCACTTAGCCTAATGTCCCACAGATCAATCTGTGTTGTTGAAGATGTCAAACTTTTCTTTTTTAAGGCTGAATAATATACCATTTTTTGCATGTAACACATTTTCTTCATCTTGTCTATAAGTGAGCACTGAGGTTGCTTGGCTATTATGAATAAAGCTGCAATGAACAGAGAAATGCAGTATCTCTTCCAGATCCCAAACGTTTTGATGTAATTTTTGTTTGTTTGTTTAGTTGCAAGGTATAGAAATCCACAAAGAGTTATTCAAGTAATAAGGTAATTTGTTGAACAAAAGCTGACAAATTTGCAAAACTTAGTAGCAAGAAGGATAATTAAGTTTCAGTCTATGGAGTAATTTTCCAGTTAGTTTTGGCCAAAGTGAGGTCACCCGATATACTACCATTTACTGATTAAAAAAATATATATATATGGGGCAGTTTTACTGAAGAGAGGAGTGTGGGAGTTGAGTCAGTATTTGCACTGACTGATAATCAATACTAATGGATAACATTAACAGTATAATGCAGTATATTAACATTATCCAACGATCAAATAAGAAAGGATAGATTCAATTACTATCTAGTACTTTCGTGAATGGGAATTTATTCTTCAATCCATTATTCTTTGTCCTCTACTCTTACTTCCTTCTTAACATTGCTTTAGTTGAGAAACTAAAGCCACATCAGATGAGTTTGTCTCAACTAAGATTACTCATAAGTTTTTAATTGATAAGCTATATGCCCTATTTTAAATTCTCACCTTCTTGTATTGCAGAGTAGCATTTGGCAATTATGAACTTCCCACTACTATTTGAAACTCTTGTCTTTTTGTTTTCTTCAGTTCTACTCTTAATTCATTTTATTTATCTTTTATAACTTTGTGGCTCTTTCTTTGTTCTCTTTCCACCTCACAAGGTTTATCCCAGATTTATTTGATTAGTACTCCATTTTAGATTATGTCCTATTCTAACTCAAAATATTTCCTTAGGTAATCTGACGTACATTTATGATTTCAAACATCATCAGATATTACTGAGATGGTATGCAACTGTTTGTGTTTATGTATGGTTGTGTATGCTTGTTGAGGTAAAGGTCCACAGATTTCACCAAATATTTTTGAGTTCTATGAAAATTTAGAAAAACTCTATATTAAACTTGTCTTCAGAATTTCAAGCATATAATTCTTGCTTTTTAGCATGTCCACCTGGGTAAACTGAAAACATTGTACAATCTCATGCTTAGCACATACAAAATTGAATTTATTACCTATCTGCAAAAGTATATTTCTTATTTCTTTAATTTGTTAATTGAATTATTTTCCATTTACTCTGAAACTACCATTTCATTGTTAAATCTAGATTTCTCCCCTCCCCCTCCCCCTCCCCCTCTCCTTCTCCCGTCTCCATCTCCCCATGGTCTCCCTCTCCCTCTCTCTCCACGGTCTCCCTCTCATGCTGAGCCGAAGCTGGACTGTACTGCCGCCATCTGGGCTCACTGCAACCTACCTGCCTGATTCTCCTGCCTCAGCCTGCCGAGTGCGTGGGATTGCAGGTGCACGCCGCCACGCCTGACTGGTTTTCGTATTTTTTTGGTGGAGACAGGGTTTCGCTGTGTTGGCTGGGCTGGTCTCCAGCTCCTAACTGCAAGTGATCTGACAGCCTCGGCCTCCTGAGGTGCCGGGATTGCAGACGGAGTCTCGTTCACTCAGTGCTCAATGTTGCCCAGGCTGGACTGCAGTGGCGTGATCTAGGCTCGCTACAACCTCCACCTCCCAGCCGCCTGCCTTGACCTCCCAAAGTGCCGAGATTGCAGCCTCTGCCCGGCCGCAACCCCGTCTAGGAGTGAGGAGCGTCTCTGCCCGGCCGCCCATCGTCTGAGATGTGGGGAGTGCCTCTGCCCCGCCACCCCGTCTGGGATGTGAGGAGCACCTCTGCCCGGCCGCGACCCCGTCTGGGAGGTAAGGAGCATCTCTGCCCGGCCGCCCCGTCTGAGAAGTGAGGAGCCCCTCCGCCCGGCAGCCGCCCCGTCCGGGAGGTGGTGGGCAGCCCCCGCCCAGCCAGCCGCCCCGTCTGGGAGGGAGGTAGGGGGCGCCTCCACCCGGCCGCCTCCCCGTACGGGAGGTGGGGGGCGCCTCTGCCCGGCCGCCCCTTCTGGGAAGTGAGGAGCCTCTCTGCCCAGCCGCCACCCCGTGTGGGAGGTGTACCCAACAGCTCATTGAGAACGGGCCATGATGACGATGGCAGTTTTGTCTAATAGAAAAGGGGGAAATGTGGGAAAAAGATAGAGAAATCAGATTGTTGCTGTGTCTGTGTAGAAAGAAGTAGACATAGGAGACTCCATTTTGTTCTGTACTAAGAAAAATTCTTCTGCCTTGGGATGCTGTTAATCTATAACCTTACCCCCAACCCCGAGCTCTCTGAAACATGTGCTGTGTCAACTCAGGGTTAAATGGATTAAGGGCGGTGCAAGGTGTGCTTTGTTAAACAGATGTTTGAAGGCAGCATGCTCATTAAGAGTCATCACCACTCCCTAATCTCAAGTACCCAGGGACACAAACACTGCGGAAGGCCTCAGGGACCTCTGCCTAGGAAAACCAGAGACCCTTGTTCACTTGTTTATCTGCTGACCTTCCCTCCACTATTGTCCTATGACCCTGCCGAATCCCCCTCTGCAAGAAACACCCAAGAATGATCAATAAATACAAAAAAAAAAAAAAAAATTAAAAAAAAATCTAGATTTCTCCTTATCTCTCATTCCCAGATATTTTTAACATTGAATATGAACACTAAATCTATCCATCCCAAGTCTACTACCTTGGTTAAAAATCTTTCAGTGGCCTTGTAAAGTATGAAATAAAATTCTTTCTAATCATCCTATTCCAGACCATCTTCCATGTTGTCAGTTGACTATGTCAGTTCAATGATTAAAAAGAAAACAAAATAAAGCAAAAAATTTGTGGGCACCTATTGTCTGTAGGAAAAACTTTGCAGACTCTTCACAGTTTCTTCTCTCTGCTACTTGCATCTCAGACTTTGTCATTAGTATTACTGTACTTCTCACCATTCTCCAAATAGTCAAGCCTTTCAAATTCTTCTCAAAATGAAATATCTATGTTTCTAACCTTTGCAAATTCCTACCTGACCTTAAAATCATATTCAGTTTTAATATCTTAAATGGGAAATTTTCCCAGTCCCAGAATAAGTTTAATTGGTCATCTCTCTAGGTTCACATAGCATATATCTAGTATTTCTCTTTATATTAAGATGTGCTACAATTTTCTTGTTTATCATCCCATTTAAATAATGAGCTCCTCAAGGACATTATTTCCCACATGTCTTAAAGGTATTAGACTATATAATTACACTATGCTGCTCAGATAAATATTGATATGATATCAGATATGGAGAAGAAAGAGAAACATAAAGCAACACCAAATATTAGTATCTGTGGCTCCCTTTCTTGAAGATAATATTGTCAATGAGAATTTTCCGGGAGCCATGTTGTTCTAAATAATGCTTGTATTGCATAATAGTTTATTTCTTAAAACAAAACCCAAAACAAAATCACCTTCTATAATTTCTGTAAAACTAAAGATCAATTTAAAAAGAATTAGAACTGTTACAATTTAATAGGGGAAAAATCTTAATAATTATTTTGATCTGAGAAACTTAGTTATCTATTATATGCAATAAAAATTAATTCACAAAATAGACAAGTACAGATACATATATATCTGTTTTGACAATTACATTAAATTTTCTAGAATAAACAATAGCAGCCGTGCCCTGAAATATCTGCACTTTTACTGGAGTATTACAACCTACACTGATAATGTGCTGTTAAATCCCTAACAAATCTAAATTTGACACCACCAGAGAAAAAGACATATCATAAAATAAGATTAGAAAGATGGAAAAAAATTTATTTTAATTTATGCCCAATACTTTAATTTCTCTATGTAAATATTAGAAAAATTGGTTAAATGGTTTAAGCAATATTCTTTCTAACACAAGGATTAAAAAGTCAAGTTTTATAGCTCAGAAACATTTCAGAAAAATGTTTCATAAGTATATAATCAACATAGAAACTTCAAATGAAACTCATAAAATGTTCCACAAAATACCCATAAGTAAGAAAACATGGACAAGTAATTTCTACAGCGCAAAATTCTGCTTTGTAGTTAATATTTCTCAATTACAATTATAACCACATACTGATATAACCTCACAAAAGATCAAACCCCAAAAAGTTGAAGCTTTTTATCTGAAAATAAATGATATACGTCCCATTTTTAAAAACTATTTTATTAATTGATTGATGATATTTTATTGCTTTTACATAGGGTTTAAAGATCCCTGGATACAAAAATGAAAGACTAAGAAATTCCTTTAAATCTAATATGTATACATCAGAAACAACTTAAATATTATTTTTGAGTTGAATTCAATGGTCAGCAATTTTTTCTTATAACTTTCTTTTTTTTAATTTTATGTTTTTTTAAAATTTTAATTGCATTGGAGGTACAAGTGGTTTCACTACCATGAATTGTATAGTGGTATAGTCTGAAATTTTACTGCACCTGTCACCTGAGTAGTGTACATTGTACTCAATATGTAGCTTTTCATTCTGCACCCTCCTCCCACACTTCTCCTTCAGAGTTTCCAATCTCCATTATACTGCTCTGTATGCCTTTTCATACCCATAGCTTTGCTCCAACTTATGAGTGAGAAAATACGGTATTTGATTGTTAATTACTGAGTTACTTCACTTAGAATAATATGATTCATAAAATAAAAAAATACAGCAGCTGAAAGATAACATGGCCATTATAAGAAGGAACCAAACTGATCTGATAGAGCTGAAAACACACTATAGAATTTCATAATAAAATTGCTGGTATTGACAGCAGAATAGGCTAAGTTGAGAAAAAAAATCTCAGATATCAAAGGCTGGTGCTCCAAACTAACTTAGTCAGATAAAAATGAAGAAAAAAGAATGAACATAGCATTTGATACTAATGGTATTATGTAAAGAGACCAAATCTATGATTCATTGTCATCCCTGAAAGACAGCAGGAGAAAGCAAGCAACTTGAAAAATGTATTTCAGGATATCAGCCATGGAAATTTTTCTAACCTCACTAGAGACTCCAACATTCAAATTCAGGAAGTGCAAATAACTCCAGTAAGATATTACAAGAGAAGACTATCCCCTAGACACAAAAGCATCAGATTCTCCAGGTCAAAATTAAAAAAAAAAAAAAAAAAAAAGGAAACTAGTGAGAAGGGGCAGGTTACCTACAAAGGGAACACCATTAGGCTACCAGCCGACCTTTCAGCAAAAATCCTACAAGGCAGAAGAGACTGGGGGCCTATATTCAGCACTCTTAAATCAAAGTATTTCCATATAATTACATATACAGCCAAACTAAGCTTCATAAGTGTTGGAGAAATAAGACATTTTTCACAAACACAAATGCTAAGGGAATTTGTTACCTCACACCTACCTTATGAAGTTGTGAAAGGATCACTATGAATGGAAAGAAAAGACCATTATCAGCCACTAAAAAACATACTTAAATACATAGACCATTGACACTATAAAGTAACCACACAAACAAGCCTGCACCAGATAACAACATTATGAAAGGATCAAATACACACATATCATTATCAACCTTGAATGTATTAACCTTGAATGTACTGGGGCTAAATGCCCCAATTAAAAGGCACAGAGTGGGCTGGGTGCAGTGACTCATACCTGTAATCCTAGCACTTTGGGAGGCCAAGGCAGGCGAATTGCTTGAGCCCAGGTGTTCAAGATCACCACAACATGATGAAACCCCATATCTACAAACAAAACAAAACAAAAAAATTAGTTGGGCATGATAGTGTGCACCTGTAGTCCCACCAACTCAGGAGGCTGAGGCAGGAGATCACTTGAATCTGGGAGGCAGAGGCTGCAATGGGCCAAGAGCATGCCACTGCACTCTAGTCTTGGATAAGGAAATAAGGCCCAAATGTATGTTGTCTTCAAGAGACCCACCTCACATGTAATGACACCCACAGGCTCAAAGTAAAGAGATGGGGGAAAATCTACCCAGCAAATGGCAAACAGAAAAATGCAGGGATTGCTAACCTAATTTCAGACAAAAAGATAAACAAACTTTAAATCAACACAGATCAAAAAAGACAAAGATGGCCATTATACAATGGTAAAGGGTTCAACTTAATAAGAAGACCTAACTATCCTAAATTTATATGGACTAAGCATGGGAACATCACAATTTATAAAGGAAGTTCTTAGAGATCTAGGAAAAGATGTAGATTTCCACACAATAAGAATGAGAGATTTCACCACCCCACTGACAGTATTAGACATATAATTGAGGGAGAAAAAATAACAAAAATATTCAAACTTAACACTTGAGCAAATGGACTTAATAGACACGTACAGAACACTCCAACCCGAAACAACAAAATATATAATATTTTCATTTGCACATGGCACATATTCTAAAATCAACCACTCAGACATAAAATAATCCTCTGCAAATCCAAAAAGCTGAAATCATACCAACCACACTCTCAGACCACAGTGCAATAAAAATAGAAATCAATACTATGAATAACGCTCAATATCATACAATTATATGAAAATGACTTTTGAGTAAATAATGAGATTAAGGCAGAAATCAAGAAATTTTTTGAAACTAACAAGGGTACAGCATACCAGAGTTTCTCAACTAAAGCAATGTTAAGAAGGAAGTTTATAGCACTAAATCCCCAAATCAAAACATGAAAAAGATCTCAAATTCATAATCAACATCCCACCTAGAGAAACTAGAGAAACAAGAGCAAACTAACCCCAAAGCTAATAGAAGACAATAAATAAGCAAAATCAGAGCTGAATGGAAGGAAATTGAGATGCAGAAACCCATAAAAAAGATTAATGAATCCAAGAGTTGTTTTCTAAAAGAATAAATAAGTTATACCACTAGTAAGACTAAAAGAGAGAGAAGATACAAATAAACAATTAGAAATGACAAAGGGAACATTATCACCAATCCCATGGAAATAAAAATAATCCTTAGAGACTACTATAAACACCTCCATGCACACAAGATAAAAAATCTAGAAAAGATGGATAAATTTCTGGAAACACACAGCTTCCCAAGATAGAACCAGGAAGAAAGTGAATCCCAAACAGACCAATAATGAGTTCTAAAGTCGCATCAGTTAAAAAAGCCTGCTAACCGGAAAAAACCCAGGACCAGACATATTCACAGCTGAATTCTAACTGATGTATAAAGAGCCAGTACCATTACTACTGAAACTACTTCAAAAAATTGAAGAGGAGGAACTCCTCTTTGACTCATTTTATTAAGTCAATATCATTCTGATATCAAAACCTGTCAGTGACCCAACAAAAAAAGAAAACTTCAGGCCTATATTTTTGATGAATATATACGCAAAAATCCTCAACAAAATCCTAGCAAACTAAATGCAGCAGCACATTAAAAAGCTAATCCATCATTATCAAGTAGGATTTAACCTTGATAAATACTATCAAGTAGGATTTAACCTTGGGATACAAGGTTGATTCAACATATGCAAATGAATAAATGTGATTCATCACATAAACAAAAATAAAAATTACAATATTATCTCAAAAGATACAGAAAAGGCTACTGAGAATATTAAACATCTCTTCAGGGTAAAAACACACAACAAACTAGGCACTGATGAAACGTATTTCAAAATAATAAGAGCTATCTATGAAAAACCCACAGCTAACATCATACCAAATGGTCAGAAGCTGGAAACATTCCCCTGAGAACTGGAATAAGGCAAGGATAATCACTCTTATCACTCCTATTCAATATAGTACTAGGAGTCCAAGCCAGAATACTCAGGCAAGAGAAAGAAATAAAAGACATCTAAACAGAAAGAGAGGAAGTCTATCTTTGTTTGTAGATAATATAATTATCTACATTAAAAACTTCATAGTGTCTGCCCCAAAGCTCCTGGATCTGATAAACAACTTTAGCAAAGTTTCAGGTTACAAAATCCATGTATAAAAATCAGTAGTGTTTCTATACACCAATAATATTCAGGCTGAGAGTCAAATCAAGAACACAATCCCACTCACAATAGCCACAAAAAGATTAAGATACTTAGGGATACAGCTAACCAAGGAGGTGAAAGATATCTACAACAAGAATTTATAAACACTGCTGAAAGAAATCAGAGATGGCTGAAACAAATAGAAAAACATTCCATGCTTATGGATAGAAATAATCAAAATAGTCAAAATTGCCATACTGCCCAAAGCAATTTAAAAATTCAATGTTATACCTATCAAACTACTAATTACATTTTTCACAGAAATAGGAAAAACTTTAATGCTTACAAGAGTTTCAATTCTGGTGCATATCAACCTTTGTTTCAAGATTTTGAACTCCTCTTAGCAATTTTTTGTAGGGCTGGTCTAGTATTGACAAATACCCTCCACATTTGTCAGTACTAGACCTTCCCTGATAAAAAGTCTGAAAAAAACTTTATTTCTTCTTTATTTATGAATCTTAGTTTTGCTAGATACAAAATTATTGGCTGACAAAACATAGCAGACTAAACATAGAACCCCAATCCCTAGTGGCCTGTAAGGTTTCTGCTGCGAAGTTGGCCATTAGTCTGATGATAGGTTTTCCTTTTTTGTTACCTGATGCTCTTGTCTCATTGCTCTTAGAATTATTTTCTTCACATTGACCTTAGACCATCTGATAATTATATGTCTTGGTGGTGTCCTTTTTGCAGTGATTCTCCCAGGTGTTCTTTGAGCATCTTTTATTCAGATATTGAAATTTCTAGCAAGGCCAGAGAAGTTTTCCTCAATTATCCTCTCAAATAGGTTTTCCAAACTTTTCTATTTCTTCTCCCTTAGAGACACCAATAATTCTTGGGTTAGGCCTTTTTACATAATCCCATATTTCTTGGAGATTTTGTTCATTTTTTAAAAATTGTATTTTGTTTTTGCCTGATTAGGTTGAATAAAAAGCCTTGTTTTCAAGTTCTGAAATTAATTCTTCAACTTGATGTAGTCTATTGTTAAAACTTTTCACTGTGTTTTGTATTTCCCTAAATGTGTCTTTCATTTCCAGAAGTTTTGGTTGATTTTTCTTTAAAATATGTATCTCTTTAGAAAATTATTTGTTTGGTGGGGCACGGTGGTCATGCCTGTAATCCCAGCACTTTGGGAGGCCGAGGCGGGTGGATCACGAGATCAGGAGATTGAGACCATCCTAACACGGTGAAACCCCGTCTCTACTAAAAATGCAAAAAAAAATTAGCCAGGCATGGTAGTCCCAGCTACTTGGGAGGCTGAGGCAGGAGAATGGCGTGAACCCAGGAGGCGGAGCTTGCAGTGAGCCGAGATCACGCCACTGCACTCCAGCCTGGGGGACAGAGCAAGACTCCGCCTAAAAAACAAAACAAAACAAAACAAAACAAAACAAAAAAACAGAAAATTATTTGTTCATATGGTGAACTGGTCTTAAACAATTTCATGTTGTTTTTCGTCTTTGCCTTGTCCCTCCCTGAGTAACTTATTAATCAACTATTTGAATTCTCTATCTCATATTTCAAATATTTCATCTTGATTTGATCTGCTTCTGGAGAGTTGTGACGTTTTGGGGTTGTTATAGAACCGTTTTTCATATTGCCAGAATTATTTTTCTGGTTACTTCTTATTTAGGTTAACTATTTCTTCTAATTATGTTTTAATTTATGTTTGATTCAACTTTTTAAAAAATATTTTCCCCTTGAGGATGTGACTCTAAGGTTTATAATTTATTGTTACCTAGCTTAGGCTCTAGGTGCCTTCACTGGCAAAGACTGTATAAGAGTTCCTGGTTATAGAGAATCTTTGAGCGATGTCTTTCTCAGTTGCAGGTTGAAACAGCAATATGCTGAATGTATGAGGAGGTTCACTGTCTCCTGTGAGGCTGAAATGGCAGAGGTCTCATGAAGCTTATCTTGTTTCCCAGAGGTGTGCACTTAAAAACCCTTTTTTTCCCAGTATTTTATTTACTGTATTTACCAGTTCAGGCTTCAGGCAAGTAGGAGACGCCCATGGGTAAAAACTAGCTGCAGCTAAAGCAGATGGGTAAATGCAACACCCCAGTCATTGGTAGAGGTCCCAACCTTGACGGAGGTGACTGGATAATCTCTCAGTGAAATGGACTGAGGTCTTTTGGGGGAAGGATGGAGCCAACAGGAAAACGATCCACCTCCCAGTCACACTCCTGCCCTGGTGTTCTGGCTATTCAGATCAAACAGGCACTTCTTTTCACCTTCAGAAATGCAGATGTTCCATGTAGACAGCGATTGTGACTCTGCCTCTTGTGGAAACCTGAACCCTCCTGTGAGGATGTAGTCACCTTGAAGTGTTCCAGAAGGGTTATCTACAGATGCACCCATGTCCAGCACCCGTGGATAAAGCCCCAGCTATGTCTGCAGTGCTAGGTGAGGGAGAGAAGTACCCTTCTCCAAGACCCTTCCTGAGCACCCGGGCTCCCTGATTTTTGGGGTAGTCACAGATTTTCCCCACTGAGCCCAACACAGCAGCTGTGCCTCTACTGAAACTTTCCACAAGTGAACAGTTCCAGGACTCAAGGCAGCCTGGTTTCTTTTGTCTCATAGGGTGCTCCCTTAATGTAGTACACTACCTTTTCCCCTAGGAGTAGCTGTCCCTGAGCACCAGACTACTTTCAATCCTGCTGCTCCTCTGGGTCTAGCCTCCCAGTGGGGCTGCCACACTACAGACTGGTGATAGCAAATATCTGCAAGAAATCCAATGATGTGACCTGTTCTTGTGTCCCAGCATTGAGTATCAACTCCATCTCTGATGGGCTTGAGAGGAAAGTGACAAAGTCTCTGAGATTTCCTCAGTTATAATTAGCCTTAATGTATTCAGTGATGCAGGCACTGGTGACAGCTGAGATTGCACAAAAGTCTTCTCCTTACTGAGCCCTATATTATTGTGCCTGCAGATGTTGTAATGGGCTGTTCCAGTTGGCCTCCAGCCATGAGGAGGTGTTTGCAAAAGAATGCCAGCTGCAGTGGTAGCCATGGGATTTGCACTTGCCTTATGTTACCCAAGGGAGGTACTCTGTTGTCTCAGGCAATGTGAGGGACCATGGAGCTCCCAAAATCCCTTAATCATTGTGTTACCCTACCAGGGCAGATGGAGGGGCAAAGCCAGACTGGGGCTGGGTCAGGCAACTGTGTGCTCTGGCTCCTCACATGTGGGTGCGAGCAGTGGCCCCAATGGAGATCAGAGGGTGGTTCCCTGACCATGAAGGTGAGGTTCCAGGGAGGAGCACAGCTACCTTTGCTACACAAATGAATCTACATGGGGATAAGGGGGTGGCAGGTGGCAGTAAGCCCCATTCAGCTCCCACACTCTTGGCAAGGCAAGTCTTGCACCCTCATTCCTACAGTGTTCTGCTAACAGCAGCTAGCTGGGTTTCAGGCAACCTGCACTCAGAACTCAAGACTGCTCCAGGTCCTAAGCCTTTCCAACCAAAACAGAAACCATGGCTTTCAAGCCTCGCTCTTCCCAGTCTGCCCACAAAGCATGGGTGCCCAGCTCCTGTGCCCATGGCTATAGCACACTTCCCATGCATCCCTGGGTTAGACTCAAGGGGGTTCATCCCCACTCAAGATTATATAGCAAATCTCAGATGGGAGTTTCTCCCAACCTGTGACTACCACCTGAGTTAGCTGGCAGACTTCTGCAAGGTCCCGTTTGTTAGGATCAGAAATGGCTTTCCTCTGTCCCTGCTGGAGTTATGGGAGTGCACACAAAGCATGTCTTGATGTCGCTCCTTCTCATATGCTCCTCACTGCTCACTAAATCAGCTCCAGTGCTGGGTAGGGTTAAGGCATTCCTCCGTGACCTGGATTGCCTGGCTCCCCAGTGGGAGTGTGTGTCATGGAGGCAGTTTCTCCTCCTCTCATGTGCTGGAGATTCACAGTTTTGTCTGGATTACAGTGTGGGTGTTTGCCTGCCACTTCTTTCAAAGGGTCTGTGGTTTCTTTTAGTTTTTCTGTTAAGTTCCTGTGTTGCTTCTTGAAAAAAAGGTCATGGCATAAATCTCTACACACCATTTTGCCTTTGCAAAATAGCGAGGCATTTTGGAAAGGCATGCTAACAATGTCTCCAATCTGCCATCTTAGGAAAAAAAAAATATAGCAAATTTTCTTTATAAAGATCCAGCTAATAAATATTTAGATATTTCAGGATACATATAGTATCTTTTATATACTCCTAGTCTTTTTGTTAACCCTTTAAAAATGTAAAATGTTTCTTAGCTCACAGGCTAAAAATAGGATACATTTGTCACTTTTTGCCTTATGAATTACAGCTCTCATTTATACTTCATATTCGATACTACTGAAAAGTTTGTATTATTTTACTATCGCTGTCAAAGAAAGACAAAAGCAAAAATTATATTGAAAGTGTATTTTCCTTAATGACAATAAATTATGTATGGATTAAAAATTATGTAAAAATTATGTAGGTTTCACAGTTTACAGAGGTGGTATGTTGGTGGTAGGTGGCAAAATACAATTTTATTGTTGGTGTTTATAACTAAACAAAGAGGTTTTTATAGAAGAGTCAGTAATTCTGAAGGACATGTATTTTCCAAACTACTGCAAGTGTAAGTCAATAAAAGCAAATGAAGTCTTCATTAAAAATAAAATAAAACTCAAGAATAAAAGCTCAGAAATAGGAAGCATAAAATAAGTACAACTAAGAATATTATCTTTTGAAATATGGCCAGATGATTAAAAATTTCACACTATATTCCAAGGCTTTCAGATTGAATATATATATATATTTATGTGTGTGTGTGATGTATTATTTAAAAATTAAAATCCAAATTTAAGAAGCTATATCAAGAAGATTTAAAAATATATAAATTAAATTTTGCAGTAATAGTACCTGATAAGCTAGATTTTATTGAAAAAAATAATTTTTGAGTGATTAAAAACAATTATCTTAATGAAATATGAGACACATTGAAGAATTACAAAAACAAAAACAAATCATAGTAAAGCTTTTTCATAGTATCAAATGTACCAGGACAAAAACAGTTTAAAATTTATAACATTAGAAGAAATAACCAACAATAAGACTGGAGACTTTCCCATTCTTTATCAGAGCAAAAATAAATAAATAATTCCAAAAAATCTGATTAATGTAAGATCATTTCAACAGACCCATGTCAAAAAATTATGCTACAATGTGAGAAATTTTCTTTTCATTTGAATACTTTTGCAGTATTTATAATTTTACTATACTCTAGGCCACAAAAATTGAGTAAGTTAAATATTTATCCAACACTCTCAGAACACAGTGTGAAAAACTAGAAATTTATAATAAAGGTATCCACCAAAATAACCATTAACTTAGAAATGAATAAGTAAAATAATTATTTCTGTGAATTTGTTTTGAATGAATGTCTGTAGTTTTGGATATGTTGCTTTGGTTATCGCTACTTTTGAAGTGTTCCATTGTTTGCAAATTTTTCTCCTTAATAAAAGAAGATTTGCAATTTTGTAAAAGACTTTACACAACATAATGAGAAAAATAATTGATTACTGTAGAAAATTAAAAGTAGCTCAAATAAAGTTCTAGCCCACAAATTTTCAATATAGAATAATGATGGAACTCAGAGCAGAATTAGATCATTTTTGTTCGAATCGCTGCTTCCTGACTTCCTAGCCATGTGATGTGGGCCAATTATCTTACCTCTCTGCGCTCTACTTTCCTCTATTGTCACACAAGAACAGTAATAATATTCACCTAATTTATTATGTTATTTTAAGTGTTAATTGAGATGAAATGTGTAAAATGCTTGAGTATTCTTTGGTCCATATCATTACTTTATCTGGTTAATTGCTGCCAAGGCAATTAACAGTAAATCTAAAATTCTCATTTATAATTTATCTTTCAAGCAAGCAAACACAATTACTGAGAAAACCCATTGCAGCTACCCTTGAAGTAAGAGCTTACCGTAGAAAATTTAAAAAAAAGGTCTGTTCTTAGACCCAATCGGATTTGGGAGCTTATGTCCAACAAGGAAACAGTCTCAGATGTAAAGAGAAAATAATTATGAAAATAATATTATTCACATCATCAATGTAATTTTATAAGTAATTATTTCACAATACCATATTAAAGACATTTCTTCCAATGAGGACACAATTTTGGATGTTCATAGGGCCACTAAATTGAAACAAACAAATCTGACAGAGAAAATCACATGCTGAGGCAGAAACCCAGTTAGAAAACCAGAAGTAAAAATCTGAAGAGTGTTCTCAAAAAAAAAAAAAAGAATGAAAAGAAAAGAAACAAAAAGTTTATTAAAGAAAGAAAAATTCTTTCTTCTAGTTTGTTCATTATCACTTTATACAATGGAGACATAACTACTTTATATGATTAACTTGGACTTTCAATTATAGGGCCTCACTACACGGCTTGAATATATGTGTATGTATATACGCATACACATGCAAATATAATCTGTAAACCAAAAGATATCTGAAACAGGTCTCAATCAATTTAGAAAGTTCATTTTGCCCAGGTTAAGAATGTGCCCATGACACAGACTCAGGAGGTTTTGGTGACATGTGTCCAAGGTGGTCGGGGCACAGCTTGGTTTTATACTAATACATTTTAGGGAGACATGAGACATCAATCAATATATGTAAGATGTACATTGGTTTGGTCCAGAAAGGGAGGAGAACTCAAAGTGGGGAGAGGGCTTTCAGGTAGGTAGGTCATAGGTCATAGGCAGATAAGAGACAAACGGTTGCATTCTTCTGAGAATCTGATTAGCCTGAATGCACAATTTAAAGGAATAGTCACTAATGTCTTAGTCTGGCTTAGTGAAATTGAGAGGAGGTGCCAGCTGGACTTCCTGGGTGGAGTAGGGGCTCAGAAAGCTGTGAAACTCACTCATTTCCTGCATCAGGACTTACTTCAGTCCTGGATAAATAATATTGAAGATATATGCTTAAAATATTCCTAACACCAGGATTTGTGCATGTGTTTCTTCCCCAAGAAAGATATGAACAGCGAAAATTTTGCTGTAAGTTTCCCTGTGTCCTTCTCTCCCTCTCTCCCTTCCCCGTTCCCTGAAACTAAAGTAAAAGGAATGTTAACTGACCATTTTTCTGTGACCAGCAGTGCTTATCTATACTCCCAATTCCAATTCCTTGTAAACATACTTTGTGCCGCTGCAAGGTCATAAAGTAGATAAAACCTAAGTTGCAATTCCAGTTTTCTTCAAAATCTAAGACATGTCACAAAATAATTTACTGCGTTTGTTTCTCGCTCCTGTAACAAGCTTCCCGCCTCACGTATCTCCCACCTTAAAAAGCTTAAAAGGTGAATACCCAAACTAGCAGTGGCTACCCGTTCGGGACCCCTTCCATGCTATGGAAGCTTTGTACTTTCACTCTACTCAATAAAGCCTACAGCTTTTTCTCTCTCTCGGTCCGTGTCTCTTATCACTCGCAGCGGTCAGCTGCCACACCAATTCTTTGGCGGGGCTAGGCAAGAACCTTAGGCGTTATAAAATGATAGGGCAAAGGAAGCAATCAGATATGCATTTGTCTCATGTGAGCAGAGGAATAAGTTTGAGTTCTACCTGTCCTTTGTCCACATGGAATTTCCTTGTGGACACATTGTGAGGAAGATGTGTAGCTTTTAAAAATCTTTGTAGCTATCTTATTTAGGAAAAGAATGGAAGGCGGGTTTGTCCAACTCAGTTCCCAACTTGACTTTTCCCTTTGGGTCAGTGATTTTGGAGAGATTTATTTCCTTTCACAAATCCATCCTTTCATCAACAAACATTTAATGAGGAAGCACTATATTCCAGTAAACTAAATGATAAAAATACCTGACCTCTTCCCAGGCTGGTGGTGCCATTAAAAAAAAACAAAAAAGAAAAGAAAAGAAAAAAAACACCCAACCTCATGGATCTGACAATTTGTTAGTTGTCTCAGTCCATTCAATCTGCTGTAACAAATTACTATAGACTGAATGGCTTATAAATAACAGGGATTTGCTCTTCATAGTTTTGGGTTCTGGGAAGTCCAAGATCAAGGCGCTGGCAGATTCAACATCTGAAAAAGGCCAGCTTCATAGAATGCCATCTCCTCATTGTGTCTTCAAATGGCAGAGGGGTCAAAGGAGCTTTCTGAGACCTCTTTTTAGGGGCACTAATACCATTCATGATGTTTCTGCCCTCATGGCCTAACCACCTCACAAAAGCCCCATTTCCTAATACTATCACATTAGGGATTAGTTTTAACCTATGAATCTTGGGGGAAGGGGGATACAAACATTCAGTCTACAGAACTGGTGTTATAAGTTTTCTCCCTACCTGGGCAATTGGAACCTTGTTTGGAAATACAGTATCCCAGTAATTTTGAGGCTGAGCAACTCAGATGATGGATGAAACATTAAATACTGCCAGTAAGTTCCTACTGCTGAGAAAACCAGAATTGTTGTGGTTTCTTTATTTCTGAATCCAGATTATCATCATCTTGTAGCCCTTACATCAATTTTGGGAGCCACATAGCATACTTCCAATAACGTAATTTTTAATTTTTAAAAAATTATTTCAAGAATTATTGAGAGTTAGATTTTACTGATTGCAATCAAAGAGGCCTAATTAGCACCAAAGCTGATACCAGACTGGGTTTAGAAAACATAGACTTAAGGAAAGTAAGGCATTCAAAATTGGTTATTGGAAAATAATAGACATTGAATGGGAGGCATGCAGCCAATGGCATATTGTGGTAAACAAAGTCATTAAATCATATAAGCCAATTGAGAGTGAAGCTCACAAGGATTACATACTTGTTCTGTCACTAATTTAGCACAGATGCTGTCAATTAAGCCAATAACACAGATGCTGTCCGTTGGGTTGGATAATTTGGCTGCACCAGAACACTGGATAACCTAATGTGACAAATTCAAATTCTAAAGTTCTTGCCCCAAGACATGACCATGCTGAAAAGAATCATTTAGCTGCTGTTGTAATAGAATTGAGAACACAAACAAACATTCAGAAATATACATCGTTAGTTGCCAAATTAGCCACTAGTTTAATTCACAACTTTATCCTGGGAAAATTAAAGGAGTTTGGCAATTGTAATAATTTGGAAAGCTTTGAAGGACTTGGGTAACAAGAAAAACTAAACCTTGAAACACCATGTTTTGCACTTTTCTTCTTGCAGAGGCCACTCCTCTTTCATAAAAGAAAGCTCATCTTCCCCAAGAATCTTCAGTCTCTGTTCTTAGTTAGTAAACAGAATTCAAGTGTTGCCATTATTGGTGGTAAAGGGGTGGGAAAAATGCAGAAAGTTTAGGGAACAGAAGAGTTTATAAGAAATGATTGCCAGTGTTAGATAAATAGCATGTCATATATCTAATGAGTATTTGTAGAAATAGACTTTTCAAAGTGTTCAAAAATGTGAAATGCACCAAAAGTCTGAAAAAAAAATGAATGTATTGACAATCGGGCATTCTGCAGATTCACACAGTTAGCTTAAATCCTAAAAATATTTGGGCTAGAAGATGTAAATGAGAACTGTACTCTAGGTATCCAAGCTAAATGATATCAAAATTTCAAAATCTCTTATTCTAAAAAAATGCAAAGATTTTGGAAGACAAAGAAGCTGGATCAGCTGACCATGAGTTTTCCATACACCTTTTCCTTCCTTGGGTCTCCAAGTATCTCCACAACATTTTCCTTTCTTCCTTGTTTGAAATCCAGCATGTTTAGGGAAGTGGTGAAATTTAAATGAAGAAAGGTGAGTTTGCAATTTGCTTCAGGACTGGAATACTAGTCAGAGGTCAACAATTGAATAAGTTTTCCTTATATAAGCGGGAGAGAGACAGAACCACGGAGGCTGAGCACAGAAGGTAGTACTTAATCACAAGAAAAAATGTGTAACAGGAATCAGGGAAGGGGAACAAAAAACAAGATCTTTGGTAATGGTCTGATTGTGGAGGTTTCCTAGTAGTTAGTTAATTATAAGATTCCCAGAAATGTTATTAATAAGAACTCTACTGACATTTTAAGTGATTTGTATAATAAAAAACAGATATATAATAGATAACAATAAATGCAAATAAATACAGAAATGAATGGATAACTAGACAATTGCATGATAGTAGTCAGTCTAATATATTATTTAGACCTGAGTTAATTCGGAGCTTCAGAGTCCTTAAATGAAAGATTTCCCAGATGCCTTTAATGGAGGAACCAATAGCCTATAAAAATTCCTATATAATTTTTCACAGAAATTGAAAAAATAATCCTTAGATTTATATGGAACCATAAAAGACCCTGAATAGCCAAAATAATCTTGATCAGAAAGAACAAAGCTGGAGGTATCACACTCCCTGATTTCAAAATACCCTATAAAGTTATAGTAATCAAAGCAGCATGATACTGGCATAAGCAGACAAATTGACCAATGGAACAGGATAGAAAGCTCAGAAATAAACCCACACAGTTATGGCAATTGATTTGTGAAAAAGGTGTCAAGAGCAAAAGAGCACACAATAAGGAAATAACAATCTCTTCAATAAATGATGTTGGGAAAATTGTTGGCCCACATGCAGAAGAATAAAATTGGATTATTATTTCACAGTATATACAAAAATTAACTCAAAAGGGATTAATAATGTAAATATTAAAACTGAAACTGTAAAATGACTACAAGAAAACATAGGGACGAAGCTCCACAACCCTACCCTGAGCAAAGATATTTTTGGATATAACCCTTAAAGCACAGGCAACAAAGCAAAAATAGACAAATGGAATGGCATCAAGCTAAAAAGCTTCAGTGCAATGAAGAAACAATGAACAAATTGAAGAGACAACGCACAGAATAGGAGGAAACATTTGCAAACCACTGGATGGTTTGTCAATGTATGAGTGAATAAAGAAAATTTGCTATATATATGAATAGACTATTATTTGGCCCTTAAAAAGAAGGGAATGCTGTCATTTGTGACAACGTGAATGAACTTGGAGGACACTATGTTAAGTGAAATAAGGCAGGCACAGAAAGAAGTACTTCATGATCTCACTTACATGTAGAATCTAAAAGAGTTGAACTCATAGAAGTAGAAATTAGAATGATGGTTACCTGAGGTAGGGAGTTGGAGGCAGAAAGGAGAGAATGGGGAGTTGGTCAAAGGATACAAAGTGTCAGATAGAAAGAATGCATTTTGAGATCTATTGCACAGCAGGGTGACTATAGTCAATAATAGTTATGGTATATTTCAAAATATCTAAGAGCAGATTTCAAATGTCATGTCGTAAAAATGATAGGCAAATGACATAATGTATATATTGATTAGCTTGATTTAATCATTCCACATTTTAGCCACATATCAAAACATTACATTGTACCCCATAAATATATACAATTATAATTTGTCAATTAAACATAATATTAATTATTATAGGCCCTCATGACCAAATCACCTCTTAAAGGTCTTACTTCTTAATACTGTTACAATGACAGTTGCATTTCAACATGTGTTTGGGAAGAGACAAATCCAAGACATAGCACTTTTAAATATTTAACCAGTTTTTATAAATTAAAACTATTAAAGAAGAATGATTATTCCCCAGAATACAAAGGAAAATAGGTTGAAATAGAGTAAGTTATTGTATATAGCTATTAAATCCTAGGCACTCTTCTAAATTCACCTATATATTTATAACTTACATAATTTAATTTAATCATCGTGATAATCCTAAATGTAAGCAAATGCTGATATGAGCCTAAAAATTAAATGTATTATTTCTGTTATCTGGATCAGTGTTATTTGTAGTTATATTCATAGGTTTGGTTTCATAGTTCCAGGAATGAAAAGTATACTATTACCACCATATATTAAATTTTACTATTAAAATTTTTCAAAACTATCATATAAGGCAGGAAAGGTTTATTGGATTGAGTAGACAGAAAAGCATCTACAGATAGGATAAATGTAGAGGGATTCATTAAGCTAGGAACAAATTAGACTACAGTTGAGGAGAAATGTGATAAAATAAAAGCCAAGTTTCCCTAAATCAAGCTTCTTTCCCCATCATTACTTATTCTGCTGGGATAGGTAGCCTCTGATAATGAAAAGGAAATAATTCTCTCTGTCCTTAGCACAACTTCCTCTAGGTAGTGCTATTTCTAACATATGCTGTTAGGTACCTGAGTCATGAAAAAATTGGTTATAGAATCAAATAACCTTTTGAAAACATTGAATATTCTACTTCTCTCCTAGAGATTCACAGTGAACTCACCAACTTAAAAGCCCTGAAAGAAACTGAGGTTTTAAAAAAAATCCATCAAGTTGCCACATCGTTCCAAACGTATTTGACTATGATCGGCTTTTATCATCTAACATCTGTTTCCCCGATCAACTCATGTGGGGCAAAACTGATAGCTCGGCCTGTTCCCACATAGAATAAGAATGATTCTGAGGACAGGCTAAGCCAACATTTATAAAAAACGAAGGGTTAAAATGATATCCTTAGAGCTCTGCTAATTAGGTTACCTTTTTAAAGAACTGTTAAGTCACAGTAAATTTACAGTACAATGATTTCAAGACTTTCTATGCTTGTAACCAGCCTAAGATAGAAAAGCTGGGAATGGCAACACAGTTAATTATTTTATAGGCCTGAACAAAGTGAATTTAATACAAAAATACCCAAGCCATACCTGTATTCTGGCCTCTGGAAACAGCATGAAAGTTGTTATGTAGAATCACAGAAAAAGACATCCAACCACCCAAACAGAATAAAGTACATCATATTTTTCTTCGGTTTTTTTTTTTTTTTTCCATTTGACTTTAATTAAACACACCATACCCATAAAATCTGGCAAAACTAGATAGTGGCTTTTATTTTTCTAACAAAAGAAGAAGACTGTCAAAATACATTTCCTCAAATTATCTCAGTTGCACTTACTAAAAGCAAAGTGTTCTTTTCCCCCCAGTGGTTTTATCTGGCATGCCAGTAACAACTTTCTTCTTTTATTAATACACTGGACTTCACAGACAACAACCTCATTAAATGCTCTTTGCCCTTTTCTGCCCCAAACAGGCACTACCATTTGCAATTTCCTCAAGTTTCATAGAATAGTATACTGAGTAGGGGAAAAAAAGGAAAAACAAAAAAACAAAAAGAAAACATAAAACAGAACATAAGAGACAATTTCGCACATCTGTTCCCGTGGGTGTTCTTTCATTCTTTCTCATTTATAATTAATGAAAAATAATGGTGCTGACACAAGTTAATTACTATGAAAAATTACAGTTTATGCTACTCATTATAATAATGGCAAATTACTTGAGATTTTCAAACACCGTTCCTAAGCAATTAGAAGTGTTCATAAGGAGTTCACCTGTGAAATTTTTTCATCTGCGTTTGCATTCTGTGAAGTGAAAGAACACCCAATGTTTTTCATTAGCAGCAGAGATAACACAGCAAGTGATATTAATCATAGAGTCCTGTACCTGGGAAAACATTTAAAAGAAATTGGGATTGTGTAATTGAAGTAGAGGTCAAAACAATACACAAAGATATTCATTACAACAAAACTTTTCTTAACAGATTCAAAGGGACTATTAAATCTGTTTCACTTAGTAACAATTTGGCATAACTAATTAGAATTACTATCTTGTCCTAGTTTACCAAAATATTAAATTACTGATTTTAAAATTAGAATTAATATCTTTATAATTAGCACAGGCAAATTAGAGGATCATTTGTTCTCAAATTTCCTTTTCTTATAAACCTATCAATTGTAAAACTAATGCAATAGTCCCCAGGTTATTGAGAATAATTTATGACTAAAAAATACTAATTAGGCCTAATATGCCTCTATAAATGAACTAAGTCAAAAACATCTCCGTGAAATGTTTGGTCTGTTATAGATTCAAAGTAACCTAAATAGGAATAAGCTCATTTTGTCTTACTTAGCTCTATGGCAAAGTTGCTATACATACACCAATTCTGTTTTATTTTTAAATTATTCAGACAATGCAAAAAGATGAAAGTTTCAAGACAGTAAAAAATGCTCCATATTATTTATAATATTTTCAATTAATTATCCTTCCAGGAATACACTGATTTAACAATAAATCAATTGCTAAGGGTAAAGAAAAATAAATATTAAACTTTTTTGAAAAGGCAAGGAAAAACCACACATAAATGCATGAATTCCATTCATTAATATTAGTCAATTATTGCTGCTAATAATTAGTTTTGATACAATTGATCAAAAATATTCGACATTCTTATAAGTATTCTTCTATAATATTTCTCTTCATAGCTCAGCATATATCCTTAAAAAGGAATTACAAATATATTACTATGTTGTAGATTTTGAGTTGATATTCTTAAAAATTATTAACTGCCATATTTTGAATGGTATTATCCCCCTTTGTAAACACATGTTAAACAAATCAAATCAATAAGTAAAACTGAATGTGTTTAAAGAAAATTACTGTATAAGAAAATAAATGTCTTTACTTAGTAAGTCTTACAATTTTAGATTAACTGATTAGAATATCAGAAGTAAACATTTTTGAAGCAAAAGGAAAATTCATTTATTATAATTGTATTGACTATTTTTTTACTGCTCTCAGATATGGCTGATTACAGGTGGTGAAGTTAAGCATCAACATTATCTCTTCCTTTTATTTAGCTGCTGATCTTTGGGTTGGTTGCATTCTCATCAACAATCTCACCACGTGGTTGCAAAATGAACACTAATAGTTTTAATGTCCTTAATCCCTGAGATTTCCAATGGTAGGAGTTGGTGAGTGTCAGAGTAAAAAGGAATAACAACTGCTAGTTTGAAAGGCAATAGTTAACTAGAAATGGACTTACAAATTGTGTTTGACACCTAATTCATGAATACATTAGTTCTCTCTTACCTAAGTTTCCACTCTCTGTGGTTTCAGTTAATCACAATTAACCAAGGTAGAAAAATATTCAATGGATAATTTTAGAAATAAACAACAATTCACAACATTCCGAGTATTGTGCACAACATTGTTCGTCTGAGTATCTGCACAACATTCTGAGTATTGTGATGAAATCTTATGCCGCCCTACGCCATCTTACCCAGGATCTGAATCATCCCTTTGTCCAGTGTATTCATGCCATATCTGCTACCCACCTGCTAGTCACTTAGTGCCATCTGCATTGTCGGACTGGCTATCACAATATCTCAGGGCTTGTGTTCAAGTAACCCTCATTTTACTTAGCAAATGACCAGCAAAACAAGACTAATGATTTTGGCATATTGTTATAATTTTCTATATTATTAGTTATTGTTATTAGTTTCTTAGTTTCTCTAATTTTGCTTTATCATAGGTGTGTATGTATAGAAAAAAACTTATTATATTTAAGCCTCAGTTACTATTCATGGTTTCAACCATCCACTGGGAGTCTTGGAATGTATCCCCTAAAGATAAGCCGGGGGATGGGGGGGGCTACTGTAGATAAGATTAACTGATGGTTTATTCATTGATTGTGTATACACGGAAATTTCTAAGTATAATATTAATAAAATAGTGAACTATAATGACCATTTTTGCTTACAGTTGGGGTGTTATGGCCAACATACTATTTTATCCTCTTATTAGAACTATGATGTAGAATATCCTCCTTCAGAATTGTCACTGAAGACATAACTGATAATTAGACATTTTAATATATTGCCTAGGATCAAACAACTGGCAAGCAACTAACCTGATTCACCTTATTACAAAATTATTTTGTCATAGTTTTTATTAATTTTTATTTTGAATAAGCTATATTTAAATGTAATAGCAAATGATTTTAGTAAAGAAGATAAATTACACACTATTAAGAGAATTTCTAAATATTTCCTTGGTAAAAACTTATATACAGATATCTGATAATACTGCATCTTTTTTTATTATATTGCAGGACTCCTTACTTTTTGGAAATATTATATTTGAGGAAAAAATCTGGTGATATGTTAAAACAAAACTGTGAACTAAAGCGTGCTTACATTCAGCAGTTCAGAGACTGAAGTTAATTTTTTTGTCAATAACGACTTGGCTTTCTACAGCATGTTTGTCTCTCAAGTAATCTAGATTAAATATTTTAATTTTACTGAAAACATCATGGAATTTTAAACTAGAAACTGGAAGTTGAACCAAGGATAGTTTTGAATCCACCTGTATAATATAATTTTGTGTTATAAACTTCATATGTATATTCTATGAATTCATTTCTCTGTGGGATATCCTCCTTCACTGAATGTTTTTTCCTTACATGTTTAAGAATTCATGAGTACAATAATCTGCAAAACAATCATTTAATATAAACATGTCAAGTCTTTCAGAATGTGTATATATATATATACACATATATGTATATATAGGGAAATATCTATGAATTAAATATAGAGAACATATATATAAACAGAATATATATATAATAGAATACAAACAAGGAAGCAATTTAATTATCCAAAAAGTGAAAACCTCTCTAGATACTTTGCAAGTCACATCATGCAGAGATGTGCAAGAAAACTGCAATATATTATTTTCTTTAAATGAAATGATATTTTTTCCCTAGCAACCGTTTTAATACAGTCATTTGGGAAGTTGTTCAAAGATCTAGGGAAGGTGAGGTTATATGATTATCAAAAATTAGAAAAAGAGTTTCAAGTCTCCATAATGGTAATACTGATATAATTACTGTCAAAGTCCACATGGCATCTGAAAAATGGCACTACTAATTCTCTGTGCTCAATTAGTTTTGGGGAGTTTTCCAAAATGCCTGTGTAGTTCTACAGTTAGTGGCAGGGTTGGATACTAGAAGAGTTGAGGACTGCTTCCCCTCATCAGGCCATTAATTTTTATGCTTGGGCCGGCTGTGGTGGCTCATGCCTGTAATCTCAGCACTTTGGGAGGCCGAGGCAGGTGGATCTGAGGTCAGGAGTTCGAGACCAGCCTGGCCAGCATGGTGAAACCCTGTCTCTACTAAAAGTACAAAAATTAGCCGGGCATGGTGGCTCATACCTGTAGTCCCAGCTACTTGGGAGGCTGAGGCACAAGAATGCCTTAAACCCAGGAGGCAGAGGTTGCAGTGAGACAAGATCACGCTACTGTACTCCAGCCTGGGCAACAGATGGAGACTAGATCTCAAAAAAAAAAAAAAAAAAACAAACCCAAAACAACAACAACAACAAAAAATTAGTTTGGCTACAACCTGTAGAAAAAGGTATCTTATTCTAATGCAATTGAAGGTGCAGCTGGTGTGGGCACAGTCCCGGCACACTCTCCCTAAGTGTACCTCACAGATGATTTCCCAAGAGGCCCTGCCTCTGTCCAAATAGCCACTATAGATGATGATACAAGGTTCTGTTCCCTAGAGGTCCTGGAAATGTTTGTTTCCATTCCTAGTTTTGTAGAACCATTGATTCCCTTTCCTCTAGCAGCTTCCATAATGAGCTTCTCTCACAAGGTATTGTCCTCAGAGAGGTTTTGTTTCTGTAAACAAAAGCCAGAAAAACAGGTTTGCTTTAAAGATTTTTCATATAAATCTTGCCAGAGGCAAGTTAAACATGCCTATAAATTGCACTAAGTAAGCACATATTTTCCTCATGACAACTGTAAGTCCAGCACTTTGGGAGGCCGAGGCGGGTGGATGACCTGAGGTCAGGAGTTTGAGTCCAGCCTGGCCAACATGGTAAAACCCCGTCTCTACTAAAAATATGAAAATTAGCAGGGCGTGGTGGCTCACACTATATAATTTTTGTATACTGCACACACACACACACACACACACACACACACACATACACACACACACACACACAGAGAAGGTCCTCCATTTATGATGGGGTTATGTCCCAATAAATCCACTGTAAGTCAAAAATATTATAAATCAAAAATGCATTTAATACCCTGATAAACTCATGGTAAAGTAAAAAAAAAAATCTCAGCTTGAATCAGAACCATCATAAAGATGCTCCTCAAATTACAGTAGGGCTATGTCCTGATAAACCTATTGAGAAGTCAAAAAATACTAAGTCAAAACACTCCAGGTCAGGGACCATCTGTGTGTGTATATACATATATGTGTGTGTGTGTGTGTGTGTGTGTGTGTGTGTATAGTCATGCACTACATCATGACTTTTTGGTCAACGACAGACCTCATATATGACAGTGGTCCCATAAAATCAATAATGGAGATGAAGAATTCCTATCACTTAGTGATGTCATAGCCCTGGTAATGTTGTAGCAGAACATATTACTCCAGTGTTTGTGGTGATGCTGGTGTTAACAAACCTGCTGTACTGCCAGTTGCATAAGAGTACAGCACAGACAATTATGTACAGTACCTAACACTTGTTATTGATAATAAATTACTATGTTACTGGTTTATGTATTTACTATATATATTTTTATTGTTATTTTAGAGTGTAGTCCTACTTATATAAAAAGTTAACTGTAAAATGGCCTCAAATACATCCTTCAGGAGGTATTTCAGAAGGCATTGTTATCACAGATGGCAGCTCCAGGCATGCTATTTCTCCTAAAGACCTTCCAGTGGGACAAGGCCTGGAGGAGGAAAACAACTATATTATGACAGCATACATATATGACCTTGTGTAGGCCTAGGCTGAAGTGTCTGTTTGTGCTTTAGTTTTTAACAAAAAAGTTTAAAAAGTAAAACCAAAATTATATATAGAAAAAGCTTGTAGAATAAGGATACTCTACACCCTTATAATATATATATAAAGATATAAACAAATTTAAATATATATAAAGTATAAATAAAAATATATATTTTGCAACTCCCCAATGTATTTCTGTCTTAAGTGTTATTTTAAAAGAGTAAAAAAGTTTATAAAGCAGTTATAGTAAGCTGCAGTTAATTTATTTTTGAAGAAAGAAAATTTTATATAAAGTTGGCTGGGCATGGTGGCTCACGTCTGTAATCTTAGCACTTTGGGAGGCTGAGGCAGGAGAATTTCTTGAGCTCAAGAGTTTGAGACTAGCCTGAGCAACACAGCAAGACATCACCTCTACTAAAAATTTTTTTTAAAAATTAGCTGGTCATGGTGGCATGCCCCTGTATTTCCAGCTACTCAGGAGGCTGAGTCAGGAGGATTGCTTGAGACTGGGAGATGGAGGCTGCAGTGAGCTAAGTGTCCTACACAGGTGTAGAATTTTTTATCTTTTATATTATATTTTTATTGTTACTTTTCTATGTTTAGATAGTTTTAGATAGACAAATACCACTGGTTTATTTGTTTGTTTGTTTGTTTGTTTGTTTTTGAGACAGAGTCTCACTGTCACCAAGGCTGGAGTGCAATGGTGTGATCTTGGCTCACTGCAACCTCTGCCTCCTGGGTTCAAGTGATTCTCCTGCCTCAGCCTCCTGAGTACCTGGGATTACAGGCATGTGCCACCATGTCTGGCTAATTCTTGTATTTTTAGTAGAGACAGGGTTTCACCATATTGGTCAGGCTGGTCTCGAACTCCTGACCTCGTGATCCACCCGCCTCAGCCTCCCGAAGTGCTGGAATTATAGGTGTGAGCCACGGCACCCGGCCCACCACTGTGTTTTAATTGTCTACAGTATTCAGTACAGCACTATGTTGCACAGGTTTATAGCCTAGAAGCCATAGACTATACTGTATAGCCTAGGTGTGTAGTAGGCTATACCATCTAGGTTTGTGTAAGTACACTCTATGAGCTACACACAATGATGATATCACTAATGACACGTTTCTCTAAATGTATCACTGTTAAGCAATGCATGACTACATGTATTTAAGGTGCTTAGTAGGGTAGAGAGATGACTGAGGAGAAGGGAGCTAATATGTATGGAATGCCTGCTATGTGCTGGGTACTTAATTTAATGGTTTTTCTTCAAATACCCTCATGATGCTCACAGTGATAGAAGTTCTACCACAAGAAGGAAATTAAAACTTAGTGAAATGAAATAACCAAATCTATACCTTATTGTTAGTGACAGAGCTTTCATCTGAACCTTAATTTGTCTTATTCAAAGCTCCATATTTCTACTTTACCAGTGTTCTCAAAATTTAGTCATTTGTTATGTACCATACTGATAGATTTTGCCAAGACTTTGGACAAATTAAACATCTCATGTGTCTGCCACCATGGTTACAATGACATGTCCTGGAATATACTCTCATTCCATGGATAGATATCTTACCCATAACTCCCAGCCAACCGATTCTGTGCAAAAGTGTCCTATTTGACTCCTGCACTCCATAACTCCTCCTGTGGTTTACAGTTTACACACCCCTTGAAGAGAGCACAATTACAAAGACAAAAAAAAAGTCAAGTTCACCCTTCTCTATATCCTTCTACATATCATTCTTCAGAGAGATGCACATTGTGGAAATTAGAGTTGAAAAGTTATATCTTCATTTCTTTTAGAGATGAAGAGTACAGGTAGTAAAGTTTAGAAAAACTTGGAAAAGATTTTTCCCAACCATCACATTGACAAATGCAGAAGAAGAAGGAGGAGGAGAAGGAGGAAGAAGAGGAGTGAAAAACAGTGCAATAGGGCTTGAAAAAATGGGCATGAAAACAACAGACCAACAGGCAGGGGACAGAGACCTAAAGATAGGCACAATGCTTTTAGGACTGGCACTAAGGTTGGCACTAAGAATTAGGATCCTGGACATGCAAAGAACAATGTGGCCCCAGAAGAAAGGGCTGGATTTTGTGTGATAAGTGGGTGTAAGGTTGTTTGGGGGATGAGCTTCAGGAAGAAGATGAGGGTGTGCTGAATGAAAGACCTGAAGGAAGAGGCAAACTGCATATGATGGGAAGAGGTGGAATGGGAGGATGGAGGAAACTCTAAGGACCTGAAGATTGGGAAGCTGATCTCAAAGTTTGAAGGATGGCATCCTATGGGAGGTAGTGCTGAGGACTGGCAGGCAAAAAGTAGCTAGAGGTTATAATTGTGGGAGCAGAGCAAGCCAAGCAATCACTTCCAGAGAAGAAATGAGAATTAACCCGTATTTCAGAATGCATCGTGTTGATTCTTTAGGAGTAATAGAAAATAGTAATCAAATAAGTGTTCAAGTTCTCTGATTTTTGTTTGTCATTTGGCCTATGCACAAGTCTCTTGTCTTACTGATTTTTAGCCTCTGATAGAGACAATAGCACCAGATGATTTACTTACATCATACAGTTGTTGCTTACATATATATATGTACATGAAAGTGAAAGTATATGTTACAAAGAAAATTTAATCTAAAGTTTTCATAGATAAATAAAAAGTTATATTTTATAATATATTAATATAATAGCAAATCTATAATTATCCTAATTTTATATTCTAATCTTAAGGTATTAAATAATGATATATTATAATATAATATAATAAACAACAAACATATAATTAATTTGGTATGCTAACCAAATTATACTTTTGTTATTTATTATGTTAATATATTACAATATATCATTATTTAATATTTTAAGATTCGAATATAAAATTAGGATAATTATAGATTAATGTCTGATATATATGAGAATGTAGTTTGGCATAATCCAATTCAACATGCCACTGCGGTTTTTTTAACATAAAAAAATGAAAAGGAGGAAACGGAGAAAAGGAAGACAAAACGGAGGAAGGGAGATAGGAGAAAAGAAAGATATGGAAAAGTAGTAAATTTATACACAGAATGTAAATACTAGGAAGTATGCTTTTACTATTTGACAGGGTCCAAAAATATTAGATGTTTATTTAACTGAATTTTCAGTTTTAAAGAATTAAATAATCAGTTTTATTTGTTGGCATCAATTTTATTGAAGAAAAATACATTTTCTGTTAATCTTACTTTTAACTTCACAAATAGGCTATTCATTTTGGTTAAAAATACTTAGGCCAATACAACAGGTTGTAACTGAGGTTTGTTTTCTGTTCTATACATTGGCATCTTGTTGCTGCACAGTTGCATTTAACTGTCTTTCCCCGAGGAAATACCAAATAAGGGCTACCAGATGATATAATATCACTGTCCCTGAATATTTCTGGAGATTATTTCAAAATCAATATTTTAAACTATATCAATGAATTTATAGTTTAAGTCACAATAAAGGAAAATAACCAAGGGTTCACCATTACTTGGCTTCAAAAATTTAGAAAACAACCATTAAATTCCAGAACTGCCTTTTTGGCTGCTCCATCATTGTGCTTTCCTCTGTCCTGAGATTCCCAAACACATGAGCTCAGTCCTCTGGAGTTTATAATCAATTGTGGCTACAAAATACATGGTTTAATATTCCTTTGAGGCTGGGTGTGGTGGCTCACGCCTGTAATCCCAGCACTTTGGGAGGTCAAGGCCGGTGGATCACGAGGTCAAGAAATTGAGACAATGCTGGCAAACAGGGTGAAACCCGGCCTCTACTAAAAATACAAAAATTAGCCAGGCTTGGTGGCGGGCACCTGTAGTCCCAACTACTCGGGAGGCCGATGCAGGAGAATCACTTGAACCCGGGAGGCAGTGTTGCAGTGAGCCGAGATTGTGCCACTGCACTCCAGCCTGGAGACAGAGTGAGACTCCGTTTCAAAAAAAAAAAAAATCTGTTTGAATTTTAATGTTTTATTCTGGCCTCCTCCTCATGCCTTCTCAAACAGTTTTACCATTGTAATATAAAACAATGGAATTAAACATGTAAATATTGTCAGCTCATGCCTTCTCAAATAGTTTTATCATTGTAATATAAAACAATGGAATTAAACATATAAATATTGGCAGTTTACAAGTGTACAAGTTTGGTTTTTTTCTGAGCTAAAGTAAAATAGTATTAAGTTTAAAACTTGGAAGAACCACTAGATTTAGTCCAAATCTCCAAGAAATGAATTCCCATGCAGTATATTTTATTTTAAACGCCTCATTTCAAAATTGTAGACCATGACATCTTGTAATACATTAATTTGGAATATGTCAATTTCTTGATCTAGTTTAGAAATTAAAAAAAAAAAACTCACAGGTAACCATTTACTAAAAAAAAATGAAAAGAAAGAAAATAAAAAAAGAAAAAGTAGAGTTTATGTGAACATGCAGATTTTGAAAGGGTTGATATTCTGTATTTTCAATCAATTGCTATAATGTTAAAGGTATTTCCCAGTTAATATACTATTTTATTAATATTTGCATTATTTTTCAGTATTTATCAAACAAAACAAAAACACAACTAAACTGAAAGCTACAACCTGGCAAATATTGAGAGGGGTTTAAGATTATTATGTCAGTTTCAAAATATCTCTTAAAAGGGCAAAATCATATACTGTATACCATTGGACTTTGGGTGTTTATCAGGTTTTAGTGAATAAGACTGCCAGTTACAAAGCAAGGCATGGTTATTTGCTCCTTAATGTAACTTTAAAATCTCAAAATTTCTTGAAATGTCTTATAATTACAGTATATCTAATACATATTTTAAATTTTCTTCTATATTCCTGAAAGTGATATTAAAAATTAAGAAGCGTTAATTTTAAAGGGGTACTCAAGACCTAATAAAAATACATTGAAATAATTTAAAAACCAAGAGAGGAAATTACTTATTTAGATTAAAACTCAAGTGCTCCCACAGCTTACATCGTACTCAATAGTGAACAAATGAAAGCTTTTCTACTGAGATCAGGAACATGACAAAGATGCCTGCTTTTGCCACTTCTATTCAACATAATAGTGGAAGTCCAAGCCAAAGCAATTAGGCAAGACAAAGAAATAAATGGCCTCCAAATTGGAAAGGAAGAAGTAAAATTATCTCTGTTCACAGACAACATGATCTTATATGCAGAAAGTTTCCACACGCACACAACTGTTAAAATTAATAAATTTGGCCAAGTTTCAGGATACAAAATCAGCACCAAAAAAATCAGTTGCATTTCTGTACCCAAATATGGAATAATTTCAAAAAGAACTTAAGAAATCAATTTAATTTTGAATAGCATCAAAAATAGTGAACTGCTGGGAAATAAACTTAACTAAGTGTGCAAAATACTTTTATACAGAAAACTATAAATTGTTACTAAAAAAATTAAAGACACCAATCAATGGAAAGACAGTGCTCCAGCTTCATGGGTTGGAAGACACAATATTCTTAAGATGTAAATACTATGCAAAGCAATCTACAGATATAATGCAATATCTATCAAAATTCTAGCAAAGTATTTTGCATAAATAGAAAAATTCACTCCAAAATTCTTATGGAAATTCAAAGAACCCCACATAGCCAAAGAAAAACTGAAAGAACAAAGTTGAAGGTCTAACACTTCCTGATATCAAAATTTAACTTAAAGCTACAATATTTATAAAAGTATGGTATTGACATAAAAGAAGATATATAGACCAGCCAAATAAAATAGAGAGCCCAGAAGTAAACCTTTATATAAATAGTCAAATGAATTTTGACAACAGTGCCATGCCAATAGTATTCAATAGGGAAATGACAGTCTGTTCAAAAAATGGCATTGGAAAAACTGGATATCCACATGAAAAAGAGTAAGTTGGACCTTACCTTACGTCCTATGCAAAAATCAACTCAAAGTTGATCAAAGACCTAAATGTAAGGGGTAAAGCTATAAAAAGTTTTATAAGAAAACACACAAGAAAATCTTTTTGACATTGAATTCAGCAATAATTTTTTTGGATATGATACCAACAGCATATGTAGCAAAGAAAGAAATAGATATATCATACTACATCAAAATGAAAAATCTTGTATTTTCAAAGGACAAATCAACCTACTAAATAAAGTTTCATAGTAAATATATGAGATATTTGTAAATCATATATTTGATGAATATATAAAACATATAAATAACTACATGACAAAAAACTTTACTAAAAATATGCAAAAGACTTGAATAAACATTTCTTCAAAGAAGATGTACAAACGGCCACTAAGCACATGAAAAGATACTCAACATCTCTAATCATTAATGAAATGCAAATTAAAACCACAATGAGATATCACCTCATACCCATTAGAATGGCTACTATCAAAATAAACAAGGAAACAAACAAACAAAATGAGAAATGTTGGTGAGATGTAGAGAAATTGGAACCCTTGTGCGTTGTTGGTAGGAATGTAAAATTATGCAGCTGCTATGAAAAACAGTAGGATAGTTCTTAAATAAAAATTTAAAAATTACCATATGACTCAGCAACTCAACTTCTGGGTATATACAAAATAATTAAGAGCAAAAACTCAGACAGCTATTTGTTACACCCATGTTCATAGAAGCATTATTCACAAAGAGTCAAGCAGTAGAGGCAACCAAACTGTTGATTTTGGGGTATTTTGAAGCTACAGTAATCAAAAAAATTATGATAATGAAATAAGAAAAGACATGAAGATTATTAAAACAAAATGGAAAGTCTCAAAATACATATATATAATATGTGTGTGTATATATGCATCATGTGTGTATAATATATAACACATATAAATAATATATACATTTATGTGTATATACACATATACACATAGATATGTGTAATATATATGTGCATATTAGTATATACATATATGTATATACATATATGGGTGTGTGTGTATATATAGAGAGAGAGTGAGAGAGAGAGATATTCAACTGGTTTTTGAAAAAGGGCTAGGTAAACAGTTCACTTTGGGAAATAATGGCCTTTTCAACAAATGATAGTGAACAATTGGCTATCCAAATGCTATCTATCTATCTATCTATCTATATATATATATATAGAGAGAGAGAGAGAGAGAGAGAGAAAGTGAGAGAGAGAGAGAGAAACTGAATTTTATCACAAACCACGTACAAAAATTAATTCAAAACGTAATGTCGCGGCTGGGCGCGATGGCTCACGCCTGCAATCACAGCACTTTGGGAGGCCAAGGCGGGCGGATCACGAGGTCAGGAGATTGAGACCAGCCTGGCTAACATGGTGAAACCCTGTCTCTACTAAAAATACAAAAATTAGCGCGCGCCTGTAGTCCCAGCTACTCAGGAAGCTGAGGCAGGAGAATCGCTTGAACCGGGGAGGCAAAGGTTGCAGTGAGCCGAGATCACGCCACTGCACTCCAGCCTGGTGACAGAGTGAGACTCCGTCTCAAAAAAAAAAAAAAAATAACAAAAATAATGTAGCCATAAATGTTAGAGTTAAAACTACATAACTTCTAGAAGAAAACAGAGGAAAAAAGTCTTAATCATCTTGGGTTAAGAAGAGATTTCTTAGGTTAAAAAAAAGTAGCATGAAATACAAAAAAAAAAAATTAAAATAAATTGGAATTCAAACTGAAAACATTCTTGTACTTTTAATAAACTTTCAGAAATAAATAATACAAGCTATTAACTGGAAGAAAGTATGTGCACAACATAAATCTAAAAAAGGACACGTATCCAGATATAAGAGCATTTGCAACTCAATATTAAGATGACAATCACCCGGATAAATACACGAACAAAATATTTGAATAGACAACTCTTGTAAAAAGATGTACACATGAGAAATATGCGCATACACAGATGCTCAACATCATTAGTCACTAGGGACAGACTAATTAAAAGCTACACACAGATGTTACTACACACACTAATGATAAAATTAAAAAGACTGACAATACTAAATGATATTAACACTAAATAAGGTCATGAAGCAACTGGAGATATTGCACATTGGTGGTGGGAACTAAAATGATACACCTATTTAAAAAATACTTCAGCGTTTTAAAAATAAATTTTAATTTATACCTATGCTAAATGCAGCAATCCTATATCTTTCTGTTTATCCAAGAGAAATGAAATATTTTTCAACATGAAGACTTGTACTGAGATATCCATAGCAGTTTTATTCATAAGACTCCAAAGTAAAAACACAATAGAAATAATTCAAATGCCAAAGAAAGAATTTCTTTAAAAATATGGGCTGCTCATAACATGAAATACTATTTTGCAATTAAAAAAAAAAACAAGCTATGTATACACATAAATACTTGAATCAGTCTTAGAGTTATTATACTAAGTGCAATAAACTAGCTAAAATTATTATAAAATTTTAAATTATATTTGTATGCAATTCCAGATAAGGCAAAATGAAAGAGCAGAATAGTATTTTTCAGATGTTAATAGTTGGAGCAGGGGTTTCACTGAAAGGGGGCATAAAAGGGACTTTTTGGCAAGGTGGAAGTGTTCTATATCATGATTATGGTGGTGGTTATACTACTTTATACATTTGTCAAAGCTCATTAAATTGGTAAATATAACTGTAAAATTTAAATTAAGAAACCTTACTAAATAAAATAAATATCATAACAAAAGTGGAATAATCAGAAGTCAAAGTAGGAAACAGATAACAGAAATTGGTCTGAGATTGTTTTCCCAACACATTGTTTTGAAGCACAACCACCCTATTACATTATCATTTTAATTGCTATAACACATTTTGTACTTAAAAAAGGATGTTCAGAGAATTGTACTGATGCCATAAAGCCCTATTCTACAGAGTAAAAATTTGAAAAAATGTTAATAAAATTAAAGATTTTTAAAAATCAACAAAAAAATCACAAAGAGGCTGCAATTTATTTAATTTGGAAAACTGAGTTTTGTTGTTTAAAAAAGAAAGAAAGAAAAATTAGCCGAAACATCTTACTATTAGTTTATGTCAATTTTAACTAAAATAAATATAAATAGTAGCAAAACGGAAATAAGAGTTTAAGAAATATTGCCTGTATTATTATAAAGTTTAAACAGCCAGAATTAAAGCATGGATTTACTGTATATGCCTCCCAAACACTAAAGTATTCCAATCTTGTTATTTAAAAAAGTCCAATCCAAGACAAGAAATAATGACTTTTCTGTGACTTTCTTCAGTTTTCCCAGTGCTCTCGGAACTACTTAATCATTAGGTGTAAAATATAGTATCACAATCTTTGAATGCCTGGGATACATTTGGCTAAGTGGTATTTGATTACAATGCTACAGTTTCTAAGGAAGTTGTAAAAGTTTTTGTAAAAGCTGCCTTCCATAAGATTAAATGTGTTGTACGATGCTGTCATGAGAATCTTAATATTCCCTGCAGTAGATGTCTCATCATTGATCTAAGCAAAGTCTTAGAACATGATAATAAGGTCTCCTTATTTTCATAGCTTGAATAAACTCAGAGTCACCATCCAGGAAAGTCCCCCTTGTATTGCCAAACTTTTTATTCACTCCTACTATTTATTGGTACTACTTTCTGAGAGAAGGCTTCATTAGCATTTATATTGCTGTGATTTTTTAATCAACATTTAAAATGGCTATCTATCTAGGCCTTTTAGTAAGAGAACTATATAAGACAAATAAGACAAGCATACTGGTTTAACACATATGCCATTAAAGAAGAAAAAAATTGATAACGCAGTAAAAGAAGACTGAGGGAGTGGCTAGAACTTCACGGCTCAAGTCTATTATTTATTTTTTTAAAAGGGTAGGATTTAGTTAGAAAACATAAATTTTCAATTTTGCTGGTTTCTCCATTCTCTTTTTTTAATATTGTGAGGGAAATAGTGTGAACCCTCATATAAAATGAGAATTCTAAACAATATGGTGAGAAACAAATAAATATTAAATAAACTTGAGGTGTGAAAAAATGAATAAAATTTGATCAGTAACTAGAAGAAACTTTTAATTTTTTGAAGTAATGAAGTAAGCAAACAAAAAAAATTCTACAAGTCAGCAGAATGTTATAATAAACGTATGAGAAAATTAGAAGAGTGTAACAGGGACATAAAAGAATAAGATGGTGCCTCTGAATAGGGTTAGTGAAGGGGTGAGTCGAAATATGAAAGAAAGCTTCCTAGGTACAGTACATTTGAACCTGGCTTTTAAAGAAATGCCACATATCTGGAGTGATGAGAAAGAACATTGACTAGAATTCTGTCTGTGCAAGAGAGGATGCTTGTGGTGTGAACTGAAGGAACCCAGAAACTCAGGTTACAGACATCCCCCCTTGTTCATTTTTTAAGAACCCCTCAGACTCTTTACATAAGGCCCTCTTAAGTGTATTTATTAAGGCATTATTTATAGCTCACTTTAATCATTTGTAATTATTGAAGAATATTAGAAATATTAGTTGAGGCAAATTTGAAATATACAGAAAAGAGAAAAGAAAAAACAACCCCCCCTGCCCCCAGTAACTCCACTGACAGCTGCTGTTACATTTGATCTATTTTCTTTATGGCTTTTTTCTACACATTTATTTTTACAGGTGTAATTTTTATGCTTTACTTTTTCTTTGATAGCATATCACATATATTTTCCCATCAAGAAGTCCAAATAACAGGAAACATTTGATCAAAATTAAGTGCAAACCTTTCCACTTTCTTTTACCTTCAGAATTCAAGAACAAAAGCTTATTTTCTATGGATGAGAAGGAAGAAACAAGAAAGCAATACAGGTCTTTGGAAGTTGAATTTATCTGTTCTATGCTTTTAATTCACAGTATGTCTTGCCTGTGTATAGACAGAACTACTTTGACATGAATATATATTTCAAAACAATTATTATAAAAATTTATCAAAATTATACAACTTTATTACCCACAGGCATAGTTTCCCTTCAGGAGAGCAGTGTAGGAGTAAAAGCATCTTTGTTTCACCACAAATGGGTGGTCAGATTACCAGAAGTATCCTTATAATAACTATGATGCATTTTTATTAAATACACAGTTGTTTCCATGAATGCTTCACGTGACAAAACCATGAAAATACAGAAGAGTATTAAAATTCCAGAGGTAAAAAACTTGGAGCCTAACTCACAACACCTTCCAGATGCCATTGCCTTGGCATTAGCTTGTGGAACTGTAGGCTTATTTGGGAACTCGCTGTAGAGTCCCTATATTAACAGAAGAGAAGCTGAGGCCCAGAAAGAAGAATTTGTCCTAAAAAGCTGGTTTTCTTCATCTCTCATCCAGCAATGTGTACACTCCCCTATGAGTGGCATAGTCTCTAACAGTTCACTGTGGAAACCATAGTTCATTGAAGCAGGGTAAGAATGCAGAGGAAGCTGGGAAACAGAGTCATGGAGAACAGCTCAGAATTATTAACTTTATATTAAACAGAAATTATTCATATCCTTACCCCCAACCCCAGCAATCTCCATTATTTGTAGCAATACTCTCAAAGAGTTTATATTTCACCCCAAGTATTCAATAATTAGTATTGACTGCTTAGAATATTATGCCATGGAGGTTCTGAAACAGTGCCATGAATGCATAGCTAAATTCAGCCTGAGAAGAGGAGGAAGAAATATAGGTAGTTGCTATATCTAACTTAGATGCAATTTGAAGAAGATCAAAATAACTTCCTATAATATTAGCACATACATGAAATTAATGTAACGGTCTCCTGAGGACTAATGTCTTAGCCATCAACAAAAGTACTGGTGGTGAATATATTGCAGTTGTTTGGGTAACAAATGTATGTGCATTCAATGATGATACCAAGAAAAGTGTGGGTGTTACATGCTCAGAGACTGTAGTGGGATAAGTTATTCAGTTTTTTTTTTTTTTTAAAGCTCTAACATGTTGTTAAGACTTTGCATAAATTCAGTGTTAACTTAGATTCAATGAATGCACAAAAGTAAAGAATGGAATATGAAAATATGGTTTGTCAGGTTGTCCAAGTCCCTCAAGACAGACTTCATATTTTTTGTTTCAGTGACTGGTTTTATAGTAACCTGGGCATAATGTAAATGTCATAATAAGAAGAGAGGTTTGGAGTAACCATTCATGAGTTGGATATTGTAAATAGCACGCTTTGTTTCAAGAGGTTTAAAATATGTAGCTAGCTAGTTACTTCTTGAGTATAGGTAATAGCCCTACATCATTTTTATATAAAATGAATGTATGAATAATGCTAGAGTTAGCTATAACTTTTGAGTTATTTTCCATTTCTGATTATGTATTTGTCTTAGATCAGTCACATTAATTATTTTCATTTCCTTTTGTTTATATCTCTTTTGACTTGTCTTTATTTTACATCTAAAATAGAAATATTTCCTCTTAAATCATCATAATAAAAACTCATTATAAAACATAACTTCAAAAGAAGCAAAAGTCACTTTGGTAGCTAAAACAGACTGTTCCAATAAGCCCTCCTTAACCCTGAGACCCATTTCTAATAATTATGTAGCTATATTTGTAACGTCTTTTTAAGTTAAAAATTGAAAGTATATTTCCTGAGGAAGCATAGAAAACAAAAAAACCAGAATTATTCTACAATGGCCAATTTCTTTAATATCTTCTTTTTGATACAGATTCCAACAAGCTACCTTGCTTCTTTTGGATACTACTTCATAATAGGTGTTACCACTGCAGTATGCTACTAGTTTTAATAGTGTCCCTAATCTATTCCATATTTTCCAAAGATTCCTAAAATGCTTCCAATGTGAATGTGAGGATTAGCATAATATTAGTATTTTTGTTTTATTTCCTCAAGATGAAATAAAATCTCTATACCTCACAGCTGGCTCAGCTCTCTAGATAAATGGCTCTTTCTTGCCTGCCAACTTGTGTATACTCATTAAGCTAAGAATGTGGAGCCAATTTAACCTACAAAAAAGAAAAAGGTAAATGAAGAAGAAAAAAGAGAAAAGTATGCCATGGATGAGGGACAAAAATGCTGTCTTTGGCAGACAAAGGAGTAAATGGAGCTCAGCTGCTAGAACAAAAGTTATCATTCAAAGTGAAATTACTGAATCTTAACCCTGAGCACACTTTGATGAAGACTATAGCTCCCTAAATTAAGAAAAGGAAAAGCACGTGTAGAGAAGCAATTACTAATGTCAAGGCTAACCAATGGCATGCATTGGTATATACTTCATCATGAAGAACTGTTTCTTTAAAAAATTAATAAACAGAAGGACATTGGGAAGTAGCATAAATTCCATAGAGTATTTAGATTTTTTTGTTGTTGATTTTGTTAATAAAGACATGCCTCTAATAATCTGAGAGGAGGGAAAAGCCCATAAAAGTTGAAGGTGGTGTTCATTTTATTTAATGATACAATTTTTTTTTTCACAGAAATGTGTGAAAAACACAAATATAATATGACCAGAGGACCCAAGCAGCCCTTGTCAGTTTTAAAATCCTTGATGCATAAGAACTATCTAGCTGCACATTTTTCTCAGTGATATATATATTTTCTTCCAATCTGGTAGAATAGAACGTAAAAGAGAGAAAGTGAGAAAGAGACAGAAAGATCCATTTAAAGGAAATCTAAAACAATATATATCTAAAATCTGTCATTTTTACTTGGGGACTTGTAGAGTCACTGATTAAGGAAAAATAGTAGATTAAATAACAAAAAAATCTAATTTTGCCTTAATTTTAAATTTGACAATAGGGGGAGTAAAGGGAGTGGTAATTTTTGTTTCCAGTGTCACTGCTCCTCTTACTTTAGCCCCTTCAGATACTTGACCAGACATCTATTCTTCAGAAGTGTTACAAGTCTCTTAGAAAGTCTCTTTGGAAAAAATATTTGAGGCTGAATAAGCTATTGTTCTGTAGGAAGAAGCCTGGTGGATGTACAAAGTGAGTGACGATTAGCTGAAAAATTAGCTTTCCCTAGAATCACCACTCTGTGTCCCCAAAGATGGGAAGAAATTAACCTAAGTGCCCACACAAAGTGTGCTCAAGCAACTAGTATTTGTTTTGGGAAGAGTTCTTCCGTGTCTAAGATAAGGATCCTCTCTGTAAGACATTTTAAAGTCCATGATTTATTCCTGACACTTGATACATACAGACATGGACAAAGGAAGGCATAGAGGAAGCAAAACTTTATTCCGTTTTATTGGGGAGGATGGGAGGAAAGATAAGGGAAATGAAATGTGAGGTATGGGCTTTAGGATTATATAATTTGGATTTCTAACTAACAGGGAAACTGCAACTGGCACGAAAAAAATCAGGAAGGAATAATGTTTGCCTGACTTATGGTTCAAAAGGACATGCTGACTAGTTCAGCCCCCTCCTTTAGGTTGTAGTGAAATCAAAGTACACTTGAATAAGTTCATAATATAAAAGAGAATGATGTTGTACGGAGGATTGTTGGGATAGAGCGGTGGTCCTCAGAAGGCAAAAGTTTTGAACAAATTTCTTTGAGACAGAAAGTAAGTTTGAGTACATCAGTGGGGAAAAGAGCAAAGGAGGCTACCACATAGAAATGCTGAGGAAGCTACTAGAGACACTGGGCTTAGATTCAGTAGCAGCAATGGCAAGAGAATAAGACACAGGCAGGAAAATGGGAAAATAAACAGAACACCTGTGCAAGATGCCCTGTTCCCTGTGTTCCTGGCTACAGTAACAATCAACCAGCTTTTGCAACAAAAAAGCAAACAAGCAAGCACACAAACAAATCATACTGGTGAATGCCTCTCAAGATAAACTGAGAGAACTATCCACAGTGTTAGGGCTGGGAGATCTAAGGGTTCTAATGTGGATATTTCTTATACAGGGTAAATCTCTCCTCACAGTGGCATCTAGGGGCCTCCCAGTAAGTAGCATAGCTCCTGTTCCTTTTTCTGTAAACACAAAACCTAGGATGCAGAGAGTTAAATATACTCTAAATTCACCTTCCACTGCATTGTCTCTCTTTGCAAGGCCCTACTCTCATTTTCACTCATGCATTTGTTTCTTTTTTTATCCATTATTTTATTCTCTTTTATCCTTGTTTCTAATTCTTACTTTTCCCATCCATAGAGAACTTATAGAGGTATCTTTGCATCTGCACCTTTGAAAAATGCCTACTGGAATTTCTGTGTGTATGTATTTTTCATGTACACGAATACATTTGTTTTGCATATCTCGTCTGTTTTTAAGAAAATTATTCAGAACAATATGTTTAAAATCTATCTTAAACTTCTACCTTAATGTTTATTGGTATATGGCTGTTTGATTGCTTCTCACTGCTCAATGGCACCCTATAACATGTGTTAAACCTATCGCCAGTGATGGTCTCCTACATTATCTGCAGAATCTCATTACCACAAAATAAACACCAAAATGTAAACCTTTTTACACATCAACTTAAATTCCCTTTTGAAATTTTTTCATGAACTTGTTCTGTTTCCATTTACAATATAAGAAAACTACCCCACCGGTCAGCGAGGTCAACCCTTCTTCACTCTACTCCCATCTCCACAAGAGCAGCTAGTTCATTTTCCATTCCTGAGGTAAGCCTAACAGGAAACAAATCTATCTGAAAAGTGGTGGAGGAAATCCACACAAGCCATCTAGAAAAATTAACATAATTTGTCATTCTTCACTACTCTGGCAGGATCCCATATCCTTAATGATCCACCAAGAATCACCACACACCACACATTAAGGAGAAAAATGCATCATGAAGAACAAAGACTACAAAAAAAAACAGCAACGAAAAATCCCTTTGATGTTTGATGAAACAAGAAGTTTAAGAAGAAAAGTTTAAATGAAAATGTAAAAAAAAATTCATCACAAAATCTCAGTGTAAGTTGGAGGAGATGAAGAGGGTGCTGGGCAAAAATACTATTTTAAAAAGAATAATAAATAGACCTTGAAAATTAGAAGTATTACTGTTGAAATAAATTGTATAAAATCTATAATGTTAAAGAAACATTCAAGAATAGAGCTCAAATAGATAAAGAAACAAAAAAAATTATGAAAGAGGAAAAGAGAGATGATTATGTACCATATCAGTTGTTTTGATTTGAAACTAGTAGAAGAACACAAAAATAGAAACTGAAAGGGGATAAATCTTGCAATAAATAGAAGATACTGTAATTGAATAAATAACATATATAAATTTTAGATTGAAAAGAGCTATATAGTATAGAGAAGGATTAAAGAAAAAGTCAGATTTCTAAATATCTGGCTTAACACTTTAAACACTTGAGATAAAGCGACAATACAGAAATCATCCGAGCTGTGGAATCTTTTAAAAAAAAGAAGAAGAAGAAAAAAAAAAAAAACTAGCCAACCCACATTCTCCATAATATGAAAGCAAAGCTGGGCATTTTTAGACATACAAGCATTTTTAGATTTAGTTTCCACATATTATATTTGAGATCTACTTGGATTTAAAAGAAAGAGGGAGAGAACTAAATGAGAAGCATAGGAATATATTGATCGAAAGTCCCAGTTACAGCTGTACATGGACAAGACACACTAAACAACCCAACTGCAATAATATGTTGGAGGCCCTGGTAAAAAGATAGTGCAGAGGATCTGTCTTTACTGTTAACCCTTTTAGCCTGACTTCTGTGAAACCGATTTATTTCTATTAAGCTTATTGACAGACCCTGTAAGAGTTGAGAAGGACGGATAAGAATTTTGAATTAAATAAAAAGGAGAAGAAATATCTAAATTTAGTTCAGTAGCATGAGGTAGAAAGGAAGGAATCAGAAAAAGAAAGAAAGGAGGAAACAATAAAAAAAGAAATGCAAAAAAAGGAAGGGAGAGAGAGAGTGGGAAGAAAGGAAAGAGGAAAAGAGGGAAGCAGGCACACAGGCAGGTTAGGAAGTTTTAGAAACTACAATTTTAGCATGGACCAGGAATAAAATGGTGATGCTAAGAAGCTCCTGTTATGTTAAAATGCACCATTAGAAATAATACAGACTTTTAACCAAATGAGGTATTATACTCATGGAACTTAGTGCTCATTGTGTGTACCTGGAATGTTGTGTTATATTCTGGCACTGCACTTAAAAAGGCTCCAAACAACAAACTGGAAAATATTCCTCCAGTATTTAAAAGGATAGTAAAGTATCCAGAAAATATATTATAAATGCATTTGTGAAGATTGGATGGTATGACTCTTGTCTTCAAAGCTTGAATAACCTTCATACAAAGTATTTTCTTTTCTTCTGTGTGGCCACATGAGAAAATAAGACACAGAGCAATGTGATGAAATTTTAGTGATGCAGATTTGACTTTGCTTGCTTTTCACTGTAAATGGAAAGAAAGAAGAGGAAAGTCTAAGAAGCTCAACTCTGACAGTCTGATGAATGTGGTAAGATGGTTAAAGGAAATAAATGAAGAGTGGCAAATTAACTTCAAGAAAGCCCATCAAAAAACGGATGTATTTAATATCCAATGCATTACAGGATTATCCGTACTTATATTAATACTTGAATAGTATACAATGTGTTAGTAAATAAACAATTAAGGCAGTATGGAGTTTATGAAAAAGATCTATTATGGAAAATATAAGAAAGGACTGAAAGAAGGCATATTTGGCATTTTGGTCAATATTTGCCAAGTACTATATATAATAAATCATAACTATCAATGTGCTCAAATAGATTTCATCTTTTATATCCATATGTATTCCAAATAAAAACTAATAAAAAGGTCTGATTTTATAGAACTCATAGCAACTTTTTCCTGCTTTGCTTTTCTTTTTTTTTTTTTTTTTTTTTTTTTGTGAGACGGAGTCTTGCTCTGTCGCCAGGCTGGAGTGCAGTGGCGTGACCTTGGCTCACTGCAACCTCTGCCTCCTAGGTTCAGGTGATTCTCCGGCCTCAGCCTCCCGAGTAGCTGGGACTAGAGGAGCTTGCCACAACACTCTGCTAATTTTTTGTATTTTTAGTAGAGACGGAGTTTCACCATGTTGGCTAGGATGGTCTCGATCTCTTGACCTCATGATCCACCCGCCTTGGCCTCCCAAAGTGCTGGGATTCCAGGCATGAACCACCGCACCCAGACCGTTTTTTTTTTTTTTCTTTTCATAGCATTCTATTTAAAGACGAAGGAGAAAACAAAATCTATTATATCTTTCAGCAGGCTTATTATTCACACTTTAGATTGTTGAAATCGCTGTTACAGAAGCAAGCAAAGGTTCAGTGAAAAGCATAACAGATATGGTTTCACTGTAAGAAAATAAGTATTTAAATGATAAAAAGTTGTATATGTTAGAAAAAATGTTAAACCAAAGAATATAAAATCAACTCTATGATAATTTAAGCAAAACCCTTAGGGTCAAAGAGAAAGTATCTTGCCTTACATGTTGCCTAACACTGCTTAAATTAATTGCTCAAAATCAAATTGAAGGAAGAAGCACAGAAACAAAGAGGCTAGATTTTCTCCTTTATTAACTAAATTATTGTCATAATTGTCACATTAACAGAGAGGAATTTATGGCTTCTCAAAGAAGACTTAAACAACTACATATGGCTCTCGGCCCATAAATAGCACCCATTAGTCTTATAAATAACCCCAAAAGACTACTTTTTGATCAAAACACTTATGAATTATTAAAGTTCCGACTTTTAAAGAAAAACTGAGCCTTGTCATTGTCACTTATTTCGTTTTTGAACGACCTTTCTCTAATATCGAAAAATAAAGAATAAAGGAAGTTTGATGTTTTATAGATACCATTCTCTGTTTCAACTATTTCGGTGCGCATTTTTATTAAATGCTTTTTTTTTTTTTCCTGTGACAAAGTCTGGAGCTACGCTTGCTCAATCCAGGACATCTCTGTGACCAGATAAAGATGAGACAAGATCAGAAAGTTTCCGGAGCTGTAGCAGCGCAGCTTGCTATTATCAGCTAATTCAATCCATCTGGGGGAAAATTATATCAATGTGAATTTACACAGTTGATGAGTTTCCTGTTTCGTATGCTATGCCAAAGCAAAGTTCAGCATACTGGCCTTCCATGTGAAGTGTAACCATCTTATCTGCCCACAGCAAATATAATCTCACACAGCATCTTTGAAGTAAACCAAACTAAGCAGATATGGAACCTAGTATTTCTTTTGGATTTCAAGTTTCATTTCATTTGTTTTGTGCTCAGGGAATCTGAGGAAGCCTTTTTATTCTCAAGAGTGGCTAGAAATAATGTATTTATACTCTGTCTTTTTTATATGAACCACTTTTGAAACATTGTTGATTTAAACATCAGCATTTTTTTCTTCTTTTATTTTTCACCAACCATTTAAATATTATCTATCCTATGTAGTTTTGCTATCCCTTGCAGAGTAGTTCATAGTTTTGGTTTTTGCTGAAAATGCTCTTTATATTGTCAGAAATAATAAACATGAATAAACTGTGTTCCATTCTTTGAGAATAAGAAATTACATCTGCCTGTAAAGAATTTATTATTTATTTGGATATAAGAGACAGACACAACAATGGAAAACATTTTAAAATAGCAAATTCTACAGGGAAGATGAGTGACTGAGACAGAAAATGCTCTATGAAGTCTGAGGAAATTATCCCTAAGGACTGTGGATTCAGAAAGTCTTGCTCTAGAGGATAGTAATTAAAGTCATCCTTGCAATTGGGCCCCAACAGTAAAAATTGCTCAAGAAAATTCTCTAAGATGAATATTTGCATATTATGCTGATGAAAGTGACAAGACCACTTAAACAGAAGGTTTGTGAAAGATAACAGAGGAGACCTGAGGGTTAAAGGAGGCTGACTTAAAAGAATCTTGGGAGACTTTGGGGGAAAGAAGTCAAGAAATGTAAAAGTATTAATATGAATATTCCAGAATACTTCTTCTGTGCATCTCAACTGAGCATCAAATTATATATTTTGTTCAGGAAAAGGCAAACACTTTATATCTTAGAGGTTCAATATTGTTATGCTGATTGAAATATATGTTAATGTTTATAATAGTACATTTTCTGAGTAATATTTTGATGTTTTTATATTTCATCTTAAATACATTCTTTGTTTTTTGTTTTATTTTGTTTAGTTTTTACTCTAAAATAGAACCACCATCTTTCAACTCTGTAAAAAACTGGAAAAAGCATAACTATTTTCTCTTAATTTTTAATATGATTATGGAATGACATTTTAAGGTATGAAATATTTAAATATTAAGCACATACTATAATAAGAGGTTAGAAGTATATGAGAGGCTTAAAATTAAGTGATGCTAGGTAAATATGCCTAGTTTCTTCTGCATTTTTTCTTTAAGGTTATATCCTTCTTAAGTAATTGTCCCTAAGGTATATTTTTTTAAAGCTATAATGTAAACTCTTTTAACATTTAACAGCTTTCTTGGTGGAAATTTGATAAGTGGAATTTTTAAGAAAAGAACAGAACAGTAATAATAAAGAGAAGCTATAAGACAATTTGGGACCGAGAAAGCTACAAAAACTTCAGGAGAAAAAATATCTAAAAAGCTATTTTAAGTTAATTCTAAGTTTAAAAGATGCTGTTAGTTAGACTAGAATAGGCAAATTGAAATACAGCTATGGCTTCTGTGTTCAATTTTAATTTAGTGATGATGTTGAAAATTCTTATAATAATGTTGTTAAATATATTGAAGATGTGTCCCCATAAAACATTTCCCATCCTCATGGAAATTTTGGAAACAATATCTTGCTGATATGTAGAAGGAAAGACTTTGAAATTTAGATCCAGAAGAGAAAGGAAAGAGATCAGGTAGATGGAAGGAGGGGATTAACAATTATTGAGTACCAAGTATGGGCCAGGGTCATTATGTTTATTATTTAGTTTTATTGTCTCAACAACAGTATAAGACCACTGAGGTAATTTGGGTTGTCCAAGGTCACACATTTGGGTAAGAGACAAAGTAAGGAACAAACTCATCTGCCTGACTTCAATATACATATGGATTCTACTCTAAAACACTGCCATGAAGAAGCAACTACCCTGATTCAAGTGTAACTCTGGCTTCTGGATAGACTATGTGCTGAAAATGACTTTAACAAAGTAATATTGATGATACAGTTATTCTGTAAAACTGTAGCACTGACTGACTCAAATAGTGTAATTTTCGTTACCAATATCCATGCTGTCCTTCTTACCTGCAAAAATAACACTGATTTTTTCAGTGGGAATAACTGCATTTTCCAGTTTCCCTTGCACATTGGAGTACTCATGTTACAGTTCTAGCCAATGAGATATAAATGATGTCATTAATAGTGTCTTTCATGAAAGCTCCATAAAATGCATGTTAGGTAATTGAGAGTAGTAGACTCCATGCTGTGTGGCGTTTTGCCATTGCCCTTGCCCTTCTTCTTGCTGTCAGAAAAACTGATGCAATGCCCAGAAGGGGGAAACCATCCTGGAACTATTAGTCAATTTTCATAGGTTAAGAATGTGAAGTAAAACAACAAAGGATCCTAGATCTCGGATGGCACTGTGAAGTCACTTTACCAGTTCCAGAATGCCCTTTTCTAAATTTCTCATTACAAGGACAAAAGGAGAAAAGAATATATGAATTGTACAAGCCAATGTTTATCAGATTTTACAATTTACAGCCTAAAATAATATCCTAAACCATATGCCAACCTACATGAGAAGCAGCTTTCTCTGTCACTATGTCTGTATAGTATAAAATATCCAGACAAATATGAAAAAAGTCAAGTTCATTTTCCTCAATATTCAGAATTTAAATATTATAAAGACACATAGATAAGATTGGTTCTTTATCACATAATTAATCCCTGCTTCAAATTTAAACTAACCATGCTCATATAAAAAAGAATGGGGGCCATTTTTAGAAAGTTTACTTAAATGACTTATAATGATCAGAATATTACAGGAAAGGAATGATATTTGGAACCAGAATCAACTAATTTAGTCCATTGTTCTACAATATCTGTGACTCAGATAAAATTGATCACAGGCACTGTGAAAATAAAACGTCACGGTATCTTGACCTTTTGCCATGAATTTTTATGGGGATTAAGAGTAAACATTCTACAAAATTTCATGCCAATATATTCCTATATAAGTAAGAATATCAATATTTAATGAAAAAGTTTTATGGATGTATGTTAATTTAGCAAAATACGTTTACAGTGTTTACAGAATTTCTTATTTATATCTTCAATTATCAGCTACTAATTTAACAGATAGGTAATTTGGTCAATTATTTTGATAAATACATTAGCTATAGTCCTATAATTTTGGGTACTTTTCATTATATATTATATAAATATGTAAATACGCATGCAATACAATTTAAATGATTATAATTATCACAAAATTTAAACCATACTTTTAAAGCCATCTAAATAAATATTGCCTAGTTGCTTAAAGTTTGAACATGTGAACTAAGATTGCAAAAACTATTTTTATTCAATTTTTAATGAGATATATATGTAGGGTGTGACACATTCATGGTAAAATATTTTACTTTAGTTTTCTAAAATAAAATTTTAGAATATTTTTTGAATGGTTCAGCACTCAAAATAATTTAAATTTGTATCATTTGGAAATGTAATTCTGTAGAGTTTCCAAAAACACAGTCAGAAAGGAGCATACATTGGAATTAATATTTCTATTCAACAGATAGGAATATATTTATAATCTGTCATTCACTTCAAAAAGAAGACATTGAATGTATAATTTCTTTGTCTTTATTGAGAAAACTTGCATATATTATTTTACTGGATGTTAATCAAAGCAGATTGAAAGAACTCATTCATTACCGAAGTCTTTTTCCTAAAGATTACATCTAAATACTTAGGAACACTTTGAGAGAAAAAGGAAATGATATGCCATTGAGTGGAGCAAAGAACTGAATTCTAACTTTGTTAATATTTAGGGTCAGACGGTTCTATTAATCTTCATCTAAACATAGATAAGAAGAATATTATTCAGAGTTACTCATCTTGTCAACATCTGTGCTAAGTACAGCTAAAGTAGCCTAACATATGTTTTCTTTTAAGTTTTATACTTATTTTCTCAGTGAGGTATCATATATTTAGCTGGATGCCACTGGCTATTTATTTATTTTAAATACTTTCATTTCTTCTCTTATGTATCACTATTACTTTAAGTACACACAGGTGATTTAACACTGTGCTCAAACCTATATATAAATATATATTGTATTATATATTATATATATGAATATGTATGAATATATATAAGTATATGCATACATATATGTATATAATATATATATATATTTGAGATGGGGTTTTGCTCTTGTTGCCCAGGCTGGAGTGCAATGGCCAATCTTGGCTCACCGCAACCTCCGTCTCCCGGGTTCAAGTGATTCTCCTGCCTCAGCCTTCCGAGTAGCTGGGATTACCGGCATGTGCCACCATGCCCGGCTAATTTTGTATTTTTTAGCAGAGATGGGATTTCTCCATGTTGGTCAGGCTGGTCTTGAACTCCTGACATCAGGTGATCCACCCGCCTCGGCCTCCCAAGATGCTGGGATAACAGGCATAAGCCAACACTCCCGGCCTATATTTTAACGTTTATAAGACATAGTAATATTCAGCACAGTTGAAATATATGTGTATTCTAACAATAATAAAATTGAGTTAATTTGCTAAAACTTGGAAAGTGATTCATTGACTGTTTACTAATATTCAACTTTAGAGAGATGGCTGCCATCATAACCATTTAAACTAGTAAAGAAAAAATACCTCACTAGTAATTTTTCAAATACCATTTCTTCTTAACTGATGAAGAGAGAAGTTATTAGATGAAAATCAAACAGTACTACAAATGTTTCATCAAATACTGTTATATATATTACTTGACATAAATATCTTACATTTTTCTAGAAAAGTAGAAAAATCTCCCTCTAAATTTACACTTTCATTCTGCCCACTATTATTTAAGCCAGCCATTTGATCAGGGTTGAGAATTTCAATATTCTGGAAGGAATACTGGTTTTCTTTCAGCACTGATGTTTATTATGTTATTTCTAGATGACAATTCCATAAGTTTGATGTATCATATTAATTTGTTTTGTAGGAGTTGATCAATTAACTTGAGAAAACTCTATGTAGTGTTGATTCAATCACATAACAAGCGTAATTTAATATAAATGGTGCATAAGACATTGATTTTGCCCAACTGCTCTATAGAATTAGTGTCACTAAACAAGGCAGCCAAGCTGAACTAACAATATTAAACATTTGTGCAATTTATCTCTTGCTATAATGAACAGTAAATGATATAATGACCAACAAGATTGATGATAAAGCAAACATGCTAGTTAGATTCATGCTATAGAAGACAATTCATAGTATTACTTGGCAATCAATCATTTGAAGATTAATTTAACCACTAGTAGTGTAAAATCAAGCAACAGGGGAAATGGAAACCTTTCCTGGAACATATTCATTAATATGGCCTTTTAAAAACATAAGATTGGCTATGCTGTAATTTATCTATTTAAACTTTTTGATAAATTTATTTTCCAAAGTTTTAACCAAAATTATATGTTGTCTCAAGCAATTTATTTCTTTAAATTTTCCTAAACTAATGAAACCCCAGATTGTCAGGAATAGCTCCTTCCTGATTCAGCTACAAGTAGATAGAGGATATTTATCAATAATAGTCATTCACAACCAATGTATTTTCCTTCCAGTAGCTTTAATGAATGTAATTAACTAAAGGAAGAAAAGCATATCTAAGGACAAAAAGATGGGAGGTATACTATAGAAGAAAACACTTAATGGAAAATAATGAAGGTAACAATAAAATTTTGGTTTATTGTCCTTTTTAGGCCTTCTCTTCAATTTACTAGCTCTTTCTGACTCTCTCATAAATTCTTTTAAAACTTTACACTTAAATTTTGAACTATATGGTAACCATAAAATCAACTGTAAATTGAAACTTTTAATTTTCAAGTTCTATGTTTCCCTGGAAGGAAGTAATACAGAGTAGTTCAAAGTCCCACAATAAGTGAAATGTTCCCTTTGAGCCTATGTCTTCCATGGAGTGAAATGGCTGAAAGTTAATACTCTAGTTCCTTTACTCAATGTGTCTTTTCGTGACTTGAATTAGAGCCAATAGTTACTTCCTCTCCAAAAGAGAGTTATAAATATTATTCCCATGTTCAACTCCACTATAAAAACAAGAAATTTGCATTTTGGCTCTGTTTGCCAAAACCATATAAACCATACAAACTAATTTTGTGTGAATAAATTAATATAGAATCAAACATACATTATTAATGTCTATTATATTATTATACAAGGCATCATTTTCAGACACAAAGATATTAGGACACAATTTGTGGTCAAATGTACAAGTATTTTAAAACATGTGCTTATGATAACAATAACACTCATTGAGTTCTCACTATATTTCAGGTATTCCTCTAAGCACTTTAAATGTCATAATATTTATTCATCATATCAATTATCTGAGACAGGTTGTGAATCTTACTCCCATTTTATAGATGTGGAAATAGATGCAAGAGAAGTTAAATAACCTGCTAAAGATCCCACAGCTAGTAAGTGAAAGATTTAGAGTTGGCACAAAACCTTGCAGTCTTTACTGTACTGTAATTTCTGTCCAGATCATTTGAAAGAGGTTTTCACCGTTGCACTTCAGTTTTCTAAAAACAATCGAAAGGTTTTGTGTTCATCTGTTTTTGTTTGTTTGTTTTGTTTATCCTATTCAAAGAAACCTATACCTTGTCACTTTACTTATCTAATTAAATTCATGTGGTTGTGAAAAACAGAATTTCAGATATGCTATAAGGAGAAGCCAAACAACCTGGCCTCAAGAAGGGCAGTAACAGGGGTGAAAGAGAACTCCAGGCTTTCACTCTAATGTCTATCATTAACATACCACCCCTATTCCCTATTCACATACTGCTTTTCCATGTACTATAACCTCCTTTTTTTCCTCCATTGTGGAGGGCACATGTTTAATTTACACCTTGTGCTCACTTATAGCTTTTGCCTCTTCATAATGATAACTTGTGTTTTCTCAAAACTTTGGGTATCTTTGATTACATATACTATCTTTTAGTTTGACCTCCCATTCCTGTTTCACTATCCCTTAGTTTCCATTTCTGAGAAAAAAAAATGTGTCTCTTGCATCTCTTTCTAGATCTATAAAATGAAAGCAATATTCATAACCTGTCTTGAAAAGTTAATATGATGAATAAATGTTATTACATCTAAAGTGCTTGGAGGAACAACTGAGACACCATGAGAGCTCAGTGAGTGTTATTATTATTATTATTACTAGGTGTCAGCTTAGCCAATTTTTGCAGACCAGATCATATGGGGCTGTCTGGTGTACTGATTGGATCTTCTTGGGTTAGGTGCCCTCCTCTGATCCAGCTGTATTATGAGAATGAGGTGGTCATAGATCTTCTTTCACCAGGGCCAATGAGTAAGTAGGTAGGAAATCATTTAGAAAAGGCTATCGCCGGCCAACACCATGCTTGTGTCTCTATTACAAGATACACTGATCAGGGGCATCACTACTCACGGGAATTCATAGTTTGCATGTGCCACATGTCAAAAATCAAATGATGAACCCCCAAACAAAAACTTAAGCATTTTTTTCAGCTTTCTTTCTCGTCATACACTCATTCAAAACATTAAATGGGACGGTACTCTATGGCAGAATAGAATAGTTCAAAGAAAATAGTTCATTTGATCTATACGGTTATACAAGTTTAAAAGTTATTTTTCCTCTCCACTCATAATAATTGTCTCACTGAAAAAAAGTATTTTATATTGTTGTTTTCATGTTGTTTTAGGATACTGATATTAAATAATCAGAAAGGATTATAATATATATTATAGCAAAAAAACTACCTATTTAAAAATATAAGTTGACACTTTGTAGACCACTAAACAAGTTCACATATTTTGAAAGAGAAAGAGTAATTACTTATAAAGGGCTCTGTGAGATTTGAACATGGAGGAATCACTTGTATCAATAGTAATCCTCTTTCATTCCTTCTCTGCTAGAGTTAGAACTTCCTGAGGTTCTGGAGTAATTTAAAGTAAACAGAGATGCTATGTAAACTTACTGTTGACCTCCTGATGCCCACTGACAACTCAGCAGACAATGTTGCATCTCAGCCCAATTCCAAGTAGTTAACGTGGAAAACTCGTGTTTATAATAGCAGATTATATTACCTCTACATTATCTATTTTTCACAGTTTTCTCAGAGTTTACTTCCTTGCTTATCCTATAACAACTATTATCAGTAAAAATGAGAGGTGACTCTGTACTTACAGTTTTGTTCATAAATCAGAAACAGGCAATTGTTCTTGCTGAGGCGTTTGTACTCAGGATATTTCATTGAATGTTATGGCGGACCCACGCTACGTAATTAACAACCAGCATTTGAAAATCCTCACGTTAATCAAGGTAATTCGATTTGCTTGGTGTGGAAGAGCTGTCTAAGAATCCCAGGTGTTCCTCATAAGGTCTAACATTAGTAGATAAGAGGGGTCAGAGTAAATTAGGAAAATGCAAATGAATCCAGCTCTAACAACTGTAGCCAACTAACAAAGTACTATTAAGTTTAAAAGAATGGTATGTAGGTGAGAACATACAGAATCTCTTTTCAAAGAAAGAGGAATTAAATTTAAATTCTATTCCCTAACCTCGATGCATAGTAACACTCTACCTGTGAGTGTTCCCCTTTTCAATCTCATACAAAATAGATGTTATAAAATTTTTTCTGAATAAGTAACACTTAGGCAAAGCCTCAAAAAAGCCTACCAACGTTGCATAACTTTCTTCTTTCCTTTTTTTTTTTTTTTTTTTTTTTTTTTGGTGACAGAGTCTTGCTCTGTCACCCAGGCTAGAGTACGATGGTGCAATCTCGGCTCACCGCAACCTCTGCCTCCCAGGTTCAAGTGATTCTCCTGCCTCAGCCTCCTGAGTAACTAGGACTACAGGCACACACCACCATGCCCAGCTATTTTTTTTTAATATTTTTAGTAGAGATGGGGTTTCACCGTATTGGTCAGGCTGGTCTTGAACTCCTGACCTCATGATCCACCCGCCTTGGCCTCCCAAAGTGCTGCGATTACAGGCATGAGCCACCACACCCAGCCCGGGTTGCATAGCTTTCAATGTTCTTTTAGATTGTTTGTACACTATCCCTAGTAATCTACAGAACTTTTCTATACCTAATTTCTTATTTTCAAATTATTAACATTTTCTGTATGTGTATATATGTAAATCATCAGTTAAACTCTATATAAACTTATATGTGTATAGTATATGTTATATGCATTATATACAAAATATTATATATATTATATATAAATATATTAAGAATACTGCAAAGTTAACATTTTTATAAATCAATAAATTACATGTTTATGAAAAATAAAACAGAAATAGTACCAAGTGAAATAGGGAAGGTGTTAATATTTGATTTTTAAAAGATACTATATGGCCTGCTTGGAAAAAGAAACAACTGAAATTCTGCATTACTAGTTACACAAACTAAAACATGAATGGAAACTGTTTCAGTTAGATTGTTTCATACCGATTTTAGTACTCTAAAAATATTCATTTTCCAAAACTGTATTTCCTGATGTTTATACATCAAGTTGAGAAGAAATTGTGATAGACTAAATTTTATTCTAGGAAGTAGTGATTGTTTTAAACAGGGCCACTCAACATATAATTTTTAAAAGCTAAGGAAAAAAATTTGCAATTACTCAATATAGTCAATCAGAAGAAGGGTATTTATGTGCAGCAATAGGCAATAATAAAGCTGTGAAATAGAATCTGATAAAACTCTAATCTTTTGGCTTATCTCTCATATATAAAATTGCTCTATTATTTCCTAGGATTGAGTCTCAGGTAAGAGTTCCTGATTGGGGATTTGCAAACAGAGCTGAGATTTATATAAATTTGATAAGAAAAATATATTTATCATAAAAGCTAACAGATTTAAATTCCTAATTGAGTACCTTTTCAAGAGTAAATTTTTATCTTATTTAAAAATTTTAACTTATTCTTTAGACTACTAAAGCTTTTAGGACAGTAGAAATTAAGAAGTCAACAAAGATTTGTACAATGCATTTTTTAAAGTTTTGCATATATGTAATTATCACTTTTATATTTTAAATATAAGATCAGAAATGCAATCATAAAGCCAGTTTTTTAAAAGTAGAGTGAGTTTACTCCATTTCTTTGCTATGTTACATTTAGGAGCTCCGAAGTTTGTTAACTAAAGAGTTGTAATGTCACTCAATGAAATCATATGCATTCTGTCTACACAGCTGTAATCATGGGATATGATTTGAGAGCGATTGAAAGGTCCTTAATCTTTGGCCTCAATATCTAAATCCCAATCACATGTTGAATTGCATAACACTTAAATCTTAATAATTTAATCTTTTATTAGACATAACTAGTTATTAAAGCAGTAAATATATTCTTTTTTTTTTTTTTTTTTTTTTTTTGAGATGGAGTCTTGCTCTGTCACCCAGGCTGGAGTGCAATGACGCGATCTCGGCTCACTGCAACCTCCACCTCACAGGTTCAAGCGATTCTCTGGCCTCAGCCTCCCAAGTAGCTGGGATTACAGACGCCTGCCACCATGCCTGGCTAATTTTTGTATTTTTAGTAGAGACGGTGTTTCACCATGTTGGCCAGGATGGTCTTTTTTTTTTTTTTTTTTTTAATTAAGTTTTAGGGTACATGTGTACAACGTGCAGGTTTGTTGTTGATCTCCTGACCTTGTGATCTGCCCGCCTCAGCCTCCCAAAGTGCTGGGATTACAGGCATGAGCCACCGCACCTGGCCAACATATTCTTATATTAATACTATTTAGTTATAGAGATATGTTATTATTATTCATATATATGGTATTATGAATAATTGCACATATTGTTTCTCTTAATTGACCATGATTAACATGTTAGGAATATATATAGCAGGTTCAACAGAGAAAGAAAAAACAGATATGTACAATTCATCATAATACTATAATAAAAGTTGCCTTCTAGCATTTTAAGCAGGGTTTAGTGAAACATGGGGGAAGGGCAATTAATTCTGCTGAGGATGTAGTGAGGTATAGAAGAGGTTTTATAGAGCATTGGATACTATAAATGAGCTTAAAAGCTGCATTTGGTGCTATATGAAGATAGGACTCTCCACTTCTGATACAATGAGACAAGATATGTGCAAAATGAAGTGGAAGTACTATTTGAGGAAACAAACTATCTTTGATTCAGAGCCTGGTCCTGTGGCATTAAACATTAGACTTTGGTGTACGAGTCTCTTTCATCTTCGTGGTTTATAGTAATCATATTAAAAAGTGCATCTGATATTTTGGTTCTGTGCCTTGCTTTCGACTGGATGAGTTTCTTTAATTCTTGGGAATAGATTATTCTGAGAGATGGCTGATCTCTTCTCCACCATCCACACCCCAATCTTGCTGCCCTTAGACAAGAATGTCTAAGACAGGAATGGTTTAATTGGCATAATAGTGCTTAGGAATCAAACTAACAAAAAGCTAGAGATTTGTAGTCACTCCTTTCTTTTTGCTTGATCTTGGGACTGAGCTTACACCTAGAAAACATACTGTCTGGTCTGCTACAGTCCTCTGCTTTTTAAGTTTTACAAGGGTCTTCCTCCAATAGAGGAAGTGGAATAGTAGCTCATCACCCCTCCTAACTCAGGGGGAAAATGATCCAGTTCTGGGATTCATAAAAAAATTTCCATTTGGAAATGTCCAAGCCACATTTTTAAATATCATCAATACCAGTGATAGAAAAATGCTTTAACCTTCATCACCTAACTTTTTTTTGTTTTATGTTTAGTCAGAAGTTGAAATAGAGAGGACTTCTTTTTTAATGGGATGCACAAAATCGAATTTATAGCATCCCATACAGATGGTAAAGTTTTCTGAAATCTGTATTTATAGATATGGCAATGGAAGAGAATAGGACGTTTAAAAAAATACAACTTTGGATGAATTGACTTCTTATATCAGGTGTTGGTAAACTATGTTATGTTGACCAAATCCAGCCTATGGACTGTTTTTGCACATAAAGTTTTATTAGAAAATAGCCTCACCCACTTATTTGTGTATTGTCAATAGCTGCATTTATGCTGCAATGGAAGAGTTGAGTAGTTGGGATAGAATGTGTCCTGCAAAGCCTAAAAATATTTACTATTTGGCTCTTTACAGAAAAAGTTTTGTGGCACTTCTGGAAGCTTACAGGAATCTTTGTCTTAGATTATCAGAAATTTTTAGAAAATGGAAGAACAATAATCTATAATGAAATTATGACCCTGACATTGTATATTTTAAAACATTTCTCTAGTTTGAATGTTGGAGTGTCTTGAAATGTTCAGATGGTAGTTATTTTATCATCTTCTGTAGGTTAAAACATAATCCTGTGAGAAAACTTAGTATTTCTTTAAAAGGTAGTCATCTTTTCTTGCATTTATATTGGGAAGAGGCTATTTACAAAGGAGTTGAAATTGCATAAAGTAAACATTACATAGGTAGATAAAGAAATACCCATTCTTATCTGAGCTTCAGTCTCTTGGGTTTTCTCTTTGTGAGGTTGGCTTCTGAGTAGAAGGTGCTAAGATGGCATCCTTCATATGGAAGCTGACCAAAAGCTAGGATGCAATAGCAGTGCTGTTATCCTTTTTAAATAGCAGTTTTGGAAATTCAGATTACCAAGGTCCATCTCTTACTCACATATTTTTCTGTTATTTCCCAGCACTTATAAAAGTCCTATTTGCATGAGCTAGATTTAATATATATGTATTTGCTAGAGTATGTCTGTAGATTTAGCAGATAAGCTACCTCACAATTTCAGTGGCTTAACAAATAAAAATGTATTTCTAACTCTGAAAGTAGTGTAATATAAGTGTCGTAACTGGCAGATGGATTTTATTTATGTAGTCATTCAGTGACCAGGTCATTCAATGACCACAGTCATTCATTTTCCAGTTTACAGTTTTTCTATCACATGACCCCACTGGGATGTCCAAAGACTGCAGGAGAAGAGGAAAGAGCTGAGAGATGTAATTCACTGGGCAGCTACTTCACCTACAGTAGGGCAGAGGATAAAATTTTTGGTTGTCTATTTACTATCCCTATCACAAAAATTAAAGTACCTATAATTTAGGCACTCATGTCTTATTGTTGGTATAAGCAACTGTTGAAGCCATCTTGGTAAAATGAGAGAAATACCAGATGGGAAAGTAAATTTTGGGAAGAATAAATAAGTCTATGAAGATAAGTCAAAGAGCTTCCTTTGTAAGTCATTTTACTATTACCAGCTTTCATTCATTTGGCTTTGTTTTAGTAATTAAAGCACCCACTTTCTTTGATAGCCCCAATAATAATGTGGAATAAATGCGTATACCTACTGGTGGGGCAGGGAATACTACAGACTTTGGCAATTGATGAACACCATGAGTATTTAGAAAAAATGGAAACTCATGAAAAAGAAATAAAAGATAGAAAGGTCCAAAATAAGCCTTATTTTACATTCACATGTGGTAGAGAATACCTCAGTTATACATAGATTTTTTTCAACAAACATAAAACAATTTTAGAATTTTAATTAATGACCTTAGGATTACATCCCTGCTGGAGTTCTCTTATTATTCTTTCCAGTTTTTTTAATACAGAAAACTAAGGTTAACTGTTTTGCTCAAAGTCATATAATCAGTAAAGGAAGATACTGTCTTCCAGTACAAAATTTTCTGACTCTTATTTCTGTATCTTGTCTCTTATATTATATAGTCTCCATAGAGTCAGGGCAGAAAATTTTATGGACTCATCAATGTAGATCAAAGTGCTAAACACCATATTTTCTTCTGTGCTATGTATGTGTATGTGTGGAGGAAGAGACAATTTTCTTTTGTTAGTCCAAAAATAGGTAGAAGACCTTCACCTGCAACTCCCTGGAAGAAAGGGAGCCAAGTCTGATAGATTGATGCCTTTACTCTGTGACTGGGTCAGATGGAGTTAATTAACCACACTCAGGGCCCCCAAGCTAGAAAGTGCTTTTGGATGAAGTTCAGAGAAAAATCCCTGAAGCTAGCATGGAGCTGGCCCCAACTCCCTCGTGTTGGCCAATACAAATATTATTATTGGTTCTATTAATCAGTTACAGTTTTTGACTCTGTGACCTTCCAATGGCAGTATATTTCCACAATGGCTGTGTGAAGTATTTCCTTCTATTTGCTCAAATGCATTTGATGTTAATTTATTCTAAGGCTTTCATGCATACTTTGTTAAAAACAGTACAGAAACAATATGGATCAATTCTTGCTACATCTTTCTTAAACCCTCATAACTCATTCAATTTCCATTTAATTTCCTATTTCTGGAAAACAGAAAAACACTATCTTTCTAACATATTTCTATACCTCCTTTCTCATAAATGTCAGTATGAGTACTGACCTTTTCAGGATACTTTTGGCCTGATGACATATTCCTTATCTGAAATCACCAAATTAAAAGCAATATATTGAGTTTTTGTTAGTTTTTATACTATGTTCAAGTTTATTTTTATACACTGTAGTGTATGTATAACATCCATGACACACTGTATCAAGCTACCCAAGCATGTTTTTTTCATCTTTAGATATCAGAATTAAATTGTAAAACAAAATTACTAAATTATTTTTACCAATGCATCTCTATATTTAACTGAAATTTTATATTATGATGCTGGGCCATGCTGTTGGCTTTGTCTGGATTTTCTCATGAACTCATATACAAGCAGTTTTTAACTAGTACAAACAACTTAATAGTATCAGCCACCCTCATTTATTTACTATCTACATCCTCCTTTAAATCATTAATTTGTACAAACATCTGGATAAATTTTGAGTAGTTTCTCATATTTCTCAGAGATAACATTTCTAGACATGGAGGGACAGAATAAAAGAGACTGCAAATTTCCACACACATGCATCTAAGTCTACATAGCAACTGGCGTTGATACATGATCACTTGGCACTGCTCAAAATAGTGATAATAAAAAGCAAGTAAATCACTAATTTGCACATACTTAAGCTCACCATATTTCAGAATGAATCTACATGTGTGGTTTTAAAAATATGTTTATAAATATAGGGAATACTTTTGTACTTTTTAATGTAAACACATTTCAACAAATTTTATGAATGATAAGTGTGATATCAACAGGGCTCAAAGTGTGTACGGTGAAAACACTTATTTTTTACAAAATTTTTAGAAAAAAAGAATAAAATTATGTAGATTCCCTATTAAAATGCACTTTGCTCATGCAGTTTTCTTTTCCTTTTGAAAAGGGCTTGCAGTATACCCACCATTTAAAATTTCTTTATACAGACATTTTGTGGTCAATTGTGATACTTTTATCTGTGGCATGTGTATTATTTTTGAGAAGATAGTTATTAAAACTTCAGTCCTGGATACTTCTAAAGTTCCACCCACATGTGTTTTGGTCCGTTTTTACACTGCTAATAAAGACATACCTGAGACTGGGTAATTTATAGAGAAAAAGAGGTTTAATGGACTCACAGTACCACATCGCTGGGGAGGCCTCACAATCATGGCAGAAAGCAAAAGGCACATCTTACATGGTGGCAGGCAAGAGAGAAATGAGAACCAAGTGAAAAGGGTTTCCCCTTATAAAACCATCAGATCTCGCGAGATGTATTCACTACCACAAGAACAGTATGGGGGAAACCACCCACATTATTCAGTTATCTCCCACTGGGTCTCTTCTACAACACATGGGAATTATGGGAGCTACAAGTCAAGATAAGAGTTGGGTGGGGACACAAACCATATCAACATGCATGCACGCATACACATCTTTGAAGGTAGAGTATGTGAATTTGATGCTGGAGTATGTTGATGGTATAGTAAAAAGTCATGGGTAGGCGTGTTATAAGCAACTAACATTTGTTAGTATGTGGACTGTGCCTATCAAAATGACTCCATAATTACTGTGTGCTTTGTGAAATTTAGCATAGTTGCAAATTATCTAAGCTTTGACATAGCTTGAGAATGAAAAGATAATTTTGAAAACCAATTTTATAAAATGTATAAAATTATGAAATTTTCATGGTGAAATTGTATGCTTTCAAGAATCACAAAGGATAAAACATGATTCTATAACTTTATTATGATTTCCTGTCTTTACATCTACCACAGTGTCTCAGCAAATAATGTACTCAAAAGTATTTGTTGAATAAAACACTAAAATGACTCAAGGAGAGAAGGCAGCTGTCTGTGAGACAGGACATTTTCAGATTAAAGTTACAAATGCAATGGAAAATAATCTTGACAATACCCATGAAATCAGGCCACAATGGTATAAGTAAAAGAATTATAGATTATTTTATGATTTTTGCTTTTGTTCTCTTTCCTTCTCCATGGCTGAGACACCTAAGACGTTTGAAATAATTATCCACATAGCAGTCCTAACACTCCAACAACAGAGGAAGATATCCTTATTACCATGCTGCCCTTTAAAAATCAAAAAAGGACACAATTTCCCCTTAATCACTCAAATAGAAGGCCACTCAAAGAAAGACAAAAAATTAAAACAAAATAGAAAATAGTATGCCCAGTATACATCAGTGACATAATATGTGTAAATAGATTAAAATTAAAAATTAAAAGTCAAAATATCTCTGTAGGAGGAAGCAAAAAGCAGTATTGATTTATGTATTACTTAAAAGAGATATGTTTAAAAAGACCCAAAAGGGTTGAAAATACAAAAGAACAAAATTTTATAAGTGAATTGTAAGCAAAAGCAATTATAAAAATGCAACAAAATAGTTTTCTCTGTATTATTATCTCCCATCCTATTATATCCTCAGGTAGCCTTATCTAGGTAAGAAAGTTATAATTTTAGTTATTTCAATGAGCTTGAACTTAATGGAAATGATGAAACAGTAAACTTTCACAATATTTTTAAGTGCACTTAATAGTAAATCTTCAACTTGATTTCTCTCAATTGGAGTACCATGTGAAGGTTTGTTACATGGATAGAGGTTTGTACTTAGATTGGATCTGGTAGCCAAATATTGAACATAGTACCAAATTGGTAGTTTTTCAATTCTTACCTCCCTTACTCTCTCTCCCCTTCTGGAGTCCCCATTGTCTGTTTTTCCTATCTTTGTGTCCATGTGTACCCAATATTTAGCTTCCACTTATAAGTGAGAACATGCAGTATTTGGTTTTCTGTTTCAGTGGTAATTTGTGTAGGATAAGGGCTTCCAGCTGCATCCACATTGCTGCAAAAACATGAGTTCGTTCTTTTTTATGGCTGCATAGTATTCAGTGGTGTATATAGACCACATTTCCTTTATCTAATTCTCCCACTGATGGGCACCTAAGATGATTGTATGTCTTTACTATTGTGAATAATGCTGTGATAAACATGTGAATACAGGGGTCTTTTTGGTAAAATGATTTAATTTCCCTTGGGTGTATGTTCAAGACTGCAATTGCTCGGTGGAATGGTAATTCTATTTTTGGTTCTTTGAGAAATCTCCTAACTGCTTTCTATAGGGGTGAACTAATTTACAGTCTCACCAACCGCATATAAGCTTTCCATTTTCTCTGTAACCTCACCAACCAACATCTGTTATTTTTTGACTTTTTAAGAGTAGCTGTTCTGGGCCGGACTCAGCGGCTTATGCCTGTAATCCCAGCACTTTGGGAGGCCGAGGCGGGTAGATCACCTGAGGTCAGGAGTTCAAGACCAGCCTGACCAACATGGAAGAAACCCCATCTCTACTAAAAATAAAAAATTAGCCAGGCGTGGCGGCTCATGGCCGTAATCCCAGCTACTCAGGAGGCCGAGGCAGGAGAATCGCTTGAACCTGGGAGGTGGAGGTTGTGGTGAGCCAAGATCATGCCATTGCACTCCAGCCTGGGCAATAAGAACAAAACTCCATCTCAAAAAAAAAAGAAAGAAAAGATAAGAGTAACTGTTCAGACTGGTGTGAGATGGTATCTCATACCTTTCAAAATAACTTTTAAGTGAATTTTACTTCAAATTTGCCTTTTTAATTAGTATTTTTGATAGTAAATACTTTACTGTGATTTAATCTTATTTAAATTTAAAAAATAATAAACATGCTATACTTGCACTTTGTAATACTTGCAGTTGTCATTTACCTATGCTATGTCACAAATATATAATTTATTGTAATTTCTGGTTTAAATTAGTTTTTAAACTTGGAGAAATTTACATTAGAGGAAATTCAAATTACTAAAACAGAGCTAATCAAATTAAACCTTACAAGTAAGCAACAAAATACATACTAAAAAATCAAATTGCATCCCTTACAAGCAGAAGTGAAAAGGACAACACAAATTATACAATGCTCATTTTTCAAGAATGTGTAAACAAACTGACACTGCTTGTAGTAGAATTACGATTTGGTTCACTGTGAAGGGTAATTTGGGCAATACTCTTGATTCAGCAATTTTTCTAGAACTATATAGCCTGAGGAAATGATTTTATACAGTTGTATATAAAAGAAAGCATGCAGAAGCATTGCTTATAATTTAGAAAAAATATAAATGAATTTTTGAGCAACAACTAAGGAATCTGTAAAATTATGGTATATATATTTATAAAAGCAAACACTGCTATCTAAAATAATGAATGGTTATGTTGGGATGGAAACATTTTAATGAAATTATTGGTAAAACAGATAAGATAAAATATATCATGCTTTCGACATGTATGCTATTCACAAATCTTTCTCTTCCTGAGACACATGGTAGAATTCACCTTTATTATTCACTTGAAGTAGGTTATGTGACTTGATATATCCAATTGAGCATACACAGAAGTGATAATATGTGTCCCTTCCAGACAGATGATTAAAAACAGCACATACTTTACCACCCTTTCTTTCTCTCTTTCCAGGAAATAATGGGCATTCTGTCAGGTTGGATCCCAGAGTAAGGACACATACATTAACAACAACTTTCAAAATGACTAATGATGCACATGTAGCCTAGACAGAGCATTGCCTTTTGGTCTTTTAAGCAACTGAAATGTAATTCTTACCATAGATATCCTAGTCAATCTGGAGAGTAATGTCATATATGTAAGAAATAGAATTGTTAAGGTCAATCTCTTACTTTTGTGGGTTATTAGCATTATTATAGAATTAGAAATAAATTTGAAATAACATTAAATTTTCAAAATCTTAAAAAATGTGCATCCATATCTGCATTTTAAGATTTATAACATTTCGCATTTTTTTCAAGGCATTGGGTGTAGAAGAATCTGGCTATAGTATAATTAGACTATGGAATTCTATAAATACAAAGATAAAGAGAATATCAGAAAACTCTACCTCTGTGGTTAACACAGGGAAGGAATTTGGAGGAGCCTAAAGATCTATCTACCTAAAATCTATTAATCATCTACTTATATATCTATGTATACACTTTTACAGGAAGCTAAAACATACCAAACAGGTCATGTAGTGACTCACATCATGGGGATGTAATGAAATATTAATATTATCATCTGAGCCATATTATCACTGGCAAATTGTATGTTGTTTAAATTACCTCAATGTCCACAAAGAGCTACAGTATAATTACTGTAGGGGTAAGGCACATGGACGTACCATAAAATAATAATACTTTTTTTGTTGTTGAGAGTTTAAATAAGCTTTTTAAATATATGTTCTCTATTTTTCCCATCCAAGTACTAACCAGGCCCATCACTGCTTAACTAGCTTCTGAGATCTGATGAGATCAGGTGCATTCAAGGTGGCATGGCTGTAGACTAGTCTATATTTTTCAGAATATAAATGTATGAATTTAAAAAGTAATATTTTAAAATTATAGGTTTTATTATTTGTGTCTATTATGTAATATATGCAGTGTTTAAAGTTAAAGCCAATTAATCTTTGAAGCTCCTCTTCAATACCTTTCTCTTCCCAACAGATAGAAGAATTTAGATTATCTTGTAGGAACATAAATTAAATGTCAATTTGATTTTTATTTGGTAGAATAAGACAAATTGAAATATCAGTTGGAATGAAACTAAAGATTTAAAGCTTTAGTTAAAATAAAAACCAAGAGAATCTTAAAATACAAAAATGTAGAAACCTGGGCAATACAGCAAGGTGCCATCTGTACAAAAATAAAATATAAAAATTAGCCAAGTGTGGTGGTGCATACCTGTAGTCCCAGATACTCAGAAGGCTAAGGTGAGAGGATTGCTTGAGCACAGGAGTTCAGGTTTGCAGTGTGCTATGGTCACACGACTGCCCTTCAGCCTAGGGAACAGAGGAAGACCCTGTCTGAAATAATAAATAAATAAATAAATTCACTAATTAATTTTTTAATGATGAGAGCATTAAAATATCCAATGACATAGAACTTTTTCATTTTTTATTTTGTCTGGATGATATATCTCTGGGAACTATGGGTCACTCACTGTATTATCAAGATATTAAGGAAAGTATCTCCTAGGAACTTGGTAGACTTCTCTTTTTCAATGTAGTAATTGGAGGAATCTTACTCTTTGGGGAAAGATGAAACAGAAATAACCTCAACCAATGCATAATCATGAGGCGAGGTGTATTCCAACCAAATGTTGTAATATTAAGCAGTCATTGGCTTATTTGAAAGAAGCAACTTGTAGGGGAACTGGTTCTAATTATCACTTGTTTTGAATAGTGTGTATTTTGTTAAAGTCGCTCAAACTCTAAATCTTGTTCCTTCATTTTTTAAATCAAGGAGTAGGCAAAGGAGTAGTTCCTTTCACACTCTTTATTCTGTGTGTCTCAAAGTCATCATTTAGAGCATAACTTGAGCTACACAGTAGATATTTGCATGGCTTCTTAAATTTTAGTACTCGGAGAAACAATTAAGGGGCTATAAAAAACAGCCTGCTAACTTTATGTCAATTTTTAGAAGGCATTTTAAAAGAAAAGCTGATGGATAGACCTACTAGTATGTTTGGCTGTTTTAACTTGTAAATAATTAGCCATTTTGCCGGTATACAGAGAAATTATTCTCTAGTGAAAAAAGTGGCAGTCATAATATCACCAACTGCAACATCTGTAGTAGCAACTGCAGAGGGAACACCAGCAGCTACAAAAGCATCTGCCAAGATTTAAACAACATAGAACACCAAATATCATGCTCTGCATTTCTAATTTACATTGCTTACCTCTTCTAAAAGGTATTTCTATTTCCCCATTTTGCACATGCAAGAAAGGGATCAAGATGAGTGTCTTAAGCATGAAGTCACTTAGTTGCACAAGGTCTTAGAATGAATAAGGACAAATCATCTTTTAACTATGTCTTTTCGTGGTACAATTCTGTTCCCCCAAATATCTTTCTGCCTTCTTACATGAATAAAAATTTAATTTGTACATTATGTCAATATAGTATTGCTGTTGAAGTTGAATTTTTCATCTTCACGTGTGTATTTTCATTAATCTGAACCATTTGGTTAACACTAAGTTGTGACATACCTCTCAGAAGAGCTAAATATCTAATGACATAGCCTTCCTATTCCCAAAGGGTGGATATGATTAACATTTCATAAGACAAGCATTTGAGCACTTGCTCATATGTTTTTGCATCTTTTTAATTGTACATAATTTGATTTACTTTTGTTGTTTGATTATCCACTAATCTATCTGAGTAGGGCACATTTCCTACATTGAGTGAATATTAGTCATTGGTTCTGATGTTTTTAAATAATCCCCCATGCAGAGAACTATTTAAGGTTTGATTTAAAGAGACAGATTTGTTATAATAACTTTTGTAAAAAAAAAAAAGCATTAATGTCTGTTTAGACCCACTTACATTATAGCTTTGATACTGCTTTTAATAAATTCATGCTTTGATAGTCATAACCAGTCTATATAAAGTATACAGTTACCTAGGAACTACTGTTTAAGTTGTAGGATGTTTGTGGAGGGAGATGGTAATTAAATCAAATAATTATTTGATATACTGGAAAGTTATAGCAGCCAAACATCAGTGGAGTAATTAAAAACTCAAGTGTTCAGTGTCATCCAAATAGAACATAGCTTGCCTATTAAAATTATGTCAAAGGATATTGTAAAAAATCAGGACTTTATAACTTTGGAATGAAATTTAATTTCCTTATATACAAAGAAAGTGTTGATGCCCTAATTGCAGTATTTCTCAAGATTACAGATAGGAATATTTATTGCAGTATTGGCAGGAGGACATGCTGGTAAAGAAAACTACTCAATGCCTTGAGAAAAAATATTGCCTGATAGAACCTTTTTACTCAACCTAAAATAAGAAATTAGCAACAAAGAAGTGAACACTGCTATTTTTTTCCTCCAGTGTGTGAGGAGGTTTAAAAAGAAGTAAAATAAATTAACAAATGGAAAAAATAGTCCTATTTAGCATGTGGTAAAAGATAAGCTGCGACAACTAGAAAACCTAAAGTCCTAGCAAAAAAGTTAAAAAGAGGTGTTCCTTCAGTGTTCCCCACACACATTCTTATCTCTTATGATATCAATTTCCATCTTTAACAAAGGAATACTTAAAAGCAATTTTATTAGTCATAATTGCAGATCCTTTCATATTTATATCACAAAGCAAAATTCTTTAAATGTTACTGTATGTAGGGAATCATTCATTTTTGTCTTTTTCAATTCAATTCAAAAAATTAAGTCAATACTCTAAAGTATTTTAATCTATGATTGTTTCTTTTCCATAAAATGTTTTCCTCTTGAGACTTCAGAGGTGGGGAGAAAGGCAGCCTCTAGGTTGACCATGAAAGATATAAAATTTTCAATTAGGAAAATCTTTTAAAAGCAAAGTCCATCAAAGTGGTATTTTCCTATTTTGAAACTCTACAAAAATATGAAAAAAAATCAATTTTCACTGTAAGCATTTCCTGAATAGTATAGAAATATTTTAAGTTCTTAAATTCTCTTAATATATGGGCTTAAGTCGTAGAATCTTAGAGGAACTCAAATATTCTGCATTTAATTTTATATATTATTAGTGGGCATATGAGAGGTAACTGAGTTATAAAAGTAAGATTTTCAAAAATACTGTCCATCAACTTAAACTTACCTAATACAGAAAATCAAAAATAAAGAAAGCCACTATATTTTTATTTCACTCCTTCACCATAAATTTTATTTAACACTCTCTCTTTCCAAGGAATCATGCTAAGCAATGTGGATACAACAGTAAACATCTTTTTGTGATTCTGGGATTTTTCAGTTGAATGAGATTTTGGAAGAAATAAAACTTTGAATTTGGCTAGGCAGTTAATGTGTTATATTTATCTTGCTATACTTCACTTGTGCTCTTAACTCTATAGAAAAAAATATGCAAAATTCCTCCCTATCAATCAATATTGACATTAGTGATCACCCTAAATCAATATTTTATGCATTTTGATTTAACTTTCCATTCTCATAATATAAGCCAAATGCTAACAATACCATCACTATCATATCTCCTAATAAATTGAATTTTCATATTCTCTACCTGGCTGTTAACTTATTGTAAGGCAATATTTAAAGAACAGAATTCCAGTAGAATAACATAATTGGCAAGAATAAGAATAGGGTTTGATTTTTATATTGTTTATAAAGCAAATGTTTCAAAGTAGAACTCAGTGTGTTTGTATAGAACTCTAAACTTAGAGTACAAACATGTAATTCTAATATACAGCTTCAAGTTCCACAGTTCAAAGATGTAACAATAATAATACACCTTTATTTGTTCCTAAATTACTTAAAATGTCACTTTACTCACAGTGTTAGCAACTGGAATTTGGATCTATGCACTGTTCTTTCTGCCTGTCTACATGTGAAGTAGAACAGTTTTGTAACATAAAAATTTGGAGACATCTAGAGAATCCCAGAAGACTGTAGCAATATTAGTCAGAACAAGGAATACCTACCTGCTTACCCCTTTCTTCCTTGCGTCCCGGCAAGTAAGTATTAAGTCATGCTTCTCTTTGTTTAAAAAAAAAATTATATACCGAGTTTATATACTTTAAATTTCCTCCTTGTTTTATGACTTTTTTTGTTATGAAATGTAATGATATTTTCTTTCAAATGGATCATGCCGAAAGAGAGGCATGATGCTTTACTCATATTTTTCTACCTATCCTATATACTTTAATAACTCCTATGTGTCTATTTTTCTCCTTCTGCTTTTCTGATGGAAAGAACAGTGAGTGCAGCCCAATCTGTAGCCATACTTTCAAAGAGGTTACTTTTAAATACTATTTTGCGATGCCATCTATTCTCCTCTGCATGGATCTCCTTTAAAAGGTGGCTGATTTCAGCCAGGTTCGGTGGCTCACGTCTGTAATCCCAGCACTTTGGGAGGCCGAGGCGGGCGGACCACAAGGTCAAGGAGATCGAGACCATCCTAGCTAACGCGGTGAAACCCCGTCTCTACTAAAAAAAATAGACAGGCGCCTGTAATCCCAGCTACTCAGGAAGCTGAGCCAGGAGAATGGCGTGAACCCGGGAGGCGGAGCTTGCAGTGAGCCGAGATCGGGCCACTGCACTCCAGCCTGGGCGACAGAGCCAGACTCCATCTTAAAAAAAAAAAAAAAAGGTGGCTGATTTCCTGGACTTAATAGACTGATTTTTATTCTACACACACACACACACACACACACACACACACACACACACACACACGGACGTCTCTCTCACACACCTCTTTATCTCTATCTAAATAATAAAAGTATAAAGATAACAGATGCTCAGTGGGTGATGTCTGATATAGGTTGATCCTCTCAGTTTAGCTCATTTTTTTCTTTCTTAACCATCCACACCAATGTACTCATAAACACTTTCATTCCAGGATGATGTATGCAATTAAAAGAATTTAAATCGCCCTTCCCTAATCTTCTATCATATCCTCATTTACTCTCTTTAACAAAACTTTAGAATTAAATAACTGCAAGACATTTTTATGTAGTCCCAGTGTTAAGTAATTCTTGTTGCTGAGTCCCCATTGTTGCAATTTATAGCCATTTCACTTCATCCAATATTCCTACAGCAATCATTCAAATTGTTAGAATTACTGCCATCTTCCTTTATGACTAGCTACTACAGATTATATATTCATGTATTTCCCTGCTTTATAATTACATTATGGATCTTGGCAATTTACAGGGAAGCCAAGCCAAAAAGACCCCACTGCATGTTACATGGCATTAAATGATTCCCCTTTAAATCTGTCCACTTCTCTGTAAAGTCACATAGCATACACTGATAAACCTATATGACGCATGACATACTTTATAACTACCGTATGACAATTGTTAGCTTTACCCTTCTCTAGAAACAATAACAAATATCCTTTATATCCTAATAAATTTAGTGTGAGATCACTGAGTATTTAATGAGTAATTATGAGTTAGGCAACATGATAAGAACTTCACTCACATTTACTTAACAATCCTCAAATTGATTTTATAAGGCATTTTATATTATTTGCTCCATTTCCACATGAGATAAACAACCTTCATGGAGGTTAAACAATATGTTTAAATTCACCCAGGCCTAGGCAAAGCCAGATAGGTGTAAACTCAAAGCCTGTCTGAAATAGAAGCATACACTGTTAACTGCTTTAAAATCTTAAGGTTATTGCATTTTTCTACTTGTATACCCCATCCAAGGGTACACTCATCTCAGAGCACCGTTGTTTTTGTTTGTTTGTTTTGTTTTGTTTTTTATAACAATTAGGGACTGAGATCAAGTTCTTTTGCCTCTGTTTATTGCTACATTAATACTGCATATTATATATTTCTTTTAAAAAGTTTTCATATTTAACCAGCTGTAACAGAACAGATAAACCACAACAGCAAAAAGCAAATGACACTTTTACCACACTGTTTTTAATTTAATCTGACATCTTTGTTCCCTTATATATGAGATTGTATTTTTCACACAACTGTCTTCAATGGAAACAATTTTTGCAACATTTTCACATGCTATTTTATATGTCTTTCTTTTTAAATACATGATCTACATATTTATCATTTAATAACAAAAATATTTATTGAACTACATGTTATAAATCATGTAACTATTCCCCAATTGTTAGCCATATTTACTTTTAATATTGTTTTTGCAATAAACATGCAGTAAATAATTTTTTAATATGAATTTTTTATTTTGAAGTTTATATCGGCCTTAAGACTTGCAGAATTAGAGATAGAAATAAAATTTTATGTTGTTATTACTTCTTATTTTATAAATAAGGAAATGGAGAATCTGAAAACTTATGACCCTATGTCATAGAAATGTAAATGGCACCAACAAATCTAAGATTAGGACCCCATGTATCTAGCCTAGTATTCTTTCTCTGACATAATAAACTGTAAATTGACATTATAAACATACTAGCTTAAGGCTAATTATAGAAATACCATGTTAACTTTAAAGGATACCTCAAATATCTATTAACACACAGCTTCATAAATATTGAAATGCTTGTTTTCTCTTTATTTCTAGTTTAATAGCTACAGATAACACAACAAAATGTATAATTCACTGCATCATTCATGTTTATTTGTTTTGTTGTAATCTCAAGGTTTATTTAAAGCCAAAATAAAACTTTTCAAAGGAAACTTAAAACTTTTGTTTTTTGGAGTAACTGTTGAGCAACTGTGTTGTCAAGACCTATAACATTAACACAATTTATAAGATATACTAAACGTTAGCTACTAAAATCTGCTAATGCAGCATTTAAACAGAAAAGAGAGGTCAGGAAATTCAAAGTGATGACTATGTACTATTGTTCATGCAAAACTGTATTTCAAGTGACCAGGTCACCATAGAAACTAAATATATATGTATACATAATACATATTCTTCTTGATTTTATGCATTGAAACTACCAAATTATATTAAGTTTGTTTATATGCAGTCTTATTTATATTGTAAGCATAGATCAAATTGTATTCAAAGAAAGTTTAGAATATATGAGGCATACTTGGATAACCAAATACAGGGAAAACACAGTCTGCGTCTTTTTGGGGATCATTAAATTTTTTCAAAATCTCATTTATTTTTACTTAAATTAACATTCTTGTACATTCTGTTGGGTTGGCAATGTGTTGGCACAATTTTATTTAGGCTTTAAAACATATAGGCCATTGTAATTCTACTTTTAGAATAAATGGAACAACTTATAATTCACTTAATAAAATAGGTCTTTGGAAATTGTAGTAAATATGTACTTTTACTTTTAATCTATTTTTGTTTTCTGTTACTTGCTTCTTCTGAAAGGGAAATATTTCACTCAATACATTTTTATGACATATAATCACTGATTAAAATATTAGTCCCTTGAATAGTCTTATATTCAAATACATATTACAGTGGTAGTATGTGAGTAAGAAGAAAATGGTGTTCTATTTATTTTTAAATGACCTATTTTCCATGGACAAAGATGTCAAATGGACAAATTTGACAGATTCTCTGTTTCCTCCCATGTTTCTCAGAGCTTTGGAGTCCACATTAGTACTTTGCAGCTCTCTTTCCTACCAGCATATGCTACCAAGCTCTTCATTCATTCATTAAGCATTCTCTACTGTCTATTTTGTACCCAGAATTACACTTTGTGATTGAAGTAGGGTATGTTTTCTAGGTGTTCCACATACTCAGTGTTTCTAGACACATCTGGACACATAATGATAATACAGCATAAAAATATTAAAATGGCTGCATATGAAGAGTTGTAGAACTACACAGGAAACAATTAGGTGGCTATTGATAAATTACTGGATAAATAAAGTAGAGGAGCTTCAAGCAGGAAAATAACAACTTGTACAAAAGTACAAAAGTATGAAGATCAAGACAAGTCAACAAACAATAGTGCTGGAATCACAAATTGGTGCAAATGTGTTAATCATGACGATCTAAGGATGGAATTACAGGCATCCTAGTAGCATTTAGCAATTGAAAAGGAGAAAGGAAAATGACAGAAAGGAAATAAAATACATGGGCCCCTAGGTGCAAATGAAAGTATCAAATTAACTGCTTAAAACCAGATATTTGGCCAGGTACTGTGGCTCACTTCTGCACAGTAATCCCAATGCTTTGTGAGGCCGAGGAGAGCAGATCACCTGAGGTCAGGAGTTTGAGACCAGCCTGGCCAACGTGGTGAAACCCCATCTCTACTGAAAGTACAAAAATTAGTTGGGCATGATGGCAGGTGCCTGTATATAGGCTATTGTAATTCTTGGGAGGTTGAAGCAGGAGAATCGCTTGAACCTGGGAGGTGGAGGTTGCAATGAGCCGAGATTGAGCCACTGCACTGCAGCCAGGGCAACACAGCAAGACTCCTTCTTAAAAAAAAAAAAAAAACTAGATATATTTAACTTTAAACATATATCATTATAAAATAATTTTTAAACCCTTTAGCAGAATACTAATAAAAACATTCTTTTAAGATATTTAAATAATGCTATTTCATTTGTTAATTTTTAAAACTATGGCACGCACAGCGATGGAGAGAGGGATGTTTTCCAAAACAATACACTTTATTGGGTGGGAACAGTAAAAAATGTTTCTGATTTCCCAGTACTACTGCCCTTTGCCCTCTATCTTCTCCTACTTATTGCTTGAGAAAATTTTGGCAGTCTATAATCCATGGTTTTGTCATTTCATATTTCTGAGATGAGGGAGATGACACGTGACATAAAAATGTTCTGCTTTCAAAAACCTCCAAAGCCAGATCCTAATTTTTCAAATTCCTTTGCCCCAGCAAGAATAATTTTCAAGCACAAAAGATAATTGGATAAATATATATTAATATTTTTATTTGATATCTTGCTGAGTATACTACAGAGGAACTTACACTTCATCATTTAATCTTTAATCCATCTGGTTCAAAAATAAGAAGTAGGCTGCATTACCATATATGGCATGCAATGTTTTTCTTCTGTGTAGAATTTCCAGGGAAGTCTCTGTAGAAAACTGATCCTAATTGTGAGGTCTTCATATTTAAGCATAGTAGTGGAAGTCTTCCAACTCAGAAAGGAAGAAGGTAAAGTCTCAGTAACTTAAGTATATTTATTTTACGATTAAAAGTTCAACTCTCCCAAATTTTTATCCATGAGCATATCGTGTATTTTAGTGCAGAGTGTTCATCAAAATATGACACTTCCTTTAGTCAGACATGAGTTTTGCTTTAACCTAAAAAAAATGGCTATTTTGGTGCACACTTTACATACATAAGTAAAATTTCAAACATTTGCATGGTAATTACTTATACCTGTATTTTCACAGCTGCAAGACACTGAAAATGTACAGGAACATTTGGTACGTTACAGCATTTATCTTTCTCACACACATAGTTTCTCTCTCACTCTATTATTTTTCCCTTCTGTTACTAGATCTATTTAATTCCATTAAGTTATATGAGAGGATCACTGGAGTAAAATTTAAATTATTCTAACATTGGCAATTTTTGCTGTGGAAAGTAAAACTTATATATGAAAAATGAATGCACTAAGGGTAGTGTTCTTTTTTTTAATGGAGACAGGGTCTCACTCCGTTACCCAAGTAAAGTGCAGTGGCTCCAACATAGATTACTGCAACCTCAAACTCCTGGGTTCAAGAGATTCTCCTACTTCAGCCTCCAAATTATCTGGGACTACAGGAGCGTGCCACCACGCCCAGCTAATTTTTAAAAGCATTTTTGTAGAGACTGTATCTCACTGTGTTGCCCAGTCTGGCCTCTAACTCCTGGCCTCAAGAAATCTTCCTGCCTCAGCTTCCCAAAGTGCTGGGATTACAGGCATAAGCCACTGTGCCCAACCCTGGTAATGTTGTTATAATAACACAGACCTTGATCTCAAAATAACTGCCTCAATATCATGTCAATAGTAGGAAGCAGAGCAGGGGCTTCAGTGAGAAACAGAGTGGGAACTTCCACACAGGTCTGATAGGAAAAACATTTTTCTATGTTTCTTTTCTTATTCACATTCACTTTCTACTTGGTAATAACAAGAAAGTCTTTTTATAGTGTATTAATTCATTTTGAAAATTTTTTACATAAACTGCAGTTTCTCAGAGGAAAATCAGGAGTTGGCAGAGAATACAATGGTATAAACTTGTGCACATTTAATTATTTGTATTTAGTAAAAATGACAACAAAGATATCCAAATACCTGTATGTTTATATTAATGCCTATGTGTATGTGTATGTATATGCATATGTATGTACAAGCAAATGTACATCTATACTTGTGCCTATCTAGTCTCTAAGCACAACCCAAATATTAATCTACTAGATTTTTGAACAGTGAGGATATATTTCAGTGTGTTGGAATTATTTAGAAATCACATGGTTTCTCAATCAATGCGTCTATGGTTCATTACTATATGTAATATATTTTTTGGATGATTTCCAGGGTTTTTTTGAGGAGAGTTGTACATACCTTCCATTTGTGCATGCTGGGTTTATCTAGAACCAGACTCCCTGGAAAGATGGTATAGGGCTATAGAAGAAAAAGACTGGGGCTTGGAATCAAACACAACTGGATCAAATCTTGTGTACTCTCCTATTAAATTTGCAAATGCAGCCAAGACACTTGCATTCCATGGATTTCAACGTCTAGATGAGTAAAAAGAAGCAGGTGGGGAAAAAAAAACTCTCGAAAGAACGAAAGAAAGAAAGGAAAGAAAGAAAGAAAGAAAGAAAGAAAGAAAGAAAGAAAGAAAGAAAGAAAGAAAGAAAGAAAGAGAAAGAAAGAAAGAAAGAAAGAAAGAAAGAAAGAAAGAAAGAAAGAAAGAAAGAAAGAAAGAAAGAAAGAAAGAAAGAAAGGAAAGGAAAGAAAAGAAAAGAAAGAGAAGGAAAGAATTGTCATGGAATTGTAAAGTGGCATGGCTAAGTCTGTATTTCAAGCATGAAACCTCACACACTTCAGGGGCCTAGAACATAGGCAAAATGTTTTAATGTTTTTGTTTATAGTATCCTCTAAAAATGATTATTTGGAAAAAATAAAAAAGGCTTGTTTGCCTCATTATATGGCCTCATATAATGACACCTAATTTCTTAAATACATTATCTCCAATGTAAAACCACTGGTTGAAATGTAAACAATATATATCTTCAGTGGTTTAATAAATGACCAGAAATGAAAGTCAACATATGCTTTATTTTGTCTAAGAGAATTAATTCAGGCATTTTTGAGTTGGAGACTTAGGAAATGCATTAGATATGTGTGTTAATTCACTAAAGTAAAGCTTGTAGAATAGCTATTTAGTTATCAAAACATATATGTACTTACCAAAAGAATGTCTTATTATATTAATTTGTCTCTCTAATGAAATGTGCATGGTTTCTATATAAAGGCCTTCTGAATTATTTGCTTGTTTATGTATCACTCAGATTGTCTATATCAGACCAAACTAGGAAATAGGCCTGTTAATCTTTACTTATCATTACTAAATTAGTGAACTTAAAAAATAAATTTATGTATTTGTTAATGTAGAAAAGATAGACTTCTCTCCTAAATGAAATATCTTTGCCTTCCCCTTAAATATCATTTTCCCACAAAGTTCTGTCTTTTGAGATCTCACATTTTCAAACTGAGATTTTCTTCATTGTCATGACTTTTTTAGTTCCTATATGTGAATGACTTCTACATCAGTAGCACAGATCTTGCTCCTTCACTTCAGACTTATGTACGTAATGACCTACCAGGCAGGGCTAACTGGTGTTCCATGGGTATAATAAACCACAATGTCCAAAACTAGAAGCATTAATTTTCCTCCAAAACACATTACTCTTTAATTACATCATCATCAATGAAGCTGCATAATCATAAAATCTAGAATTTGTCTTCAAATATTTTATTCCTCTTAGTCTGTATATAAATTTCTGATCCAGTCCTATTATCTTTTACCTTCTTAACAACTTTTTATATCTACCTTGTCTGTTTTAGCTCCACTGGTACTATTTTATTTCAGGCAATTATCTCTTAAGTATGCCATCATTATAGTCTCTTAACTAGTCTAGTTGATTCATCTTCCAAAATTTGGCAGACAAAACTTTCTAAAACTAACAACAATTTTAAAGAAAAATGAAAATGTGATATCCATTTGGTTCCAACTTCAAGCTTTTCAGTTCCTCCTGTTGCCAGCTCGATAAAGTGAAAAATCGATAGCATAGTGAGAAGAGGTTACCACAATCTGGTCCCTGCCTAGCTCTCTAGAGCTATTGACTTCATGTTTTGCTCCCATCCCTCTGAGATATTGGTCAAAAGAAACTACTTGCTCATTTCAAACTACATGTATTTTGCAACTATTCCTAGAATACAAAATTTCTATGTCAAGATATACCAAGTCTGGGAAGCTGTCCCGCATCTTTCCAGACCAAACAAAATTAGCCACCCAGTTCTTTGTGAACCAACTTAACCTCATAAAAAAAAATTTATTTTTCATGATGAATATTATTGCATTTATATATTCTCTAAGCCCTCTGTGGTCATTAGATTATATGGTAAATTTACGGAGTCAGAATAATACCCCATTGCGTATTGAGTTTTCTCAACTCCTGTGCTTAGAACAGTAACTGACACAAAGTCGGTATCTATTAATGTTCACAGAATGAATCAATTTCAAATAAATATTTACTAATCCAGTCACCCAGCAAATTAAACCAATCTTCTTGGTGCTCTGCCCAGGAGAAGGAGAAATTATATTTGAAATTCTGACAATAAATGTAATAATAATATTATTATAATGATACTGGTGAAGTTTAAGAAATTTCAATATTCTGAAACAAAATAACTCTGTGGGATGGGGGAGAGGGTGAGGAGAGGAAGTTAAAGCTCACACCTGTAATCCCAGCACTTTTGGAGGCCGAGGCGGGCAGATCACAAAGTCAAGAGATTGAGATCATCCTGGCCAATATGGTGAAACCTTGTCTCTACTAAAAATACAAAAATTAGCAGGGTGTGGTGGTGCGTGCCTGTAATCCCAGCTACTCGGGAGGCTGAGGCAGGAGAATCACTTGAACCCGGGAGTCAGAGGTTGCAGTGAGCCAAGATCACACCACTGTAATCCATCCTGGCAACAGTGTAAGACTCCATCTCAAAAAAAAAAAAAAAAAAAAAAAAAAACAATTATAATACAAGCCAAGAAATACATTTTCAAGCATGTATTGTGGAACTTATAAATGAGACTTGTGTATATCTGACCCAAGTACTACTAATCTCTAGATTAGAGAGTTATAGTGTCTTTCATTTTATCTTTTGACCAAGAGTAATGCCATCAGTTTATTCTTAAATTGACTCTAAACATCAATGAATGTACCTCATTTACTTTGTATTATTGAGGAATGACATTGTTCCTTACATTAATGAAATACTAAGATAACTGAAAGTATCTTTTAAAATTAAGTATTTAGAGTTCACTTCTAGAATGGCAGCATGAGGAACTCTGCAGAAGCTCTCCATAAAGAAATGAACAAAACTGTTGAACACAAAAAAATTAAATAAACTCTCTGGAAATTGTGCTAAGGGCATATACAACAAGTGGAAATATTCACTTAAAAAATCTTCCAAAATTCTGTAAGAATAGCAAGAGTCTTTGACTTTTGAACCACAGCCTTTTGCCTACCTCCCTCTCGCCACTCAGCTCAGCTTAAAGGAGACTACGTGTAGTTGGGTGTGGCCAAGGAAACAGAACTTCTTCTCTCCTTATCTTCCTGTAAAAGGTTACCATATGTCACTGGGAGGGTCAGGGCACCAACATTTCTTCTTAAGGCAGAAGTCCCTCCTGGAAGAGGCAATCCAAGAGGATCAGAGGCTACTATCACATATAGCACACAGAGTAGTGGCCCAGAGAATTTTCAGAGAGAGAGGAAGTTCACAAAAACAAAAAGATCCAAAACTCTCTTTATGGAACTGACATTATTTGAAATAGAGTGTGAAGAAGTTCATTCTTAAGGGATCTCTTGAAATAAATAGCTTTTCTCAATTAAGAGTGTGAAAGGAAAATAAATCTTGGGGCTCTAAAAGTCACTAAGCTAAAGGGACAAGTCAAGCCAGGAACTGCTTAGGGCAAACCTGCCTCCCATTCTGTTCAAAGTCATCCCTCTGCACACCGAGATAAATGCGTATCTGATTGCCTCCACTGGAAAGGCTAATCAGAAACTCAAAATAATGCAACAGTTTTTCTCTCACCTACCTGTGACCTGAAAGCCCTCTCCCTGCTTAGTTGTCCCAACTTACTGGACAGAACCAATGTATATCTTACATATTTTCATTAATGTCTCCCTAAAAATGTATAAAACCAAGCTTTGCCCCGACCATCTTAGGAACATGTCATCGGGACCTCCTGAGGCTGTGTAACAGGTGTGCATCATCAACCTCTGCAAAATAAACTTTCTAAATTAACTGAGACCTGTCTCAGATATTCAGGGTGCACAAGAGCAACAAGCTAAACCAAAGATCATCCAGTTTACCAAAAATAATGAGGAAAATACACAGCAAAGAAGAGCCCTATAAAGTCAAAACAAATCTCTAAGATTGGTCTTAAAAATTACCTGTACTTGAATTTAATTCATCTGACTGCTGAGTAATTTATACATCAGGGCATTGTTGAAAACTTAGAGCAATCATCCAGCAATTAGGGGAGCCTAACATGTGGGGTATAATACCAAATGAAATACATGTGGTAACAGATAGATCAGGAAAAGAGACAGTCATTGGGAGCCCTGACATGTCTCATCAAATACAAAATATCAGTACATAATAGAAATTATAAAAAAGAAGAAAATAAAAATTCTGGAGTTAAAAATCCATGAATTTAAATTTAAAAAAAAATCATTAGAGAAGCTCAACAATGAGTGGGTTTTTTGTTTTTGTTTGTTTGTTTGTTTGTTTTATTTTGTTTTATTTGTTTATTTTGATTTTCTTTTTTCTTTTTTAGATACAGGAATATCAACATCTTGCCAAGGCTGGTCTCTAACTCCTGGTCTCAAGCTACCTTCCCACCTCAGGAACAGGGATTACAGGTACACACCACCACACCTGGCTCAATGGTAGATTTTAAATGGCAGAAAAAATAATAAGCAAGCTCAAAGCTGGATCTATGGCGATTATGCAATTTGAAGAACAAAGAGAAAATAGAATGAAGAAAAATGAACAGAACTTAGAAAAATGTGCTATACTTTAAGTGAACCAACATAGTATAATGGAAACACTATAAAGAAAGGAGATAGAGAAAACAACTGAAAAGATATTCAAAGAAATAATGATTGAAAACTTCGCAAATTTGCAGATAATCATCAACCTACATACCCAAGAATCTCAACAAACTCCAAATAGGATAAATACAAAGAGATCCACACCCAGACATATTATAACACAGATATGAAAAGTTTAAAATAAGGACAAAATCTTAAAAATGGAAAAATGAAATTATTTATCACTTATGAGGGAAACCTGAAAAGATTAAGAGTTGATTTCTCATCAGAAACATTGAAGGCCAAAATATAACAAAATAATGTATTCAAAGTGCTGAGAAAAAAAAATTGTCAACCAAGAATCTGACATCCAGCAACACTATCTTTCAGATAAATATTCTCAGATAAACAAAAACTGATGTTGTAGGACTTTCTCCTTAGTTCATCTGAAAGCTGGGTTCTTGTCACATGACCAGGAAAAATTAGGCTTGTGGACACATGGAAGGGTTGGGAATAACAGAATTTACTGGGCAAAAGGAACAAGGAAAAGCAACACAGCAAAGCAAGAGAGGAGTTCCTTTAGCAGTCCCTCATCTCACAGATTGAATCCGAGGTTCCCACACTAGAACAGGAGGGGCCAGGCTCCTCCCCTGAGCAAATGGCAGGAACTTCCGTGGTTCCACCCCATTCTCACAGTGAGCAGGCCAGTCAGAGGTTCTCTGGGGACCCCTTTATACTAGGCTGTCTCACTGAGACATTCTTATAATTTCAGACAAGACTTAAAAGAAATACTAAAGAAAGTTCTTTGGTTTGTAAGTAAGTATATCTAGATGAAATTCAAATCTATACAAAAAATAAGGAACATTGTTATAGGTACTTCTGTAGTTATAAAATGCTATATAAATGCATTTTTTATTTATTCTCTTAATTCATTTAAAAAGCAATTGTATAAAACACTATGTATAGAATTATACTGTTTGGCCTATTAGATATAAAATATAACATGTTTATTATGTCAATTCTAAGTTAAAGTGTATATGATAATCTCTAGAGTAACCACAAAAAAACATGGAGCATAAAGGTCAGTGGGAACAGGAACCAGGAATGAAATAAAGAGAACCAGAAATGGTAAGTAAAATGTAAATATCTAAAAATCTATCTATCTATCTATCTATCTATCTATCTATCTGTCTGTCTGTCTGTCTGTCTGTCTGTCTGTCTGTCTATCTATCTATCTATATTTGCCCTTATTTCTTTTCTCAGCTTCCATAGTAGACAAAAAAATAAATTAATAGCAATGCATTATTTGCTTTGTAGCATGTATGGATGTAATAGATATAATAACAGTAAGACAAAAATGGAAAGATTAAGTAGAGCTATATAGAAGTAGCATTTCTATATCTCACTAGAATTATTAGTATAAATCTGAAGTCAATTCTAAGTTAAAATGCATACAATAACCTCCAAAGTAACCACAAAAAAATAACTTCAATGTGATGGAAAAAAATAAGTATTTATTTCAAAACAGGTAAACTATCTATAATAAAAGTTTGTAAATACACTGCCTATATGCCTTCTTTCTTAAGCAAACTTCTCTGAACATACATTCAATCTTTGGCAATTGGAGGTCTTCATTATGAATATAATTACAATGTCAATGTGTTCAAAGGCTATACTACAATAGGAAGTTGAAATACATAGAACTGTTTACCATTAACCTAACTGCTTCTTGTTTTCCCTTTTGTTACTTGGCAAGTGATAATCCCTTCATTGTGTTCACATCACAACACACATTAAAATGTGATTTATTGATTTACATGTCTTTTATATTTATCTCTATGCCAGCAACCAGCACAGGGTGCTTCCAAGGATAAAAACTAAATGAATGCTTGACTAAAGACTAAATAGAAACTTGGAGATTAACCACTTGAAGTAGTTAAGAGTGAGGGCTCTGCTTTGAATATTTGCTAACTCCTTTACTGGTTGTACTTCTTCCTAAAGTCACTTAAACTCTGCTTCTGTTCTCTCATTTGTCAAATGGAGATGAGTATAGGGCTTATCTCATAAGGTTGCTGTGAGGATTAAACAAGTTACTATCTAAAGACAGCCATCAGAGCTGTATCTGACTTACAATAAGTATTATGTGTGCCTGCCCATATTATTAATGTACGAATATACTAACATGTGGTTTTGTACTTTGGTAGATCATTTGATTCTTCATATTCATTGAAAATTTGAGATTCCTGAGCTTATTAGGGAAGTCACTTCTGGATAAAACTTCATATTTATTTAGTTACTTGCTATTTGCAGTTGCATTTTTCTTGAAGGCTAGTCTAATTATAAATAAGGAGTAGCCACAAAACATGACAAATTTGTCTTTGTAGAACTTTGAGACTATGACTTAGAAAATAAGGAGATCTTATTTTATAATCCTAATGCTAGCAAAGGCTCATTCCAGGCAGAAGGTTGTGAATAATATGGATCGGGTTCTCTATATTGTTTTTCACCTGTGTAAATAAATGAACCTTGATATTCCACACGGTTTTGCAATTTTGTCACAATATTCATTTGTCTGTTCTCTGTTAAATGTCCTGATGGTTCATGTCAGCAGGATATGTTGGAATTCACAGCAAAGGATCTGCATTGTGGGATCTCATTGACTGGCAGCTGGAAGTAACTTAGAGAAATTTTGTGCCTTTAGAATATTTTTATGTTGTTTAAAATTCTCCTCAAAGAACATGTGATAATACTAGAGTCCTGCCGAGTATCAACAACTCAAGAGCAGCACTGAAATAAAAAGGGCTCCAAACTTGCATTTATTTAATGCTTAATTTATCATGTCCAACAGTTATAAGTAGCTTCAGTATATTACCAGCTCTAGCTTTTATTTATATATTATTACAGAATGTTTCATCCAGTTTTTAAGTCTCTGAGGTTCTGAAACATTTTTTTTGTTTTGGAATTAGAAAAGGTATGATAATCTTTACTCTTTGTGTTCTTGCCACCACAAATACTGGAATCCTGTGGCATGCATCAGATTTTATAAACAGATATTCTGCCAGCAACCTCGGAAGCTTTCTGATAGAAAAGGAACGGCATATGAAGGAAGTTCAGAAGACAAATATTGAATTAGTCCTACCAATTAAATGTCTCCATTGTGCCCCTGCAAAATTTAAAAAAGTATTTCCAAAAAGTAAAAGTCGAAGAACAATTCACATAGTTTACACCTCATGAGCAAAATGTTCTAAACTATAAGATCTTTGATTATCTCATGTGGGTAGGAATTTCTTATAAATATCAAAACTTACCTTAAAACTTAATTCTTATATGTAAGAAGTAGCAGATTCAGTTTGGCAGCTCTGAGAATAACGTTACTAATTATGTAGTATTTAATAATATCCTAGTATGCCAAATAAATTTTATCTGGTTCATGAAAATTCTTAACTTATTCCCAGAAAATTATTTATATTCTCAGGATTCTCACTCTAATTTAGTGTTCCTCTTCCAATTGGAGATAATTTTAACAAAATAGCCTACCACAGCAGGGTTTCTTAACCTTAGCACTATCCACTTTGAGGCTGCAAAATCCTGTGGTCAGAGGGTTTTTCCTGTGCATTAGAGGATGTTTAGCAGCATCTCTGGCCTCTATGCACTAAATGCAAATAGGAACCCCCTTCAAATTTTGACTATTCAGAATATATCCAGACATTGCCAAACAGCCTAATCTGAAAAGAAATTGTCTTGGTTTCTAATGCTGTGTAACAGATTACCATGCTCACTGGCTTAAAACAACACAAATTTATTATCTGCTATGGTTTGAATGTTTGAACCCTCCAAAATTCATGTTGGAATTTAATTGATAATGTAAAATTACTGGAAGATGGGGCCGAGTAGGAATGGAGGGCCTAATGGAAGGTGTTTAGTCATGAGGTGTTTAGTTCATGAGATGGGGCCAAGTAGGAATGGAGGGCCTAATGAAAGGTGTTTAGTTCATTTTGAACCCTCCAAAATTCATGTTGGAATTTAATTGATAATGTAAAATTACTGGAAGATGGGGCCAAGTAGGAATGGAGGGCCTAATGGAAGGTGTTTAGTTCATGAGGGTTCTGCTATCAGGAATGAAAGAAATATTTCAGAACTCTGTGGAAAATATCCATACTTTTTTTTGGATCCTTTCATTTTTTTTTTCCACCAGTGGGTAGTTAAAATCAGTTAAATAGTGTCAGACCTAAACCTCTGCCATTTATCTTTTGTTCAAAATTCTATAGGTGTCTATGCCTTGATACAACTTTAATATTGCTACTTAAGTTACATTGTATCTTTTTTCATTTGCTTACCTGTTACATTTCCTTAGCTGTTACAAAGAGTCAAGAAGAAATTTAAGAGATTTAATTGGGAAAAAAAAAACACCTAAGAAATAAAATACTTATTTTGCTTTGGCCACAAAAATAATGAGCTTTGGGACTGGGCTCCTTCTCCTGACCTTTAACCTTCAGTCATGTGATGACACAGCAAGAGGGTCCTCATAGAATGCTGTCACCTTTGTGGACTTTCCAGCCTTCAGAACTGTGAACCAATAAATTTCTGTTAATTGTAAATTACCCAGTCTCAGATAATCTATTATAGAGGCACACATGGACTAAGACATTATCTCACATTTTCCATGATCCAAGTGAGATGAGAGGGTTCCCTTGACCCCTTCTCGGGACTTGTGAAGGGCATGGCTCATTTACTCAGCTGCTGTGCTCAATCCCTTATGAGAGGGAGCACAGGAGAAGACGGGTGTGGGAACCAGAGGGAACTAATGCTGGAACCAGCTGGTTGCTCCTCTCTCGCAGGAGCAGGCTCTGTGTGAGCCCTGCAGCAGCGTCCAAACATGTTACAATGCTCTTTTAGCTGTGCTGTCTGGGAGAGAGTGTCTGTGACCCTGGAACCCCAGAGGGGATGTGTTACAATCAGTTTTCTTTTAGCATTTGCGTTCTGGTCCATGGATGGCTAAGTGTTAACCAGCTCAGTGGAGGGACAAGGTGACAGCCTTTTACACCCTGCCCTCTTGGTACCCAGGTTTTTGTCCATCAGCAAGAAGAATCAAGTCAAACGAATGAATTGAAGAGGACTTTATCGAGTGCTGGAAGTGACTCTCAGTGGGAAGAGGAGCTGGAACCAGGGTGGAGCAGGAGGATAATCTTCCCCTGGGGTCTGGCCATCTCAGGCCAAGCTCCTCTCCAACCGTCCCCAGCCAAATTCTTCTCTGGCTGTAGTCTCCAACATCCAGCTGCTTCTTCGCCTGTCAATGTTCAGATGCTTTTCTATTCTGTGTGTGTGTGTGTGTGTGTGTGTGTGTGTGTGTGTGTGTGTTTGTCCACTGCATCTTGGGTTTGGAGTTCTTATGGGCACAGGATGGGGATAGGGCTGCCCAAAAGGCAACATTCGGGTGGGAAAACAGAGATAGTTCTCACTTTGGGCGGAGAGTCCAGGCTTGAGGGTGAAGCCCTTGCCAGCGACCCTGTCCTCTTCTTCCCAGTATTTCCCTGCCTCCTATCCATATCACAAAGAAGTCAGAGTGTGAGTTCACAGGGTCATCTACTCAGGATCTTGCTAGGCTGATATCAAGTTGTTGGCTGGGGCTTCAGTTCTCTTCTAGGGCTCAGGATCCTCTTCCAAGCACACAGTTTTCAGCAGAATCATTCCCTCGTAGATCTATGTCTGTAATCCCAAGTTTTCTGATAACCACTGTCTGCTTCCAGAGACCACCTTTAGTCCTTTGACACATGACCAGCACAGGCAAGACACAATATGAGCGTGTGTCTCTTTCAAGCCAATAGGAGTGAGTATTTCTGACTTCAAATCCTCTTCCAGTCACTATAATGGAGTTCTATATAAGGTTATATAATCATAGGAGAAATTATCTCACCATCATTTGCCATATGAACATAACTTAATCCAAGAAACAAGGATCCTATCATATTCACATGCTCCACTTACATTTAAGATAAAGGGACTATACAAGAAACATACATGATAGGTAGGTATTTTGCTATGATTTGAATGTTTGTGTCCCCCCAAAACTCATACGTTGAAACCCTAACACCCAAGATGATGATACTAAGAAGCAGGGCCTTTTTTTAGGTCATGAGTGTGAAGCCTTCATTAATGGACTAGTGCTCTTATAAAAGAGACCACAGACAGCTAGCTTATTCCTTCCATCCTGTGGGGACACAGTAAAAAGGTGCCAAGAACCAGGTATTGCAGCCTTTACCACAGCCCAGTCATGCTGGTACCCTGATCCTGGACTTGCCAGCCTCCAGAATTGTGAGAAATATATTTCCATTGTTATAAGACACCTAGTTTATGGCAGTTTGTTACAGCAGCCCATAGGTACTAAGACAGATTCTAAGGGCAATCTTTGAATTCTATCTACCACAAAGGTCCAGAACTAAATATGAAAGTTATACACACAATTTAATGTAAAGCAGAAAACCTCTATAAACTTTAGTTTACAGAAAATTTAAAAATAGGTAATATGTTTAATGACAAAATGAAATAATTGGACAAATCTAAAATGACATATAAGTTACAAGTTGAGAACAGTACAAAGAGTCAATATCATAAAAAAAGTAGAAAAATTTTCAGATTCAAATAAATTACAAAAACAGTACAATGCACTGTGTGAAATCTAATTAGATGCTTACAATGGACTGAATATTTGTGTCTGCCCAAAATGAATCCCTAATTCCAATGTGATAGTATTTGGAGGTGAGGCCTTAGGAAGGTAATTAGGTCGTGAAGATAGACCTTTCATGGATAGAATTAGTGAGTTTATGAGAAGAGGCCAGAGAGCTAGTTAGCTTCTTTCCACCATGTGAAGATACAATGAAAAATCAATAGTCAGCAATTCAGAAGAGGGCCTTCACTAGAAACCAACCACGTTGGTACTCTGATTTTAGACTTTAAGGCTCCAGAACTGTGTGAAATAAATTTCTGTTACTTATAGCCATTCAGTCAATGGTACTTTGTTATATCAGCCGAAACTAAGACAAGGCTAAGAAATAAAGAGAGCGAGGAAGAGAGAGAGACAGAGAGAGAGACAGGAAAAGAAAAAAAGAAGAAGAAAGAAGAGGGAGGAGGAGGAGAGGAAGGATGGGAGGGAGGGAGGGAAAGAGGGAGGGAGGGAGGAAGGAAGGGAGGGAGGGAAAAGGAAATAAAGAAAATGAAGAAAAGAGACAAGAAGAGAAAAAAGAAATGAGCTCTGGTTATGTAAAAGAAAGTTCTTATTATTTCTTCAGAACATATGCTATATATTTACATATAAAGCATCATGATATCTAGAAATTACTTTCAAATAATTTAGCAATTAGATAGATGGATGATTAATAGATAGATAGACAGATAGATAAATAGAATAATGGGCTGAATTGTATGCCCCCAAAATTTATATGTTGAAGCCCTAAAGTATTATAGGTTTGTGCAAAAGTAATTGCAGTTTTTGCCATTACTGTTAATGGGAAAAGCCTCAATGACTTTTTCACCAACCTAATACCTCAGAATGTGACTGTATTTGGAGATAAAGTATTTAAAGAGGTAATTAAGTTATGAGTTCATTACAGTGGGCCCAAATCCAATATGGCTTGTGTCCTTATAAGAATAAGAAATTTGAAGAGACAGGTACAAAAGGAAGACAACGTAAAGACACGGGGAGATGGCCATCTACAAGCCAAGGAAAAGGATCTTAGAAGAAAACAACCCTGTTGACAAAGCACACAGTCTACGGAATTTGGTATGGCAGCCGTAGCAAACTAATATAAGTGATAGATAGAAAAATAGAGAGACAGAGTGCGAATTGAGAGGGTGGGGAAGAACCACAATATATTCCAGTTTACAGGTTTTAAACTAGAAACTATGAGCTTTCATAACTGTGGCAGAACTGGGGATGAAAACATCAGGTAAGTCACTACCACAGTTCGAAGAAACACTGTCAAAAGTCAAGGAAGCTGCTGGGCTCAGTGACTCATGCCTGTAACCCCAGCACTTTCGGAGGACAAGATGGGCAGGTCACTTGAAGCCAGGATTTCGAGACCAGCCTGGCCAATATAATGAAATGCGGTCTCTACTAAAATACAAAATATTAGCCTGGCATGGTGGTGTACACCTGTAATCCCAGATGCTCAGGAGGCTGAGGCACAAGAATCACTTGAACCAGGAGGCAGAGGTTGCAGTGAGCTGAGATCATGCTACTGCACTCCAGCCTGGGTGACCGAGTGAGACTCTGCCTCAAAAAAAAAAAAAAAAAAAAAAATCAATGAAGCAAATGCGCTGAAGGCCTCCTTCTGAAGCATTAAAGTGTATGGTTCTCAACAGCTCATGGGAAAGCCGCTGAAATTCCTAAGAATTTCAAAGAAAGTATTGTAGACTGAATTGTGCCACCCTCCACACCCAATTCATATGTTGCAGTCCCAGTTTCCTCCCTTTGTGACTATACTTTGAAATAGGGCATTTAAAGAGGTAGCTAAGTTAAAATAAGGCAGATAGCCCGTATGTGGCCCTAATTCAATTTTACTGGTGTCCTTAGAAGACAAGATTAGGATGTACAGATTGGCACCTGGGGTGCAGGGGGACAGCCATGTAAGGACCTATCAGTGAGAAGGCGGCCATCTGCCAGCCAAGGAGAGGGGCCTCAGGAGAAAACAACTCTGCTGGCACCTTGATCTTAGACTGCCAACTTTCATAACTGTGACAAAATAAATTTCTGTTGTTTAAGCTAGTCATTCTGTGAATTTTGTTAGGGAAGCCCAGCAAACTAATATAGAAAAATATTCAATTGCCTCAGTGAGCAGCAGCAAAACAGTTGGTTCTCAAGAAATTGCCAGGAAGCCAAAGTAAATCTCACATTAGGATGCAACTGCCTTTGGAAAATAATAGCTTCTCCCTCTCTTCTACTTTCCAGACTCCATGTAATTCTGAATATCACACAGGAAAGGGGATTATGAAAAATATGGTTTCCAGCTTCTCTTCTGTGCATAGAAGAGACTTTAGAAGATGCTATTGGTGAATCTAAGTCGACAACAGATGATGAGGCATAGTATTGATAAGTACACCGAGAAGTTTGGAATATGCATATGGAAGTTTGTAAGCACAGCACAGCCTTTTTAAAGTTATGGAAGCCAAATGTGAATGAGTCATTATTCCTAAAGATTTCAAGATGTAATTCAGATGACAACAGCAACAACAAAATATCCCAAGTGTTTTTTAGGATATAAAATAATCTTCTCTAAATGAACACATCTTCATCTCATATTCCAAAGATTATCACAATAATGTAATTTTCTGGCAAAAATGGGCAGCTCATATTAAAACATAAAATCATTTAAAACACAAGGACATAAAAACACTCTGAACAAGAAACAATAAATAAAAGAGACCATGATTCACAACAAAGAGAGGATGAGAGAAAGAACAAAAAACTCTCAAAGACTTTACATAACACTATTATCACAGCTTATATCATTTTGCCTACCATGTTTAAAGAGATAAAAAAAAAATCTTAAAAATATTTGCACGGTATGGGAAACCAGAAATACAAGAAAAAAATAACTCTCATTCAATTGACAAACTCACTAAAATTTAAGCTCAGCTGAAAAGAGAGTTAGCCAAGGTATGGATAAAAAAAGGAAATTGTCCAGAATACTATTTGGGTTGAAACAGGCTGCAAAACATTTAAAAAAAAAAAAAAAAAAAAGGTTAAAGGTTAAGCTACATAGATGACAGTGTTACCAAAACGCCAGGGTTTTGGTCTAGGTCCTGCAGTTCACCACACAGAAAGCCAAGCACTAAGACACCCAGTATTGCCAAGGAAGAAGGTTTTTGTTTTGTTTTGTTTTTCAGATGGGGTCTCACTCTGTCACCCAGGCTAAAGTGCAGTGGCACGATCTCGGCTCACTGCAATCTCCCCTTCCCGGGTTCAAGTAATTCTCATGCCTCAGCCTCCTGAGTAGCTGAGATTACAGGCAGCTACCACCATGACCAGCTAATTTTGTTTTGTATTTTTAGTAGAGATGGGGTTTCACCATGTTGGCCAGCCTGGTCGCAAACTCCTGAACTCAGGTGATCCACCCGCCTCAGCCTTCCAAAGTGCTGGGATTGCAGGCGTGAGCCACCGTGGCTGGGCCTGAAGAAGGTTTTAATTGGGTGCTGCAGCTGAGCAGGTGGAAGCTCAATCTCAAATCCATCTCCCTGATCAACTATAACTAGGGGTTTATATAACAGGAAAGAAATGTAACAATGTGTAAGAAAACGGAAGTAGGGAGGGGCATGGATGCAATCATGATTAATGAGGGGTCAGGCATCTCATTGTCAGGACGTGGTGATCTGGTGAGTTTCAGTTCTTTGATACCTTTTTTGAGGGGCCTGAAGGTCCTTTCTTGAGGAAGGAACTCAGATAAAACAAATGTAAGCTTCAAACTTTAAAATCAGAAAGGTCAATTTCTATTTTTATCCAGAACAGTCTATGGGACTATCAGGTTGGTTTCAATAGCACAATGCTGCCTAACATATTACAGCAGATGCTGTTGGTTCTCTACCCATACCCAGTAATCCTTTTCATTTCAGTATACACTGGCTCTACTTCTGATGGATAATTCCTACATTTTTTTTTGTCTGAGGTCTTTTACTGGCTGCCAAAACACTGTATGCTGCCAGATGAGGCCGAAAATTAAACATACACATACAGATGTGCACATATACACACATACCAGTTATTACCCTTAAACAATTGCCTACAGGAGATAGTGGGTACATACTCAACTTCTCCAACCCTCAGGTAAAAACAGATGGTGCACACACCTTCATTGTATCCAAAGCTTCTTACTAGCATTAAATTTCAGTTACCACATTGGTGACTGTTAGGTAAGGAGTTTAATAATGGCTTCCTTTCCATCCTGACTTTATTCTTTATTTCTCTACTTAAAAAAAAAAAGTAATAAATGTGAAAAAGAAAACTGTTAAGTTATAAGAAAATTGGTTAATAATGAGTAAAACATATTTGTTAGCAAGACACATGAACTGGTTAGTTAAATACTATGAATAAATACATTATTAAACAATAAGTAAAATGACAATTCAAGTCACAATCTGGAAGAATATTATAACAAATGTAATCAAAAAGATTAATATCCAAACTTAAAAATACAAAAATTTTGTAAATCGATTTAAAAAAAATGAATCAGAAACTAGACTAAAATATGCAACAGGGACTTGGTGAAACATAAGTCCAAATGGTCAGTACAAATACGAAAAGATTTTCAAACTCATAAGTAATCAAGTAAATACAAATTAAAACCAAAAGAAGATACTTGCATGTATTCGCTACAGTGCCAAATATATAAACATCTTAAAACTTTTTGCTAACTATATGGAGCAATGGAAACTGTCACACACTAATGGTGGTAGTATAAATTGGCATGACATTTTAAAACAGCTTGGCATCATCTAATAAATTGAAGAACCTCACACTTTATTGCAATAATTCTCTCCCAGAGAAGTTTTATGGGTTTGGATAAATAGCAGCATTGTTACAATAGCCCCAGTTTTAAAAAAATCTATCAATTATACATTGTATAAATTAATATCTCACTTTTAATTGTCATGTAAAGTTCAAATGAGGTATGTCATTTGAGGCATATTTAAATAATAATTTTTTTAATTAAAAGACAATAAACACATAATAGATGATAACATGGAATATTACATGCCAATAATATTATCAACAAGTATGTGAGTACATGTCAGCTTTTAAAATAAAGATACATGTGTTTTAAATTTTATTATTTGTTTCTGAGACGGTGAGACTGTCAGACTTGTAAACTGTAGGGTGTGTTAATAGTGCAAATTATATAGTTGATATCTTAACTTCAAGTAAGATAGTTTCTTTCTTTGAATTTTCACTTTTCATGTCTCAAAATCCTATTTAAAATAACAATCCAACTCCAAGTTAGAAAAAGAATAGAACATTTCTCAGCCTTGTATAAAATTTAAGTAATTTTGTGTGTATATAACCTAATCGTAGAGGGAAAAGTCCATTATCCATGTATTTTATCAAGGAGTCAGGTCATTGCATACGGTTTGTAACTCCCTAATGACTGGGTAAAGATTATTTTCTGTGGTAATTTGCAGATGTTATCCTACCATTATCTAGGTTCCATTGCTCTATGGAGCAATGGACATGACAAAATCGACTAGATTATGCCACATTACCAAACACCTCCCAGGACCAAAACCTTAATAAGGTACATGTTTATACACTCGCTCTTAGTATCTATGTGGGTAAGTGTATGGGTTGGCAGGGGCCCTGCTTACCAGAGAGATGCAGGCTGATGAAAGCTCTTAAGACACGGTTTCAAAGGCACCACAGCTAAAGGACATAAGTATAGTAAGTTATGCACTGGTTTTAGCTTCCAGCCATACCTGATACTCATCACTTCTGTTTATATTTCACTGGACAAAGAAGGTTACATAGCCACCCTAACTTCAAATGGGGTAAGAATGTTTAATTCTGCCATGTGCCTAGAAGGAGAATCAAAATATACATAAACAGTTCTAATAGCAATCACAGTAAATAACCAGCTATTTCTGTCTGGAATCTTGTACATTCAGGAATTCAATCAGAAAATAACTAGGTTTATTAACCCATGCTAGTACTTAATGAACATTTTCAGTCTGCAGACTCAAGACTTTTATTACATAAGAAAAACACATTTTATCATTTCCCTAATCGTTGTGCTCCATCTGTTTATTTTTCTCTTTTTGGGAGTTACGCATCTCTAATCTTTTTATGTCTTTTTTTTTTTAATCTCAATGTCAATTTCCTTATAGTGTGGTCTGTTTTGAGTTATTTCTTCTACTTGTTATTCCAAGCCACTAATAAAGGTGACTAGCCTTTCCTTCAACTATTGGTTTCTTTTTTGTTTTGGTTCCCAAATCTTGCTTGCTATTATTTTTATAGCTGTTTCCCCAGTTCCAGAAGTTTTAGTTGTGCTACACTTGAATTTTCTTTAGTGTTCTCACTATTTTTCTTTAATGTGTACTCTCTCACCTCGCTGTCCTATTTTATTAGGATTTTTCTAACTCGCACAGTTTGCTTGTATTTTTCACTTGGCTAATGGGTCTTCTTGGATTTGCTATTATTATTAATTTGTTTACTTATATTGTCGGTCGGCTTGCTGCTTTAGCTGCCGGAGTAACTTAAGTGATAGCAATCTTGGTTTGTTTCTCTTTTGTCAGGGCCTTACTAGCCAATAAGTTGTCAATGCCTATAGCAGGTAAACAACTACTCTCAGGAATCTTGTAAGTGGCAAAGGCTGGCGGTTTATCAGTTCAAGAGCCAGAATATAGAAAATGAAGGCCTCCTTGTGGCAAAACTCCTATCTCTGGAAAACCCCTGAGAAAAAGTTTTGTTCAGCATTTGCAGCACAATTTCTTACTTTCAATACTTTAAAGTAGTTAAGACCAAAAGTCCTCAAAGCTGTCCAGTCCCGGAGAGGTAGATAGGTGCATTTCAAGGACAACAAATATACACCATCTGATTGTGGTCTTTCTCAACTACATAAGAATTGGAAAGTCACAGAGGCTAATATTTAATATCAAAAATGAAAAACATAAAGCTGTTCTCTTTTTACACCATAAGTAGAATTTGACATTTTGAATACCTAATATTTTCCCTAACTTACAGATATAGGAATATATTATATTAATGGCTATTTCTTAATATACCATCTATTATTCAGGCTACATTCCTTCTCTGAATATTTTATCTTTTTTATTTTTCTCATTTGTGCTTCTCATCTGAAACAGACTAAAATCCCTTGTTACTAGTTATCAAAACTGGATTTCTTTCAGTATCTAACAAAGTTTAAATTTATAAAAATAAATGAATGAATGAAAAGACTAGACCTCAAAAAGAGATAGATGAACATAGAACATAAAAGGATTCCTCATTTGTCATGTCACTGCAATTCAAAAGTCTCCGCCAATGCAAGAAATCTTCTTTCTGGATAGATGTTTGCTATCCTTTACACTAGTTGCCTTAATAATAGATGATTATAGCCTGTCTGCATACTTCCTAGAGCTTAAATTGGATATAATTTTCTTCATTTCCTGTCTTAAGTCATATTGAAAATGTTTTGAAAAATTTTAAACATCTGCTTAATTCCACTAAAGAGGTGGCTATGTTTTATTATAAGTGAGGCAGACTGTATGTTTGGCTATCTCTTGTGTGTATATTCAGCATGGTGATTTTGTATAAATGGGCCCAGACATTTAAATCATACATTTGTGAGCCATTTGTAAAGTCTATAGAATTTTTTTAAGTTAGAAATTTAAGATCCTGATCTTATTATGACTGAAATGATCATATGTGAAGACAGAGTGTCTTTGTCTGTTGATTTAATGGCTCCAATTACTATCTAATATATATAGACAGGCATCTACTTGTCCTGGGAGACAGAAGCTTTCAGAGCATCATGTCTCACTTGCTTTTAAGTCAAATTTGGTTTTCATTCTTTTGGCAGCTGCTCAAGCTTATTGCTACATAATTGGCACCAACAGCTGCCTCTGCTGTGTAAACCATATGAACATCACACAATCCCGGATCTCGCCATCTCATTATTAGCACACTTTTTTGTGCAACGAGGTGTGTAGGCAAAAATAAACAAACCAAGAAATATTATGGAGAGCCTTATGATTCTGGATTCAGACAAATTTCTATAAGATTTCTTTCACTGTCTGAAGCTTACACAGTACCATAATTCCTTACAGCTTTGTATGTTTATGTTTATTTTTCTACCTTCCCTTGGCTTCCTTAATAGAGAAAATACATTTCAAGAATAATTAAATAAGCTAGCAATGTAATTATAAAAAGACTCAACTTCTACACTTGACCCTTAAAAATAAATTATAAATCTATATTTACTTTGTGAGCATAATTTAAAATAATGAACAGGAAAGACGGAAGGCTAAGTAGAGCTCCATCAAGGTATTACCTTAAGGCATATGGAGTTTTATCTAGTTGATGATAAGGTGAACTGAAATATCGAATTCAGAAACATTTCTCCTTTTGGTAACATAAACCAAACATTTATCCATCTGCCCTTTCAGTGGGATGCAGACCTTTGGTCCATAATATAATTCACTGTAAGTATGTTCATTAAAAAAAAAACAAAAAAACAAACAAAAAAAACAAACAGCTGTTCCTCGTAACCACACCACATTAAATGTTCAGTAAGCTTAGAAAATATATCCTGGCTGGCAAAGATAGATCTAGAGTAAACAAGACTGTTTAGTTCTTTGCCACAAGTAACCCTGCTTGGTCATTAAATTAATTACTTGTGTGTGACTATCTTAAGTATCTTTAAGGCCAAAACATTTATTGGGTAAAATATAGGATGTCGGGTCTAATAAATGTTATTAGTACATGTATACTCTGCGATAAAAGATACAAAAATTAATAGAAATATGCATGTGTATAAATACAAATATTTGTTTAAACTAATATATAAATAAATGAATACATACTTTATTATTTCAGTTGCTATGGCTGAATTTAGCTGTTGCCAGAGAACAAAATAATTATTTTAAATGAATGATTTTTTATTCCTCTTCTTCCTTGAAAACAAATATTTTCTTATAGCCTGATTGATTTACCTCATGAAATTGAAGAAACAAAGATTGCCAATGTGTTTTTCTTATCTATCCATTTACATCAAATCTACTGTCATTGAGACCCAGATCGTAACACCTAGAATAAAACTCTACATGGTTTTTGTCCCTTTACCAACCTGTTCCAAATTATTCAAAGATATTATATCAGCTTTCTAAAACATATCATGGCATTTTTTGAAAACTAGAGAAATACTTATTTTTTTTAACAATCTAAATCTTCAAGATAAAGTATTCACAGAATCAAATCTTGCCCTATAAATAAACTCCTACTGTATCACACACACACACACACCACGTATCTCCTTACATTTGAGTCATCACTCCTTGATGATATTTATAAACATTGGTTGAGTAATTGAATCTATATGTTCAACACAGTTTCTGTGCATGCGTGTGTGTGTGCACACACATGCACACATGCACTTGTGTATCTGTGGTTTAAATTTGGCACTGTTTATGTATTTGGGAAGAATTTATTTCACAAACTTCGTTTCACCTTTATGATAGGGACTCTATTAAACACTGAACAAAATAATAACTAAGTCATAGCCCTTGACTTTTTGGAGTTCCATTTTAGCTGGTTAGAGAAGTTTCCTTTAATCCTAGTTTGCTCCGAGCAAAAAGAGTTAAAAACAGCTTTTTATATGAATAAATGCTGAATTTTATTAAAGGATTTTATCTACATCAATTGAAATTAATCATACAGCTTTTCTTCTTTGTCTGAGTTTCAAATCTTAAACAAAGTCTTTCATTACTGAAATGAATTCCACTTGGTTATAAAATATTATCCCTTTATTTATTGTTTGATTTGATTTGCAAGTATTTTTCTGAGGATTTTGTATCTATATCCATGATGGATATTTATAGTTTTCTTTCTTTGTAATGACTTTGTCTGATTATGATATGAGGATAATGCTGGGCTAATAAAGAAATAAACATATTCTCTCTCATTCTATTTTCTGGAAGAAATTATGTAGAATTGATATGATTTCTGTCTTAAATGTTTGGTAGAATTCACCAGTGAAACCATCAGGGCCCAGTGATTTACTCTGTGGAAACTTTGATAGTTTATTTTTTATTTTTTTATTTTTTTTGAGACGAAGTCTCTCTCTGTTACCCAGGCTGGAGTGCAGTGGTGCAATCTCAGCTCACTGCAACCTCCGACTCCCAGGTTCAAGCGATTCTCCTGACTCAGCCTCCTGAGTAGCTGGGATTATAGACACGCACCACCAAGCCCAGCTAATTTTTGTATTTTTTGGTAGAGTTGGGGTTTCACCATGTTGGCCAGGCTAGTCTCAAACTCCTGACCTCAAGTGATCTGCCCGCCTCAGCCTCCCAAAGTGCTGGGATTACAGGTGTGAGCCACTGAGCCCGGCCCTCTGTGGATACGTTAAAACTCATGGTTTTTATTTCATCTTGAAATATTTTTGGTAGTTTGTATCTTTCAAGGATTGGCCCTTTTGTAAGTGGATTGCCATGGAATTGTTTGTAATACTGTCCTATCATCTTTTTAATATCAGTGAAGCATGTACTGATGCCCCATCTTTCATTTGTAATATTGATAATTTGTGTTTTCTTTCAGTTTTTCATTAGCTTTGCTAGATGTTTATCAATTTTATTGATCCTTAAAAAATCCCTTTGGTTTTATTGATTTTCCTCTATTTTTGTTGTTTTTATTTACACTGATCTCAGCTCTAATCAATCACCACTATTACCTTCTTTCAGCTTAACCCAGGTTTATGTTGTTCTTCCTGTGGTGCTTAAAGTGAAGACCTAGCTTACTGATTTTAGATAATTATTATTTTCCAATATGTGCATTTAATTTTAAACTTTTCCTCAAAGCACTGTTTTACAATATATCTCACAAGTGTTGACATATTAATTTTACTTGCATTTATTTAAAAATTTATTTATATTCTTGAGATGTCCTCTTAGACCCATGGGGTTTTTAGAAGCATATTATTTAATTTTCTACTATTTGGAGATTTATGGATACCTTTCCATTATTATATCTAGTTTCATTCTGTTATGGTCAGGTAGTATGCTTTGTATGATATCTATTGTATTATCTTAAATAATTACTATATATTTTGCTCGTTCTTCATTTCTGAAGTTGTGTGATTTCTTCTGGAATCATTTCTCTTTAGCTTGAGTAACTTTAACACTTTTTAGGGCCAGTCTGCTAGTAACCACTTCCATTAGTTTTTCTTTATCTAAGAATGTCTTTCTTTATTTTGCTATAATTTCTGAAGAATATTTTTGCCAGATACAGAATTATGGGTTGAGAGAATTCTTTCCTCTTTTTCATAGTTAGTCTGGTTCTAGGTTTATCAAATGTGCGATTACTCTTTAGTTTTCAAATCCTTTGCTATGCTTGTGTGGGTGGTTCCATTAATACTGTGTAAGCCCAGTCTTGTTTATATTTAACAAGACAGAAACAGGAAGTTCTCTTCCCTAGCTCTCTCCTTTCTAGAATTTCCCCACACTCTCTGTATACAAGGGCACCTTACCTAGTCTTCTGGCCAGAAATCTTTTCTTTGTCTCCCCAGTAATTTAGCTTGCCATGCTTTGATGCAGTTCCATTATTCTGGAGCCCCCTCAAGGCTAAGTAATATGAGAAAACAGAAAAAAAATGAGGAATCCCCCCCAAATCTATGGACCATAGAGTCTCCTTTCTCCAATTTCTCTGGCCAGGAAAAGTGGGTTTTATGTTGAACTTTTAAGTAACTGTGCCATTCCATGCCACTGATGACTCACTCCTTTTGGAATCCCTTTCTGTCCTGGATTCAGACATATTTATTTCTTATGGATTTTCTCCTACTTCAATAACTGCTCTAGCTCAGTCTCCTTGAGTGGCACCACCCTGTCAATTCTGTAACATCCTTCTAAGGTCCCTCCTATTTTCAGAAATGTAATAAAGTTCTGTTTGCACAAATATGACCCTTCCTTCACCTTTTCTCCCATATTTCTATTTGAATAAAAGGTTTCCTGGAAATATTTTCAAAAAGTCTGCTCTTTAATATTGAATAAACAATTCCGCTGTTTCACCATGAATTGCCATTGTTTTAGAGCTGATTCAAGCAAACTAGAAATTTGAAATATATCCAAAGAAAGTAAATGAAGAGATAACTGATAGGTAAATAAACATAACCCACATCTTTGTATATTTTTATCTTTGTATGTTTTTATCTATTTTTTTAAATGTGCTTGAAAAAAAAATTGTAGTTTTAATGCAGTTGCAAATGTTTGTTTAGAAAATAAAAATAGGATACACATTATCAATCTTAAATTGTATTATCTAGTATCAGATTCAAATGTCTGTAAAATTAAAATTATTTACTGTCGGGCAAAACATTTTATGCTATAGTCTTTGTCTTATCAAATAAATTTCCTTCAACAACAATAAAAATCTATTTAATTAAAAATTGCAAATTATAATAAATAAGGTAAACTATTTAAATAGATATGTGCATCCTCAAAACAATTACTTTCTAATGAAGAGTGCAAATATGTGAAATATTTAGCCTATTTTCAAGTAAAGGTCAGAATATTATTTTAAGCCTTCTTAGCAGTGATTTTATTCAAATACTGAATGTCATAACAAAAATAAATTTCATTTATAAGCGTTCTTATGCTGAAAACAAGTTTTTTTCTCAAATTGGTCATTGGTCCTTACATTCCTCAATTGCTGTCAGTAGGTTATTACACGCACTTAAGAAGAAAGCCATTTCTTCTTAAATATTCTATAATTCAGACTTCCCTTTTATTTCCCAATTGGGCAAAATTAATGAGATTTTACTACAGATACTGCTGTGTGAAAGTCAATGCTAATTAGAAGCTTTACAGTTCAAAAAGGTGAACTGAGAATTCCTGTGTTGGAATTATGAGAGAAAAGAATACTAGAACACAGCAGATGGTGAGAAAAAAAGGAATTGAATGGGAAGGAGGAAGAAAAAATAGAATTAACAAAATGTTCATTTTATGCACAGCGAGAATATAAAAACACACCTGACACTTAGGAAACATCTAATCCCTATTGTTGGCAGTAACCCAGTGCCTCCACATCTTTTAATTTCTACCCAACAAAATTTAGTTTCACCTATCCTTATAAAAAACCTACAAAGGTATTAATTTTTTCTTTAAATATTTTTCTCTTAGCATATACAAAAAGACAATGTTATAAAACTAGACGTGTCCAATTGCTTCATAAAGTTTGGCCTGATATTATAGCTCTTGTTTTTTTTTGTTTGTTTGTTTTGTTTTTTTGAGGCAGTCTCTCTCTGTCACCCACTCCACCTGCCTCAGCCTCCTGAGTAGCTGGGACTACAGGTGCCCGCCACTACGCCCAGGTAATTTCTTTTTGTATTTTTAGTAGAGACGGGGTTTCACCGTGTTAGCCAGGATGGTCTCGATCTCCTGATCTCATGGACTCCCAAAGTGCTGGGATTACAGGCATGAGCCACCGTGCCCAGCCGATATTATGGCTTTGATGTATGCTGTCTATAGCATAATCCTGTCTATACAATATTTTGCTACTTTATGAGAAATAAACTCCTTAAGGGAAAAATATTTCTATTGTTCACCTTCATATCATGCATAATGCCTAATACAGTATATGGAGCACAATAAGGGCTAAACAAATGCTTATGTGTCTCTGTAACATAATTATTTTATTCGTGATCTCAGGCACTGTAAATGAACCTTGTTGCATCACTGGGCAGCATTTTTTTCTACTTATACTAACCCATGCTAAAGAAAACAGAAAGCAGAAGATAAGAATGAGGATATTTGAAAGGATGTGTGAAGATTTTCACTGGAGCATCATAAGATTGTTCAAATATGTGATAACTAGTATGAATTTCTTGAGAAATAATAGAACATGTTGCCTTCTAATGCCTAATACTTGTTCTTCTTGCCTCTCTGGACTAGCATGGTAAAACAATGTTAGTATTATGTTCCATAAGTGAAAATTAATGAACTTAACATTAATGTAGATGCTGGTAGGTAGACAGAACTTCTCTAGCATGGTAGGTAGAGAAAAATAGCTGTCCATCTAAAGTTAAAAAAAAAACAAAACTTGCTATCATAGGACAGTGTGATCAAAAATTAGAAAATGCAGTGGAAACATATCAGTCACCAAACTAAGCTATGATCTGGGGTGATGGCTAAAACATATTTTAACTCAGGGTATTTTCATCTGTGGAAAGAATTTTTTTTAAATATTAAAATCACAAGGCAGCTAGGAACCCTGTATGCTGCCAAATGGAGCAATTAGTTTTATAAAAGTATTTTTCCTTGTAGAAGAATCTTAACCTTACTCAACAATAAAAAGATAAATAAATAAAATAAGAGAAGAAATGCAGAAAGGGGCCTGGTGGAAGGGCAATAATTGAAACATATTTTTCAAGCAAAGGAAGAACACTCTCATATAAAAGTAATTTTATTTCTGGCATCTTTGTCTTTTAAATGAACCTATAATATAATGAATTAATTTAATAAAAGCACCTGTTTTATTTAAACTATATTTTAATAAAATTGAATATGAAGCAAATCTCAATATTATTTTCTATATAAATAATTATATTTACCAATTTTAAATGTCCTCTGAGAAACACTTGATATTTAGGCCTTGAAGAACTAAACCCTTAAACTTAGAAAGTAATGATTGAGCAAATTTCTTTCCAGTATATATAACCAATACACTTTTATTTATAACCTATTTCAGTGTACATCAAAATCTCCAAAGTTCAGTCACTAAGAAATATTAAACAATAGTAAGCAATCATTAAAAAAAAATCGGGATCCTTCTGAAGGTTTTTAGGCTTACACATTTAATAAGAATCGCTAACAGTCTTTTGCATATGTTATATTGTTATATTTTATATAATTAACTGTTGCCATTATTTGAAATGCTTAAGTATTGAAAATATACTTCAGATAGCAATGAAGAACCCAGCATTATAAAGCATCTTTTTCATAGTTATCAGAAAAGAATTTATGAAGATAATTATCGACATGAGGATTACTATCAATGTTTGCTCTGTCTTGCTAATTGCCATAGCTAAGACTCTTTCTAAGACCATTTATGGAACTATCTTGCAGAGAGACAAGGATAAAACAACTGGCTCATATTTACATGCAGAAAGGAAAAAAAAGAGTATTTTCAGCATTGAGTGAAGCAGGAGCACATGGAACTTAAAAAAGTAAATGTCATTGAACTCTATGAGAAGCTGGAAACTTGACAATAGAGTTTGCGTGTGGGAAATAAAGCTCCACCAATCCCATCACTCTTACTAATAATAAGTACAGAAAAATGACCTCATTTGTATTACTAAGAACATAACTAGCGAACTTTCTTCTATCGAAGTATAAAATTCAGAAGCAAGAGGGAATGTATTAAACTCCCAAGTACTTTGAAATTCAAGTTAATTCTTATTTTGTGTTACATATTGGGTATTTTAGACCAATGAATATTCCACATTTCTGAAATGCAAAAGACAAAATTGAAGTATATTGAGAAATATATATTTTGAATAATAAGCCATTAAAAATGTAAAAAGAAACATACAGTTGAGCTATCATCAGTGAAAACATTGTTTGTCAAGTGCCAAAAGACATTGTAAATAAATCAGTAAATGAAAAGTCAAAATAGAAAAACATTAATTCACTTGGTGAGTTTTAATATTTGTGCACACATACTTTTTCCAGTGTTAAATATTAACTGCTATCTTAGCTCAACATGTTCTAATAAATTATTTTAGATAAGATGACTTGTTACCAGCAGAAATTTATTTTTCACAGGTCTGGAGGTTGGAAGTCTGAGATCAGGGTGCCAGCATGGTCGGGTTCTGGTAAGAGCCCTCTTACAGGTTGCAGAGTACTGACTTTTGAGTTGTATCCTCACATAGAAGAGAGCAGAAAGAAGCAAGCTTTTATAAGGGTTCTGATCTTATTTGTGGGAACATTGCCCCATTATCCTCATGATTTCATCTAATCCTAATTATCTTGCAAGCGGTCTACCTCCTAATATCATCATATTGAGAGGTAGGGTTTTGACATGTGACTTTCGGAAGGACACAAACATTCGATCCATAATAACTTTAATGACCTCTGAAGGACTCTCCACAATGCTAAGTAAAGGTGCTGGAATATCATCTTAAATAGTACAGTGATTTAAATAAGTACAAAATACAGATAGTAGACTGAACTTTTCAAATAGAGGGAAATATATATTTAAAAGTTCATTTATATAATGGCTAGATGCTCATTTTATTTTCTCTTTGATCTGCAGCTCTAGGCGAAAATTCTGAGATAGCATTTAGTTCTACATTTTAAAAATCAACATTTTCAGAAAGTTGTTTTTTAGTTTTTAAAAGTACTTAGATTAAGTTATACATGCACATAATGTAAAAATTCAAATGTTTCTACTAGGTTTGTTATACAAAAAACAGATCACCACTTCTCTCTTCCACAATTCTCCTATGTTCTAGGTAACCAGCTTTTCATTTGTTTACGTCATCCTTTTTACCTGGAAATGTCTGAATGACATCATTACATTTCTATTTTGTTTTGTTTTGTTTACAGATTAACTAATGATTTTTACTATGAAAAAATGACGACATGAATCCCATCTCCCCCCCAACTCACATTACCACAGCATTCTTCCTAACCATCCATCCTTTCACAAATTGTATTATAATTTTGTTTAGACCAGTATTCCTTATTATTCATAGATGAGCCAGCTAGTAAAGCATGAGTTTCCTTCCCTCCACAACTTTTGCTACTCCTTAGAATGAATACTTTTCCTGCTCTTTCATAGTTTAGTTTTCTGCTAATCACTTTTTCTTTTCCTTTTATTTTATTTATTTATTTATTTGGAGACAGAGTCTTGCTTTGTTGCCTAGGGCTGGAGTGCAGTTGCATGATCTCGGCTCACTGCAACCTCTGCTTCCTGGGTTCAAGCAATTATCATGCCTCAGCCTCCCAAGTAGCTGGAAGTACAGGTGCCCGCCACCATGCCTGGCTAATTTTTGTATTTTAGTAGAGACAGGGTTTCATCATGTTGCCCAGGGTGATCTCAAACTCCTGAGCTCAGGCAATCCTCCTGTCTCGGCCTCCCAAAGTGCTAGGATTACAGGATTACAGGCTAGGAGCCACTGTGCCCGGCCAGTCTTCTGCTAATTACGAATTCAACCATATATTATTCACTTACTGTTTAGAATTCCTCCCAGAAATATTGATCACATTAGAAATAAACTCAATATTTTAAGCAAAAGTTCATTCAAAGACTTCTGACCTACTGCAATCTGCATGGTTTTTCTGTATACCTGATTTGGTTTCCTGTGTTTCCTGAATTCTTTATTAAAAATATTTAAAAACTGACAAGTCAAGTAATAACCAACAGAGCTAGACTGGGGCACTGACCAATCGGAATAGATGCAGGCTATAAAACATTGAGAAAGCTGTGCATGTACAGCCTTATCAGTATAGGCCAAATGAATATCGAAACACCTTGTCATTCTATGTCTTCCTCTTTCCTGATTTCTTTATGCTTTTGGTGGTAATTATCCTTCAATGACTCCATAAAATGAATAAATAAATGAATATGAATATTAATTAATGAAAAATATGAGGTAAGCCTTTACTACACCATGTTTGTTTATAATTCTATACAAACCATATATACCATGTTGGTATATAATTCTAGATTGAAAACAATTTTTCTTTATATTTTTGGATGTATTTCACCTTCATGTTCCCATTGGCTTTTGAGAGATGTGAAACCAGTTATATTTTTTTCCTTCTCTGGAATCTTATAGCATCTTCTCTTTTTCCTCATGTTCTTAAAAAAATCTCACAATGATGTGATTTGGCAAGAGTTCATTTTTGTCCACTGTCCTGAATAGTTATTGTGTCTTTGAATCTAGCAACTCATTGTTCTATGGTTTTGAGAATATTAATTAAATATTTTTAGGTTCAAATCCCACCTCTCCATTTTCTTTATTACCTCTTTCTTCTATTTTTAAATAATTGTCTGTATGCCAGATGCTCCATCTTCATTTGTTCTGTATTTTCAAGCTAATCTGTTTACTACAAATTGTCTTTTAAATTAATAATCTATTTATTTATATATTTAATTTTGAGATGGGGTCTCACTCTGTCACCCAGGCTGGAGAGCAGTGGCGTGATCTCGGCTAACTGCGACCTCTGCCTCCTGTGTTCAAGCAATTCTCTGCCTCAGCCTCCCGACTAGCTGGGATTACAGGCGCCTGCCACCATGCCCAGCTAATTTTTTTGTATTTTTGTATTTTAGTTTCACCATCTTGGCCAGGCTGGTCTTGAACTCCTGACCTCATGATCCACCCGCTTTGGACCCCCAAAGTGCTAGGATTACAGGCGTGAGCCACCGCGCCCAGCCAATAATCTTTATTTTTAGGGCAGCTTTAGGTTCACAGCAAAATGAAGCAGAAAATACAGAAAGTTACCATATAACCCCTGTCCCTGAACATGCACAACCTCTTCTATCAGTGCTCTGCAGCAGCATGGTACACTTGCTACAATCAATGAACCTATATTGACACATCAGTATCACCCAAAGTCCATAGTCTACATAATCTTTCCCCATTGGTGTAAATTCCATGGGTTTTGACAAATGTATAATGGCATATGTCCACCATTGTAGTATCATACAAAATAGTTTCACTGCCATCAAAATTCTCTGTGCTCTGTTTATTCATTCCTCCCTTCCTTCCCAGTAACCCCTGGCAACCACTAATCTTTTTACTGTTTCCATAGTTTTGCTTTCTCAGGATGTTATTTAGTTGGAATTGCACAGTTTATGGCCTTTTAAGATTGGCTCATTTCACTTAGTAATATGTATTTAAGTTTCCTTCCATGTCTTTTCATGGCTTGACAGCTCATTTCTTTTTAGAGCCGAAGAATGTTCTATTGTCTAGATTGTCCCACAGTTTATTTATTCCACTATAACGGACATTTTGGTTGCTTCCAGTTTGGGTAATTATGAATAAAGCTGTTACAAACATTCATGTGCAGTTTTTTTCTGTGGACATAAGTTTTTAGTTCATTTGGGTAAATACCAAGGAGCAAGATGCTTGAATCATATGGTGAAAAAACGTTTAGTTTTATGATAAACTGTCAAACTATGTTTCAAAGTCACTGTACCATTTGTATAACAACGAGCAATGAATGAGGGTTCCTGTTGCTCTAATCTTTGCCAGCATTTGGTGGGGGCCAACATTTTGGATTTTGGTCCTTCTAATAGAGACACAGTGATATCTCATTATTGTTTTAATTTGTAATTGTCTAATAACAAATAGTGAGCATATTTTTATATGCTTATTTGCTGTCTACCTATCTTCTTTGGTGAGGTGTTAGTTATGGTTTTTGCCCATTTTAAAATCAGGTTTTAAATTATTTTATTTTTGAGTCTTAAGATGTTTCTGTATATTTTGGATAATAGTTTTTTTTTTTTTTTTTTATCAGATGTGTCTTTTGCAAATATTTTCTCCTAGTCTATGGCTTGTCTTCTCATTCTCTTGACATTGTCTTTTACAGGGCAGAAGCTTTTCAGTTTATTGAGATTTAGATTATCAGCTATCCCATTCATGGATTATGCCTTTGGTGTTTTATCTAAAAAGTCATCTTAATGTCCAATGTCATCTAGGTTTTCTCCTCTAATAGGAGAAATTGAGAAATTTTATAATTTTTATAGAAAAATTTTATAGAAATATTGTAATTTTGCATTTTTTGTAGGACTATGACCTATTTTGAGTTAACTTTTATGAATGGTGTAAAGTCTGTATCAAGATTCATTGTTTTACATGTGGATGTCCAGTTGTTCCAGTACCATTTGTTAAAATATTGTCTTTGCTCTAATGCATTGCCTTTAAACCTTTGTCAAAGATCAGTTGACTCTATTTGTGTAGATTTGTGTCTGGGCTGGCTATTCTGTTTAATTGATCTATTTGTCTGTTCTTTCATTAGTATCACACTGTCTTGGTTACTGTTATTAATAATTGTATAGTAAGTCTTGAAAAGGAATAGTGTCAGTTCTCTGACTTTGAGGACTCATTATTGAATTGGCCATTCTGAGTCTTTTGCTTCTCTATGTAAATGTTAGAATCAGTTTGTCAATGTCTACAAAAGAACTTGCTGGAATTTCTATTGGGATAGCATTGAGTCTATAAATTGAGTTGGGAAGAACTGACATCTTAACAATATTGAGTCTTTCTATCCATGAACATAGAATATCTCTCTGTTTATTTAGTTCTACTTTGATATCTTTAATCAGCATTTTGTAATTCTTCTCATACAGATCTTGTACATATTTTGTTAAATTAATAATTATATATTTGATTTTGTGGGAGGACTCATGTAAATAGTGTGCTTTTAACTTCAAATTCCAATTTTTCATGGTTGATATATAGAAAAACAATAACTTTTATATTTTGACCTTGTATCCTGCAACCTTACTATAAACACTTATTCTGGGGGGGTTTGTTTTGTTTTTGTTCATTCTTTTTGATTTTCTACATACACAATTGTGTCACCTATGAAAAATGAGAGTTTTATTTTTTTCCTTTTCAACATGTATACCTTTTATTTCTTTTTTTATCATCCTTTTCATGTCTACAATATCTTTAGTGATGTATCCCCTTTCATTTCTGTAGTAAAATTATATCTTCTTTCATTTTTTTTTGTAGTTAGCAAGGCTACAGGCTTTTAGCTTTTACAAATCTATTCAGAGAACCAAATGTTTGTTTTGTTATTTTTCCCAACTGATTTTCTATTGTTAATTTTTTTTTATTTCTGCTTTAATTTTTATAATTTTTTTCTTCTGGTTACTTTGTATTTAATTTGCATTTCTTTTTCTAGTTTTCTATGGTGAAGGCTTAGATTATTAATTTTAGATCTTTCTTCTTTTGTAACCATATGCATGTGCTGCTCTAATTTTTCCTCTCAGCACCATTTTGCTGCATTCCACAAATTTTGATGCTCTATTATTGTGTTCATTTAGTTCAAAATATTTTTAAATTTATCCTACAAGTTCTTCTTTGATCCATATGTTATTCAGAAGAATGTTATTCTCCAAGTATTTTCCAGCTATCTTTCTGTTATTGCTTTCTACTTTAATTCCACTGTGGTCTGAGAATAAACATTGCATGATTTATATTCTTTAAGTTTTTTAAAAGTGCGTTTTATAGCCCAGAATGTAGTCTATATTGGCTAATATGCCATGTGAGCTTGAGAAAAATGTGTAATGTATTGTTTTTGGATGAACTAACCTGTAGATGTCCACTATATCCAGGTGATGGATGGCGTTGCTGAGTTCAACTATGTCCTTACTTATTTGTGCTTGCTGAATCTGTTCATTTCTCATAGAGGGGTGTTAAAATCTTCAACAGTAAGAGTGGATTCATCTATTTCTCCCTGCAGTTTTATCAAATTTTACCTCACATATTTTGATGCTCTGTGGTTAGACTTAATACATAAGATTGTTATGTCTTCTTGCAGTATTGACTTTTTCATTATTATGTAATATCCCTTTTCATCCTTGATAAATTTCCTTGCTCTGCAGTAGGTTGTGTCTGAAATTAGAATACCTACTCCCATTTTCTTTCAGTGAGTACTAGTATTATGTATATCTTTCTTTATCTCTTTATGTCTTTTTTACTCTTTATTTTTTGATCCATTCTGATCATCTCTGTCTTTTAGTTGATATATTTAGTCTATGAATGTTTAAGATGATTATTGATATATTTGGATTAACTTATACCATGTTTGTTACTTATTTCTACTTGCTCTTGTTGTATTGCCTTATGTACCCTGTTCCCAATTTTTCTGCCTTTAGTAGTTTTAATTGAGCATTTAATATGATTTAATTTTACCTCATTTCTTAGCATATTAATTCATCTTTTTTAAAGTGGCTTCCCTAGAGTTTGCGATGTACATTTACAAAAAATCTAAGTCCACTTTCTTTCTTTCTTCTTTTTTTTTTTTTTTTTTTTGAGATGAAATCTTGCTCTGTAGCCCAGGCTGGAGTGCAGTGGCGCAATCTCAGCTCACTGCAACCTTCGCCTCCTGGGTTCAAGCGACTCTCCTGTGTCAGCCTCATGAGTAGCTGGGATTACAGGCGCATGTCACCACACTTGGCTAATTTTTGTATTTTTAATAGAGACAGGGTTTCACCATATTGGTCAGGCTGGTCTTGAACTCCTGACCTCGTGATCCTCCCGACTTGGCCTCCCAAAGTGCTGGGATTACAGCTGTGAGCCACCACACCTGGCCCTAAGTCCACTTTCAAATAGCATTATATCACTTCACAGTAGCATGAATATCTTATAAGAAAAAATTACTAATTTTTACTTCATTTCTCTTGTACCATTGGTGTCATTCATTTCACTTACGCATAAGCATATATATGCCTAACATACATGATTGAATTTACTTATCATTATTTTGAATGAAATGTTATGTTAGATCAATTAAAACATAACAGAAACAAAAATTTTTATTTTACCTTTACTACTTCCTCCAGTGCTTTTTCCTTTCTTTATATAGATCTGAGTTTCTGATCTATATCATTTTCCTGTCTGAATAACTTTTAACTTTCCTTGCAAGGCAGGTGTACTGGTAACACATTGCCTCATTTTTTTCCTTGTCATATAAGACTTTTTTCTCCTTCACTTTGGAGTGATAATTTCACAGGGTACAGAATTCTAGGTTGTGTGTTCTCTCTCTTTCTCTCAAGACTTTAAATATTTTATTTCAATCTTTTCTTGTCTCATAGTTTCTGAGGAGATGTCAAATATAATTCTTACCTTTGCTCCTCTACGGGTAAGGTGTTTCTCCTACGGTCTCTTTCAACATTTTTTCTTTATCTCCAATTTTCTGTAGTTTGAATATAATATTTTTAGGTATGGTTTTGCAATTTTGTTTGGTTTACTTTTACTTGCTCATTGTTTTCTTACCTTCTTCGATTTGTGGTTTGTTGTCTGATGTCAACTAGGGAGATTATCAGACCTTGTTGCTTCACATATTGCTTCTCTTCATTTCTTTCTCTTCTCTTTCTTTTATTCTTATTATGTTTATGTTACAACTTTTGTAGTTGTCCCATAATTCTTAGATATTCTGGGTTTCCTGTTTATTCTTTTTCCTCCTCTTACAGCTTTGGAAATTTCTATTGTCATATCTTTAAGCTTAGAGAGTCTTTCTTCAGCCATGCTCAGTGAACTAAAGATCCCATCGAAGACATTCTTAATTTCTGTTACGGTGGTTTTGATTTCTAGCATTTCTTTTTGGTTTTTCTTAGGATTTTCATTTCTCTGCTTACGTTGTTCATGTGTTCTTGTATCTTGTCTACTTTTCAAATTTAATTCCTTAGCATATTAGTTATAAGTTGTTTTAATTTTTTAATTTCAAATCTGATATTTCTAACTTATCTGTCATATCTGACTTTGGTTTTGACACATTTTCAGCCTCTTCAAACTGGTTTTTTTTTTTTTTTTTTTTCTTTTTTCTTTCTCTCTCTTTTTGTTTTGGCCTTTTAGTGTATCTTGTAATTTTTTTTGTTGAAAGGCAGACATGATGTACTGGGTAAAAGGAACTGATGTAAATCGTCCATTAATAATGTTTTTGTAAGGTAAGGGGGAAAGGAAGCATTCTATTATGTACTTAAATCTGAATCCTCTGGTAAGTTTTTTTGTGCCCCTGGGCTATGAACTTTACTAGTGCTTCTCAATTTTCTCCCCCTTCCTTCCTAGGTAGGACAAGATAGATAGGGGGGCTGGAGTTGTGTGTTTTCCTTTTTTCAGGTAGGTTAGGTCCTGACAAAAGCCTATCAGATTAGGCTCTGAAAAATTTCTCCTGAGGGCGGGCCTTGTAACAGAATACTCTGGAATATTGCAAAATGATTCTTTTTAAATCTTACTGCTGGAAGAATGATGCAATTTTTTGTATTATTCACTGTGAATACGTAGTAGATTTCCTGGAAGTAAAACTCATAAAAGAGTAGGAGACCCCCTAGGCCTAGTTTCTCCTTGAGTTTTTAACTTTCAGGTTTGTCCACACTGAGCCTCCAACATTTTGTCATCTACAGTTTAGATTTTCCTAGCCGGGCATTGGTTATGGAGGAAGCTTCTTCTTGTGGGTTTCTACTGTGATAAATTGTGTTTCTCTGGATGTGCCTGTTTTTCCAATTTTGGGGGCAATAGTTTGCATTGAGACCTCACTTCTCTGATGGATCATGGAAGAGTTGATTTCTCAGTTTCTTCAGCTTTTTACTTATTAGGATGGAGTAGTGACTTCTTAACTTTTACATGCCAGAAGGAAAACTGGAAGTTGAAGTCTAAAATGGATTTTTTGTCATTTATCTTGCCTCTCTTTTACATTAGAGGCTTTCTTCAGTTTTTTGGTCATTTTGAATATCTATTTCTATTTGTGAGCAGGGGCCTAAATAAGATTGATTGAGAACTCTTAACAGATGGATAGGGCAACTTCAACTGTAAATTTTATTGTTGGATGCAATTTCTTATAGCAATATCTTTTAATTTTCATCACACTGATTTATTTATGTATTTATTTTTATTTTAGAGACAGAGTCTCACTCTGTCACCCAGGCTAGAGTGTTGTGGTCCAAACCTAACTCACTGTAACCTTGAAATCCTAGTCTCCAGTGAAATCCTAGGCTGCTTCAGCCTTCCAAGAAGCTTGGACTATAGGTACGAACCACCATGCCTGACTAATTTTTACTTTTATTTTTTTGTAGAGACTTGGTCTCACTATGGTGTCCAGTTTGGTCTTACACTCCTGGCCTCAAGTAATCCTCCATCTTTGGACTCCAAAAACTCTGGGACTATAGGCATGAGCCACACTGTACTGGACACCAATCATAATTTCCAACCTAGAAAAATTCCACTTCTAGCATTCTGTAAGTCAGTGTTGGAAGAGTTTCTCTTTTTCCGCATAGTGTACACATACTGATACTTAATGGTCCCCTTCTACTGTTGACTTTGTCATAACATTGGTCCTAACTACACCTTTTGTTCCTCAGGCCATAGTCTCACTCTTTTAATCTCCCTAGAAAATAAACTTCTAATTTCCTTCAAGAAGCTGTTACCAGGCATGATAGTGTTATGGAGGAGATCTAGGAATCTGACTGCCTCTTAAACTGCTTTCAGATGGTCCTCCTCATTGTAGTCACCTCTTTATCTCCAACTTTCAGAGATGTCCCACAATGTCAATTCTTCAGGCTAACACAGTTCCAAAATTTAAGTCTGATTGATTCTCAGCTTTTTTCATCATGATATAAAATTTGCTTTTCTCAGGTCTGATAAGAGAGGTCTATTAATTTACTTATCACCATTTCACCTGTATTCTAGCTTGCAAATTTTTTCTGTTTTTGTTTTTTTCTAAGTCTTTCCATCCTTGGATTTTTATGTCTCTAAAATATTTCCCTTAACTTGTTTCAGAAGTGCCTTGATATACAACAAAATTAGACAGCAGCACTTTATTCACATTGCTTTTATTAATATAGAATTAGGATATTGGATCAAATGTATTCCACCCATAAAAAATGTGCCACAAATGTAAATTTGCTAGAAACATTTATTCTAGTGCTAACTCATTTTTTTAAAAAAAAGACAAAGCAATATTCTAATGAAAAACAAGTAACAATATAAACAATTTTTTAAATGAAAATCTGCCTTTTTAAAAAATGAAGAGGAAAAGAAGTTAAAGAGAACTGAAAAAAATGCTATCTGCAAGAAAACTCATAGCAAATATCAAGAGCAGGTTAGCATCTGCTTTGTGTATCTCAGTATTTCTCCCTATGCCCTAGAACAGAAATGTAGTTATTGAGAATCATATCTGCCAGTTAATCTCAAAGGCCAAGTGTAAGATCTGGCATTTATCCTTTCTACTTTTTGTGACTTATCAAACCACACAGAATAGTTGATTAGTAGGTGGTAGAAATATATTACCTGTGATATACAAAATCAACCTTTGATAGCTTTTATTCTCAGAATAATTATAACCTGCCTTAGGCAAATAATTTGGACCTTTAGAATATCTGACTTATTATAACTTGAGATACCAATGATTATAATGCTATCAAATTGCCATAGTTGTAAAAATGGTGAAGTATTATTTTAATAAACAAATTATGAATAGAGTTCAACAATCAGTTTTACCAGATATGCCTCTGATTCGTGTGCTAATTTAGCAAATTCATCAAAATAGCACATATATGTTTTGTGGTTATAATTTTAATAGTCTATTATATTGTGATTATATATAGTAATTTAGTTATCTTTTGTAAACTTGTTAAGCTTGAATAGGATTGTTTATAATAGCATTATATCACATTTTCTTCCCTGGGTGATTGCTATTATTAATATTATAATATATTAATAAATAGCACGTATGGTACTTTAAAACTTTCAAGGGATTTTAAATTGCATTATTTCATTGATAAAATTCATCTATGAGGAAAGAAAAACTATAATAATCACCAATTTACCACTGGGGAGATTGATACCTAAAAAAGTTAAAATTCTTGCTCAATGTTGCAAACAAAAAAATGATATATTGGCTCTTTGAGGCTTTTCATTCCCCTACTCTGCTTCATATATACAATAAAGTCTCCTCCACATTTTTAAATAAATAAGATTTTTACTTAAACATATTTAACTGTATTTACAGTATTCACAATCTTTTTCTATTGCCTTATTCTAGGAAAATCATCTCAAATAACAAAATAATAACATACTCTAGCTGCTATTTCATTTTGACAGTAGAGAAACTTGAATCAGAGAAGTTAAGCAACTTTCCAAAGTCACACATTAAGCACAGCAGTATTCTAATTCAGGCAGTCAGGCTTTAGTGTCTTCATTATTAAATGCTGTAATAATCTCTTCAGTTAAATAAATCTCCTTCCCAGTTAAATGACTTAAAAAATTGTAATAAGTGAAAAAATGGGATCTCATTCCTTCTATTGAACACAAGCATATGCAATGATGATAGAAATGGAACATGAGAGCCAACTATATCATACAGTATGATTAACCAAACACAGGCCACTGTAGAAAAAGAGTTCATGTGGGTCTAAGAAACTCCATGCTTAAGGTATCATTGTAGCTATCTCTTTGAATTGTAGGGTTAAAATGAATATGATTGATAAAATATGTTATACACATGATAATAAAATGTAACTAAAGTAAAATAAATATATGTAGAATTAATAAGATTAGTTTTTGGTAGCTTAAATTTACATTTGTTTTCAAATGTAATTGAGACTATTGGTAACTTTCTTATTACTTTAAAATGGCATATGCATTTGATACACATATTTGAAGAGGACAAAAAGAATTACTTTAAACTGAAAGAAAGAATAAAAACAGACATACTTGTGAACCATGCAATTGATCATGCTATACAGTTTCTAATAGGATCTCAAGTGAATATGCTTTTCCTTTCCGGATTATTGACTTTCAATTAAATAAAAAACGAGTAAAAATAAGCAGTTGCAGGTGAACAACTGGAACTTAATTTTTTCATCTAACTTTTAAGAAAATGTATTTAAGATTATTTAATTAACTTTGCACTGGTGTCACAAGTTGGCAAACACATATACTGAGAGCTTAATGGAAATGGAATTATCTTCAATAACGCTCGTGAAACTGGAAATAAACTCCCTTTGCAGAAATTCCATGAAAAGCTAACATTAAAGGCCTCTTATGACACCTTGGCGTTTGAAAGTCCAAAGCCTAGAAAATGTAAATATTATTTGGATTCATTCTGTATAAATGTATTGAATGTGTTTCAACAGTTCTTCTGAGAATCAAAATAGTAAGACATTTGAGAGTTGCACTTTCTCCTTTGTAATGATAGAACCATTGTGTTTGGCTTGAATATCTGACAGGACCTATATAGCTTTCCTCTGGATATAAGCCTCACCATGCCTCTGATAAGCAAAGCAAATTAAATAAGCAACAGAGCCTTTTAGAGCCAGGGCTTGTGCTGCATATCCACAAGTGATTTCTGAGGAACAATTAGACTCTAAGAAACTAATTTATGTGGACTCCCTTTCTCCCAAGAGTACCAGATCACTTCCAATGTACAATCAGGTGGTTTGGCATTCATTTGACTCACGAAACTATCAGACTTCCTATATCCCCTATGGAACAGTCACTTAAGCATAGGATTGGCTCTCTCATATTGTTTCCTGGACTTTCACAATTTTGTTTCTTTCTACACGTGAAATTCTTGCATATATAACATCTACATGAATTTTACTCACTGTCTCTCTCTCTCCCACTCCTGCTTTTTCACATACACATACACAAACATACCCAAAGCCTAATGCAAACATGAGAGCTGTGTAGTAAAACCAGATCTCATTTGGACAGATCTGTACAAGACATCATTTGTGCATTACCATAATATAAATCATGTCACACTCAGAGCTTTGACATACAGGGTTAGGAATATAAGCACAGTACACAATGACAAACATAAAAATGTGTTTTGTGGGTAGGCGGGAAATAGTTTTGCAAATTGAATTATAAAAAAAAGTCTGGACACAACAAAGTTTGATACGTTTAAGTGACTTAAGATTATTTTAGATGTCAGTCCTAGATTACAGAAATTAAAAACAATTGTAGATATATTAACTTCCATTACAAATAGCCAGAAGAAAGCATGTATCTGTTAAAAATTATATGATAAAGACAAACTGGAAATCGCTATGGTCAATTTTTCCAACTATATTACCAGTATACAAATAAAAGAGAAAAATGATTTTTTGTCAGAAGACTTCTTTCCTTTAAATAAGAAATATTTTAGTGTTCTAATTAAGAGATACTATTTATTTTCCTCACTACCCTTTTTTGGCTTATAATTCAAGTCAAAGTTCAATTTTAAAAAACATTTGTTGCCCATTAATTTGCTGATTTTGAATTAATTCCCTGCTTAATTAGTTCCAGCTCTTATTCGCTTGCAGCTCATTCAAAACTCTTGACCAAGAACCTTCAGTCTGAAAACACTCATATTTAATATAATAGTTTGCACATATTCCATTAATGGTTATGACAAGGATACCTTTTTTGTGTGTAAGATGACAAAATGTATCAGACAGCCTTAGTATTGCCCCTGGCGTTAGGATGGAAGTAACTTCCCCATATGCTGAGTTTATCTTCTTTGGAATCTTAGAAGAAGATTCAGAAAAAGTTGAATGGAGTTATAAAAATATATGATTTTTAAAAATAAGTTTAAACTAATATTTTTAAATTGCTTTTGTAATAATTATGAATATGAGTTTATTCTGTTTTGACAAGTCATCACTTATAATTAATAGTATGAATCAATAGCAAGCTTCTTCATTATTACTGCATATACATCCCAATTACAAGTAAATGTCAAAAATGTTAAGGATGGCGTTACCCAGCATTCTAAAAGACAAACTATTTTTCTATTTCATCTTATTTGACACATGCCATGCTAAAGCCTGTTATGTTTTCATAAATATGTTTAAAGTAAATTTTATAATAATATTTCAAAAAATAATTTATAATCTGAAGTATGAAAATCCATAATACCAGATAAAGTCATTCTATTTCCAGTTTTTGAAATTAGATTTTAGCTACAAATTAAAATTAGTTGTCAGATAAGAATAAAATTATTCAAAGTGCCTTGAAAATCAGGTTCTTGAACATAAGTTACATATGAAGCAACACACTTTCTTATTTAATGTGAAAGAGAGCCATACACCTGTATCTTTGTTTATTGAATCTATGAATGATAATTAGCAAGATTAACTTATTTAAAGAAGTAAACAAAGTGTGACAATGATAAATCAATGCAATACCATTAGTGTCAACTTACAAAAGTAAATTAAGAAGATATAATCTTCAGGTCTGTATATATTCATTAAGTAACCCTACTAAATATCTACAATTTAGTTAAGAAAAAAGTAAAAAGCATGTATAACAGACAATTGCTTTAAACACACATACACACACACAATTGGTAGAATACATCATGTCTGTATTGATACATGCATGTATTGGTACATTCATGTATTGGTATCAATACATACATGATGATGATCTACATTTTGAGATTGTGCTAAAGCCTAAACTCAGTATTTCTGAGAAAAGAGTCCACAATCCGACATGTCAAAATTTTACTTTGTTAGGGGCAGACGCCACCTGATTCACAGATATAATAACTGACCCCTTGAATTCTTTCTCCAATGGAAAAAAAGTAAAAAGTAGTTTGTGAAGAGTGAGGTCAGTGCATGGGTTCACAGCTAAATATTTTCAACAGTTTAACAAATATTAATTGAGCTCCTATCATGTGTCTGGCTACAAGCAAACGCTGGAAATAGAGCAGTGAATCAGAGAGCCATTCTTCTCACCTTCATAATCTTGTATTCTTGTGTTTGTACGCTAATTATGAGTGATAATTCTAAAAAACATAATTCAGAATGGTAAAAGAACATGTTATACAGAGGATGCCAACGTTTTGCTCGTCTTAAGTGATTTTTTGTTGTTGTTGTCCATCAGAATTTGAATCCATCCTTATGGTATGTTTCCTGGAATGTATTTACTTTTTCTTAATTCTTCTCTTCCTTAATCAGAATGGAAGTTAAAGAACTTAGTATAAAAGTAGACCACCTTCCTCAACCTTTTCCCTTTTCTCCTCCTTCAGGGCCATACAACAGCAAAAATATTTCCAATTCTGATTTGAAAGAGTTAATAATCTTCAGCTAGTATTTAACCTATTACTAGCTACAGGAACAATGAGAGCTTCTTGAGACAGGGTTTGCTAAATGTTTTCAAAGAGCCAGGGTTGAAGGCTGCAGAAATAAAATATCATACCAGTATAGAGTGCAATTCTCTGCTTTACTTAGATTCCTATTTAAGAAGCTGATGATAATTTTGCTGCCAGGCTTTCTCAGGCTGAAGTGCATGAAATGCTTTTTTATTAGCAAGTCTATGATATTTCTGATATAGCAAACTTCCACTATAGCTCACCCATCTGCCATTGATGTTAAGAGAAAAACACAAACGCTATTATTATGAATAGTCCTTGTGCATCATTTCTTCAAAAAGTTTTGAGCCAGTACCACTTAACAGGAAAAGTTATTATTACTTGTGATAGATCAAAAGGCCACCAAAACTGCTTGGTGTAATGTGTGAGGTGCAAAAGCCTCAGGTTCAGTAACAACACTTTCTTTTCTGATGTTAACACGACACACTTATTTTTCAAGCCTTTGCTTCCCACCTTGACAGTCTGCTGATAATAGCGAGTTATGAATTATGACTTTGGTAGGTTCCCATGAAGACTTCTATTCCCTCTGAGCAACAGAGTCCAGCAAAGCAACTGAGTCAACATAACACTCGACATTTTAGCATTTTCAAAGGCCAATGCTGGGTTTAAATGCCAGAATAGCAAGAAACAAATTCTCCGATCTATCTCCACCTGTCTGATGTTGTGAAGTGTAATTTGATTTTGTTTCAAAAATTTAATTTGACCTGTTTCACCCCTCATCCTTACTGCTGGAGAAATAATGTTAATATTGATAAAATTGATTTAAATTATCTATTAAATAAAATGAATTCATCCTCTTACCTGTCCTATGTATCTCAAATGCAATTATATTGGATCATGTTTATTTGCTTTTCTGCTATGCTTTTAATAAGTAGTTTGGTAATATATTGACAATATCACATAGCAAATATAGAATCAATATAATGAAATTGGTATTGTCTAGAAAAGGTAAAGCAATCTATTTACTTTTTTAAGTTTTTATCCTTTGATTAATCGAGGGTATAGTATTTTTGAAGATGTTTCTTCGTTTTTAATATGTGTTTTCCCTCATTTATTTAAATTGTTTCCTAGAATAAACATCAAAACACTAAGAACATGTATATAGTTTAAATTTTATGCATATTATTTCCCCCACCTACCAATGCAATCACCTACTGAACATTTAAAATCATTATTATTTGAGCCACACTGGTTTCCTTTACTGCTTTTTGTTATGTTTTCTCACCTATAAAATGGAGCGATAACTATAAATTCCAAGGAATGACAAGCAAATTGCCACAGTCCCTAGCACACACTGATCCTGTGACATATTTAGGAGGAAATAAAGACACTTGGTGAGGTACAACTTTACTATCTTTTATTACCACAATTATCAGGCAAATTGTCAAGAATAACTGCTTGTTGAACGTCACCACTCATTTCTATTTTTAGTTTAAAGTCTCTAAAAACTGGAGTCTCATTATTCCTGTAGGCGCATCTAAAGTGCCTCTTTTTATTTGTGGGTGTTGATGGGGTTGAGGAAATGCTACTCCAAAATACGGCACCATGGCATTTAAGAAAACAGAAAGAAAAAAGAAATGCTGCCTTTCCTTTGCTCTTTCTTGCCTGAAGCAAGTCATAAAACCTAGGAAGATCACTCTTCTTCCTTTTTTCCCTAAAGCAGGTCATAAGACCCTGATTCAAGAGGTATTCTCTCATACCTGGAGGAAAGGAATGTCTATATTTCTGAAGATTCAGGGACACAGAGAAGAATCTGAACAAACAGGTCCTGCTAAGTTTCCCCTAGGTTATTACCATTAGATTATACGCCCTTTGTCCAATCATACTTCTTTACCTTGTCCAGTCTTCATCAAAGCTAAGTATTAAAATACCCGGGTTGTCTTGTTTCTTTGGGGCTTCATTTCCTTATCAAGGCTCGCATGTCAAATAAAATTTACATTAAATACATTTGTATGATTCTTTCTTGTTAATCTATCTTTTGTCATAAGGGAATCAGCCAGAAACCTAGTGATCGTGAGGAAAATATTTCCTTTCCCCTGCAGTGCACATGTGTAAAACTATGAGTTGAGCACCCATTCCAGGGCAAGTGTAACTGGAATGTGTTCAAGGAGTAGTCTAAGCCTTATTGTGTAAGAAGAGAGATTCATTTAACTGTATCCTCATACCCACTGGAATAATTTATTTGAAGAGTGGCATAATATGGCTACAGGCCAGGGTTCTTCTAACAAGAAAATTGTTGGGATTCCAAGTTTTTAACTTTGAATTAAAAGTATTTAGTATTTCTGATATATGATGTGGCCTTGAGTGAGACTACTTCAGAGAAGAGAATCCAAAAGATCTCGAAGGGAAAATCTTAATAAGGGAGAGGAATTCCAGATTGGTGCCATGAGCTCAACAGGTAAGGCAGGTCTCACAGAATTCAACACCCCTCACTCAGCACCATGGATTTGATTTGAGCAAAATTAATGTGCATTTTCCAATGCAAACTGAAAGAGCTTTGTGGAAAAAAAAAAGAGTTGTAATGTCAGCTGGCTTTAATATGGAACACTTACAGTGACAGGAACACTGGGGAAAAGACAAGGTTTTCCTTTGATCCAAATACCTTAACACGTTACTTTAGAATTTTCATTCAGAAGAGAAATCAGGGATAACAGCTTACGTGGGTGAATAAGGCCTCAGTGAGTGTGACCCTTCTTGCAATAAACTACAGTCTATAGACTATGGTCTCTAGAGATGATGCTTCCTGCATTTAACAGTACCTTGCTTGAGGAACTGAATCCTAACAGAAAAACTATGTGATATTGACAGTAGCAAAGGCAGAGGAGGAAAGAGTCATTGACAGGCTGACCAGATGTTTATATTCCCTTTTGTGAATCAGTTGTTATTGTGGTGACATCTTCAATAATGCAGTCACATCTGAGCTTCTTAACCTTATCATCTTCATAGGAAAACTCCACAGAGGGTAGATATATTTAGGGATTCTTGGAATTGCTGTGATTAAGACAATAAATACGTGACTTTATTTTGAATCCCTAAATTTGATTAGCTTATATATAGGGGAACATTGTGTGTGTGTGTTGTGTGTGTGTGTGTCTATGAATGTGTGTATGTGTCTAATCAAAGGTAGCATATTTTTTCCAGCACTTTTAACGAAAATGAATCTCTATATGTACTAATAAGATTTATTTTGCAGAATGTCATAATTTTATACATGATTCCAAGTATAAATTTTTAGTTTTTAGCTAACTAATTAGAAAAACTATGTTTGTGTATCTTTTTTTTTTTTTTTTGAGATGGAGTCTCGCTCTGTCACCCAGGCTGGAGTGCAGTGGCGTGATCTCGGCTCACTGCAAACTTCACCTCCCGGGTTCAAGCAATTCTCCTGCCTCAGCCTCCCGAGTAGCTGAGACTACAGGCGCGTGCCACCATGCCCGGCTAATTTTTGTATTTTTAGTAGACACAGGGTTTCGCCATGTTGGCCATGCTGGTCTCAAACTCCTGACCTCAAGTGATCCACCCACCTCTGCCTCCCAAAGTGCTGGAGTTTGCTTAACTTCACTTATTTGAAAAATTAGAGAAAATTCTACAGTTTTTTTGTGCTTATTTATGAGTAATCTGCATTTGCGTGGTGTGTATTATGTACTTTATTTTTTGAATTGTCAAACAAATATTTAAATGTTTCAGAAATCTTCTCCGCTCATATTCTCTTCGTTCTGACATGAAATTACTTCATTCATTGCCAAATACTCTTTATAAACCAGAATTAGAAAAAATAAGTAGGACTATTTCCTAATATTAAATTAACAACCATTTCAATTTAAATTACTTTAATACATTACTTCATATAAGGAATAAATTTTGTATAAAAAATATTTTAAAAATCCAAAATTAAAACATTGATTTACATTTAAAACTATATTTTGCTAATACAACTGCTTGTTATAGATTTGAAATATATATATATATTCATTCAGTAAAGCAAGAGTTCAATTAGGCTAAGCACTAATATTTTGGAATTATTTACCTAAATTGAGAAGTTTCTTTAAATGAAAGTGTGGGACAAATTGCTGTAATTTGTAAAATCTATTTTATTAGCAGTAATTTTTCTAAGTTGTTAAAATATAAAAATAAAATTTTATCTGAAAATATAAATATCACATATATTACTTATGTGCTCTATATAACTAGTAGAAGAATTGAAAATACTAAAGAAATTTTTTATTTAATTTATTTTATCTCACATTTAAACTCATGTTTGCAACTCATCACTATCTTTTAAATTACAAAATTAATTCCCTATTTTGATTCAGCAACATAGTGTTGTATATATTTATATATAATCTTAAATTTTCTGAGTAAAAAAATAATAATATGTTTAGTTGGATGAGTTCAAAACTGTGTTTGTAATAGTCATTAATCTACTCTGTTTCAATCACAGATCAGAGCCGCAAACCAGCCAGAAATATAATTTTGGGATTTAATGATATACCAAAACAATGTGAGAGGCAATCGTCTCTTTGGCAGAAGTTTCATAACCCAGTACAGGATTGCTCTACTTGCAAGAAGAAATATACTTTCTCCATTTACCACTGAAGATTTATGGCCAATGTGATGTATTTAGGTTGGTTTAATTATAACTATTATTCACTATTCCATAGGGGATTTTACAAGTCTAGGCATTTAGTGATAGTACATATTTGTATTAGTGATGGCAGTCTTTTAATTAACTCCTTATTTTGAATTCTAATACAAAGAGTAGTCTTTTTTCTAAAGTCATAGGAACACAATTAGCATATTTATTAACACTGATCCCCTCTTAGCTTCTCTAATAATATTTTGTACTAATAGTTCTTGTATTTCTAATACAAATCTGAAGCTTTTCAAAATGATAATTTTAATTGTATTAAAAAGACTAATATCTCCCAGCTGGTTTTACTTTTTACCAATTCAGTTTGTAAGTAATTACAAAAAAATTCCTAACAGGTCTTTCACTCTTTGAATTCTATAATCTTTTCTATAGATATTAGCATTAATTTGTACAAATAAGACTACTGAATTGCAAGTCAAAAGTAGACAAGCTGACAATGAAATTAAGCATGAATATGTGTGTACATATACATACATATTCTTTCTCTTCCTAACTCTTAAAATGAAAGCATGAAATCAAACATTTCAATCAAATATACTTTTTATGCTAAGATTTAAAAATGGTGGGTTTTTTTTGTCTTATAGCCTTACAGAAACCCTGAGATACTCAAATTTAATCTGAACTTATATAGTTGCTGGTTTATTTATCATAAAAAAGAAATCACTGGAATTTTGTGTAGTTCCCAGTTTATTCTAAACTCTGTTTTGACTTTTGTTTCTAACAATAGAACTAGGAACATTGAGAAGTTTGATATAGAGAAGAATTTTTTATTTGCTATGTCTTACCAAATGGCAAAAAAAAAAAAAAAAATCACGAGTTTTTTTCTAATAAAGTTTTACAAGTTCACATTACATTTTTTTCTAAACTATTTAAGCAATGAATCATTATATCAGTTTATTCAATGGTTAATAATTTTGCTATGTTAATGTGTTATATACTGTCTTCTCTATGGGTGATCATATATGTAAAACATAGTTTTTGATTTCAAGATGCTTACTGCCTCACAGGGTAATGGGGTATATAACAAGTGCAATATAGAGTGATAAAGGATATGATAATAGAATATGGGAAGACAGCAGATGATAGGGAAGGTTAGGCAAGATTTCTTGGAGGGAGAAACATTTCATTAGAAGGTTAAATGAGTGTTAAGTATTATTCAGTCTTGAAAACATTCATGAAGATTTCCAAAGCATTAGCATAGTGAAAAGAGCAGTAAAACAACCTGGAACATTTTGGAACAAAAAATATATTAGCCTAATTCAGTGTGTGTCTGAGTTTGTGTGTGCAAGTATGTGTGACAGAGAGATAGAGAAAGAGAGAGAGAGAGAATGACAGACCTAAAGATGAGTCAAAATGTCTGAATATAAAATCAAAGTATAAATTATGAAAATTTATTGATTATCATGCAAAGGAAGATGATGGAAATCCTCAAAATAAAACAAGAAAATAAAATAATGATGGCTATAAAAGTAATAATATGGAGACTCAATTCCATTTGCTTATGCTTGGCATATTTTGAATGATGAAGTAATAATTTTTGTATATTCTATCTCTTAGAAACTAGTATTATATTATCAGAAATATCACTGAAACATCTGAATTCTAATCCTAGCTCCACTCCTCCCCCTACTGAGTTAAAGGGGCAGGAGCTGCGTGCCCCCTGGTGCAGCTGCAGCCTCCCAGCTGAAGCTCTAGATCGGAGCATCCCTACATTCTTGGGGACCTGGAAAGCCCCCTGCCCCTGCAGGCTTGGAAGTGCCTGCCTCTGCTCCCTGGCCTCTTCCTACTCTCAGTGCCTGCTCCGAATTCAGAACAAAGTTGTAGCTAGCCCGGGTACTGTCGCAACCCAGCTGGGTGTGCATATGACGGGGCACACTGACATGCCAGGCCCCTGCTGCCTCGGGCCCCTTTGGACTTTGGGTGCCAATGAGCATGGGAGGCTAGGCCAAGGGGGCTCTGAGGATGGCTCAACACGGGCCTGTGTGTGTCCCTTGGCACAAACAGCCTGGGCACCACGGACGACCTGTTGATGTTAGCAGGAGGCAGACAGGCTCCTAGATGAAAAGGGGTGGGTCCTCTGTGAAGCCCCACCTTTAAGCAAGGGATGGCCTGAAGCCTGGGAGCCAGGCTGTCAGTTCTGGGTGGAGTCTGCAGCCCCTAACGAGAACATATGGTGCTTTTTCCAGGCCCTCCTGTGGCCACCCATGGATCAATCAGCACACACTTCCTTCCTTCCTTCTGAGCCTATAAGACCCACCCCCCACCTGACCCAACCCACTGGGCCAGACTCACACAGATGTCAGGAGGAACTGTCTGAGGACAGGAGCTACCCACTCTGGGTCTCCTCTCTGCAGAGGGCTGCACAGTCGTCAGGATGACCTCCTTGCAGAAAGGAGCTACCCACTGTAGGTTTCCTCTCTACTGAGAGCTGGACATCCATGGGGACGACCTGCCTGCAGAAAAAAGCTACCAGCTTTGGGTTACCTGAGACCCTGAGAGATATTCTGTCACTCAGTGAAGCTCCTCTCCACCTTGCTCAACCTCCAGTTGTCTGCATACCTCATTATTCCTGGATGTCAAGTTGGTGAGCAAAGTTTCGGTGATGCTTGTAGAAACTGGCATTCTAGTTTACCTGAATTTTGAATGTGTAGGAATACCCAAATAAATGAAATGTGGCAGTGATTTTTTCTTCTGTTTTTTCTTTATAACATTATAATCTGAGTTCTACAAAATTAGGAATCACTCTCTTGGGTATAACAAGCATTTAGCATAACTTGTAATGTAAAAGTCACATGCTGACATCAATCAATCCAAATGCCATTTATTTTTTTTGTAATAGTGAAATAGTATGTAATTTTAAAACTCATAGGTAATATTGATGACAATTTTCTGTCCAAACTAAAAAAAGAAATCTAATGAGCCCATGTATACTTATTTTACTTGCTTATTCTTTCAGCAGTTATTAATTTAATGTTTAGTAAAGAACACAGATTGTGTCTGATAGAGAATATAAGATTAATTCAGCATAAAATATTCACTAAGATGAACATGAGCTCTCTCTCTCCATGGTAGTTAAAGTCTCATAATGACAACAAAACCTTTTTATCTTTAATAATCAAGAGAACTGATAAACCTCTTGCAAAATTTACAAAAGGGAAACAGAGAACAGACAATCACCAACCTGTCTGGTGAAAGAATGCATGAAAGAGGGACTACAGAGCCCACAGACTTTAGAATTATAGTGAGAAACACTGTTAATGACTACAAATATAGATTAGACAACTTTGTTAAAAAGAACTAATTCCTCAAAACCCAAACAGTACCTGAATTCAACAAAGATAAAATAGATACTATGAAAACCTTGTAATTACTAAACAAATTGAATTTGTGATTTTAGAACTTAATGAAAAGTTTTCATCAACTGACAAACTCTGCTAAATAACTACAAAGAAGTAACACAATTATCAAATTAATTTTAATAAAATAGAAGAAAAAACAGCTTCCTAGTCATTTTATGAGGCCAGAATCACCCTACAAACATAACCACACAAATATATTACTAAAAGAAAAAGAACAAAAGATTAATATCCCTTATGAATGTTCAGTGAAAAAATAATAGGTTGGGCGCAGTGGCTCAAGCCTGTAATCCCAGCACTTTGGGAGGCTGAGGTGGCTGGATCACGAGGTCAGGAGTTCAATACCAACCCGGCCAAGTTGGTGAAACCCCATCTCTACTAAAAATACAAAAAAATTAGCCAAGCATGGAGGTGGGTGCCTTCAATCCCAGCTATTCAGGAGGCTGAGGCAGAGAATTGGTTGAACCCAAGAGGTGGAGGTTGTAGTGAGCCAAGATCACACCATGGCACTCCAGCCTGGGTGACAGAGTAAGACTCCATCTCAAAAATAATAATAATAAACAAAATATTAGTAAATTGAATGTAAAATTGAATAAACAGAATAATGTGGTTATGTGAGATTTGTCTCAGGAATACAAGTCAAGTTCAATTCAAAAATCAAAAATGCAGTCCACCATATAAATAAAGAATAAAAAAGCAGCATGATATCAATTTATGTAGAAAAAGCATTTGACAAAATTTAATATCCATTCATGGTAAATGATGAGAATAGAAGGAAATTATCAAACTGACAAAGGGCATCTTGAGAAAAAACTACAACTAACATTATATTTAATGGCAAAACACTCAATGTTTTCCTACTAATATTGGGAACAAGGAAAAGTTCTACTCTTGACACTCCTATTAAATTTGAGAAGTATTAGTCAATGCAATCAAGCAAGAAAATGAAATTCAAAAACTTATTGTTTGGAAACAGAGAACTAAAACTAGTTCTATTCAGACAGCATAATTTTGTATGTAGAAAATTTCAAATAATCTAAAAAAATATACAAAAAATAAAATTTTCCGAACTAATAAGTTTAATAAGGTGGCAGAATACAAATTTCACAATCAAATAATCATATTTTTATGTATTAACAATGTCAAATTGGAAACTGAAATTAAAAATCAACATTATTTATTATATTCCAAAATATGAAATTATTAGGTTATAAAAATGAAAAAAACATGTAAATAATCTTTATCCTAAAAACTATGAAACACCAACGAAGTAAATCATAGAAGACCTAATTAAATAAAGAAATACACTGCTTACATGGCTTAAAACATTCAACATAACAACATTTTAATACTTTCAACACTGATCTATAGATTTATTGTAATTTCTATCAAAATCTCAGAAGGATTTTTTGTAGACATAGACAGCTGATTTCACTGTTTATATGTAAAGGCAAAAGGTTATAATAACTAAACAATCTCAAAAACAAAAAAATACAGTTTAAGAAATTGCCCTACCGAATATTCAGCTATGCTATAAAGCTATTATGATCAAGAGAATGTGGGATTGACAAAGGGATAGATACATACATAAGTAGAACAAAATCAGAATTCCAGACAGAACCAAAGCAGGTACACACAAATATGATCATTAACTTTTTTAAAGTGAAAAAACAACTTGATAGAGAAATGATAGTTTTTTTGATAAATGGTGCTGAGAAAATTTGACATCCAAATGCAATATACACACACACATACACACACACATACACACACACATCTATCTATATAGTAATGACCTTCATCTAAACATCACAACATATGCAAAAATGACTGAGCATGGGTCAGAGTATGGTTTGGCAAGCTACAGTCCATTGGCCAAATCCAGTCTGAAGCATGTTTTTGTATGAGTGCCAGGCTAAAAATACATATTTTTTCATTTTTAAAATATTTTTAATTTTTTTAAAAAAGGATGAGAAAAACTAAAATATTCAGTAAAGACTATGTTGTTCCCCAAATCTAAAATATTAGCCATCTTTCCCTTTATAGAAAAAGTATGCTGACTTATGTATTATAGGTGTACGTATAAAACAAAAAAACTATCAAGCACTTAGAAGAAAACATAGGAGAAAATATGTATAACCCGGTTTACACAGAGAATTCTTAGACATAATACTGAAAGTTCTCTCTATTAGAAAAATACATACATTGACCTCCATCAAAATTTTAAAAATAAACAAAATATAAAGATGACAAATAAGTAAATTAAAAATGCTTCACGTCATTTGTAATTAGGTTAATGCAACAATGAGATATGACAGAACCTACTCAAATGGCTAAAATTAAAAAAAAAAAAAATCTGACCCCACCAAATGCTGGCAAGGATCTAGAGCAATAGGAACTCATTGTTGGTGGAAACAGAAAATTGTAGACACTTTTCAAGAAAGTTTGGCCATTTCTTACAGGAATAAACACAGCCTCACAAATAGTCTAGCAGTTGTACTCTTAGGCATTTACTCATTTAATACATAATCTTGGGTTAATACAAAAAAGCGTATAAATTTATAGCAGCTTTACTCATAATTTCCCAAAACTTGAATCAACCAAGATGTCCTTTAATAGCTTCAGGGACAAAGAAAGTATGTTACATCCAATGTTATCCAACGGTAAAAAAGTATGAGTTATCAAACCACACAAAGACATAAATGATTCTTAAACACATATTGCTAAGTTAATCTGAAATGCCATAACACTAGATCTTGACATGGCATCCTGGAAAAGGCAAAACTATAGAGACATTATGAAGAACAGTGGTTTTCAGGTGCTTAGAAGTAAAGTAGATGGGATTTTTTTTTTTTAGGGCAATGAAACTAATTTGTATGACAGTATAATGAACAATACATAACACTACATTTTTCAACACCCATGGAACTTTGCAAGACAGAAAATGAACCTTAATATATGCAAATTAAAAACAAAAATGTATTTAGGTTGTCGGGGGAGCCAGGATGTAATGCAGAATGTGATAAAAAGATCTAACTACATTACAAATGGATTAGACAACTTCACTGAAGAAGGTGGGAGAAAAAGATGATGACTTAAGTAACTTTGGAAATGAATAGAGTTTGCGAAACTAAAGACAAAAGAAATGCCATAAAAATATCTTCTAGATGACAAAGTTGTGCCTTTTGGAGTTGCATTTTAACACATCGAAACCACTACACACATACACGGGAACTGCACAATTGGGTAAATACATGGTAAGTGCTGGGAACCAGGTTTTCTCCTTTTGGAGTGGGAGATGGACAAGTGAGAAGGTTACAGTGATCCATGTTGTAATGGATTAGAGTTGAAAACATCAGGATGAATCCATTTAGGTTAATATAAATACACATGGTAACTCATAGAACTATTAATGGATAACTATTAATGGATATGCGTATATACACAGTTTTGCATATGCACATGTAATTCACATATAGTTATGAGTCCACACTGATATAAATGTATACATGTATGAATAAATAATAAATAACTAGGAATAGGCAAATATTCCATGCAAAAGAACTCCAAACAACTTGTGTAGATATTTTGCCTTCAAGGAGGTGAAACGAAACTATCCACTCCTTAAGAGCAACTGCACATAGTGACGTTTCCCCCAAAAGAAATCAGGATGAGAAAGGGGAAAAAGATTAACTTTAATGAGCAAAACAAGACAAACACTACCTTAGCCAGATGATTTAGGTTAACACAAACAGTGACAAATCATGTTGATAGCATGTACCCTTGAAGTGATGAGAGTGGCACCTTACCTCTGTACTCTTGCTCCCCAAAACCAATAATCCCAGTCTCACAGTTAGAAAAACATCAGACAAATCTCAATTGGAGGACATTCTACAAAATTCCTGGCCAGTTCTTCTCAAAAAGTCAAAATCATCAAAAATAGTAAAAGTTTGAGAAACTGTCAAAGCCAAGAGGAGCCTAAGGAGACATGACAACCAAATGTGATATGGTTTCTTTGATGGGATACAGGAAGAGAAAAAGGGTATTAGGCAATAGACAATGAAATGTGAATACCATATGGGCTTTAGTTAGTGTAGCAATATTTGTTCATTAACTTTGATAAGTGTACCATATTAACATAAGATGTTAATAATAAGAGAAACTGTGTGTTGAATATATGGCAACTCTCTGGACTATCTTTACATTTTTAAAAATAAATCTAAAACTATTCCAAACTAAAAAGTTTGTTATGAATGCTCAAAAGTTTTGCCCCATCAAAGATGGGGCTAAGAAAATAACAAGCCAAGTTACAGAGTTAGGAAAAATATTTGTAAACCACATATCCAGCAGAAGATTTGTATTTAAAATTATTAAAGAACTTCAAAATTTCAACAGTAAGAACACAAACAACCCAATTTAAAAAGGGCAAAAACTTTAACAGCTATTTTATCAAATAAGATATATGGAAGTCAAATGAGCACATAAAAAGATGTTCAACCTCATTAACCATCAGTGAAATACAAAACAAAGCTGCAATAACATACCACTACATTCATATTAGAATGGCTAAAATTAAAAATGCTTACAATACAAAAGTTTTGAGAGGTTGCAAAGCCATAGGAAGTCTCATACTTGACAGGCAGAAATGTAACGTAGTATAGTCACTCTGAAAAACCATTTGGAAGTTTCTTATACAGTTAAATATACACTGACCATAGGACCCAGTGATCCTACTACTGGACATTTACACTGGGAGGGGAGGTGGGAGATGGGATAAAACATGTTCACACAAATGCTTTTACATAAATGTTTATAGTAGCTTTATAAATAACCACTAGAACCTGGAAACAAACATGCTGTCCTTCAATAAGTGAGTGAATAAATAAATTGCGGTACAACCATACCATGCAATACTACTGTGAAGTAAAAATACAATAACCACTGATATGTGGAATAATACAGATGAACTACACAGGCATTATTCTGAGTAAAATAAACCAGCCTCAAGTGCTTATATATTGTATGATTCCATTTAGGTGGCATTCTCAAATAGACAAAACTCTACCAGTGAAGACAATAAGTGAAGACAATAATGGTTGCTAGTAGTTAGAAACTTTGGGGATTGTGATTATATAGTGATAGTAGGTAAGTTTTTTGGACTGGCAAAATTATTGAGTATCATAATTACGATGATTATTTGCAAATCTATATCTGTGTTTAAAATCATAAAACTGTATACCAAACTAAAATCAATAAAAACATCCATTAACACAGTTGAACATTGAATAAGTAATTACAAGTGTGTTACATATTACAAAAGGAGTAGAGAGAGATTTGAAAACCTGTAGCAAAGACACCTGGCTTAGCATGGAGGCTTGGAAAAGAGTCTGAAAAGTGCACTTAGAAGTAATAATTGTAGAATGAGTGAAACTGTGCAAAAAAGAAGAAAAACTATGTTGACAGGCAAATGGAAATTAGGAGAGAACGTAGAGATTTAGAAAAATTCAGATTAAACCAGCATATCTGTAACATAAAGTGGAAGTTACAGAGGGAGTTGACAGGGCTGGAAGAAAGGGGAGGCAACCAAATCTTCCAAGATACTAACAACCATGGAAAAGCATGTGAAACTATTGGTGGGTAAATTTATTTTCTTAAAGGTTAACAAACTTGGACTACAATATATCTTACTGCATGAAGACGTTGCTTAAAGCAAAAATACCCATTGGGCTTAATTTATAAGGCAGTGAAGTGCTGCCAAGCAGTTTTATACCAGTTTATATGAGAGGAAATAGATATATTTTTATTACCAAACACTGTTACAGTGGTAACCATGCTCAGACCTAAAAATTAATCACCAATATCACATATGCCATACATAATTATGCTTATAAATATGAAAGCATGAATACATAAAATGTACAAATAAAAATGCATAAATAAGGCAAAATTTAGGAAACCATGAAATCCTATGGCAGTAAGGAAGCTAAATGGTCATGTCTTCCAAACTGGAATACTGTTTCTCAGGAAGGATGGGGAGCTGCATGAGATAATTTAGGAGGTACACAGATAGATATTTAAAATTTTAATAGCTATCAATTTATTTTAATATGCAATAGAAAAATAAGCTATTAGTAGCATATCAGTGCCTGAATTTCATAGATATGATCTCTTAGGTTAAAGCTAAATTTTTTGAAAAAGTAAATAAAATTGAAGTTTATTTTATTTTTTTTGAGACGGAGTCTTGCTCTGTTGCCCAGGCTGGAGTGCCATAGTGTGATCTGGGCTCCCTGCAGCCTCTGCCACCCGGGTTCAAGTGATTCTCCTGCCTCAACCTCCTGAGTGCCTGGGACTATGGGCACCTGCCACCATGCCCAGCTAATTTTTGTATTTTTTTTTTTTTTTTTAGCAGAGATGGGGATTCACCATGTTGGCCAGGCTGGTCTTGAACTCCTGACCTCAGGTGATCCACCAGCCTTGGCCTCCCAAAGTGTTGAGATTATAGGCATGAGTCACTGCACCCAGCCTAATTTTATTTTTAATATGTTAATCTAATAAAAGCAGAAATTGCATGCCAATATGTGAAAAGTTGAGATGATTTTAGACAAAGAGGTTTAAAAACCTCTCCTTATAAAATATCTCAAGTGTTTGTAGAGTCTCTGATAGAACACATACATGAAACAGAAAAAAAGATTAGTTCCAAAATGCTCTTTTCATCATGAATTTTCTCTAGTTAGTTAGGAAACCTGCTTTATGCTAACCCAAATTGACCTATCTGCACTTTTCAGTTATTGGTCATATATAGCCCTTCAAACAATGTAAAATGACCTGAATTATTTTTCTGTGGCCTATAGAAGTGTGAGCATAAACTGGCTATAATATATTTACTTATACTGGTAAAGACCATAGGTGGGGTGTTAATATCAATACATTTACATATCTCATAGCAGAATAAATGTCAATTTAGACTCAATGTAGAAAGCTCTCTTCTCATTAAAAGGAATCAGGAATAAGTAACATACCTACCATTGCCTCCCATCTCTATCTTCTCCAAACCCATGGCACTGGGAGGAAAATGGAGGTCCAGGAGACAAAGGTTACTCAGAGAATCAGTAAAAGATACAAAGTCACAGAAAGAAAGAAGATATTTCCTCACCCAACCATTAATAATACAGCTGCTCTCTAGGTTTCATTCCTTAATGTGAATCTAGTTACTCAAAATAATCATTTTTTTTCTTATTTAGTAAAACAAGCCCCTCTTTCCCCTGAAAAATATTTTTTTATAGATGTATATGTTTTCTAGGGAGATGTCAAGCTCATATTATGGCTCATATTCTGGTGGTTAGAATCACCAGAGAAGTAATACTCCTTAGAAAATGGCTCATTATCCAGGATTTTTTTTTCTGTCCATATGTGCAGCAAACTGCACTTCCAGATATCACTCAGTCACCCAAACCAGATTTCTAAAAGACATACTTCTTCCTTTTTGTCAACAATGACAAATGTCTCACATTTTGATCTTGTGAATCTCTTGTCGCAGTTCAGTCTACAATTGCCTATTTTTTAAGCTATTAAAGTTGGATTTCTTGTCTTTAGTTTTCTGGCTTATTAATAAATGTGGTAACAGAAAATGAAAACCTAGCTTTAAAAACTCACCAAGCCTCCTACATCTTTGGCTGCTTAGGAAAAAAAATTCCCTACCCATTTCTGTTACCTCTTTTTCTCACCCCATCTTCTCTGTGAGATTCTGAAAGGGTTAGAAGTGTCAGCTAGAGAAGGGCTGTGCGGGGCACAGCGAAGGCAGAAGATGCTGATGACACTCCTCATCTCCCTATTGCATGTTTCTAGCCTTAAGGAAGCCAGAGAGAGATGGTGAGGGAGGGGAAAAAAAAAAACCTTTAAATAATATTTTGAGATTTCACTCATATTAGATGAGGCATTCTAATTACTGAAATTAGATTATTTTTGTGGCAAATATTGACAAGCTGAATAAATATTATATAGAAGCTAAAATAAACATGTTTACCCTCTGAGCTTTTCATTAAAAAGGGATAATAAATCCTCAAATTACAAAATAGTGAAACTATAGGCTATACTAAATTTTCCCCATTTTACATGTCCACCATCCTGAATATCTTATTCTGGTAATAAAGATTTACATTTATCACCATGGTTACTAATTATTAAATGAATTCTGCCAATGACCAGTCAATTGGGACAATAAAACTGCATATTCACTGTGGCCAGAAATCTGGTTTCACATTCAACTGGTTTGATGAGAATTCAGATATGCATTACCTGAACAAGACGAAGCCAACAATATGTCAAATATTGCAGAACAAATATTTAGTTTTATCCACTAGATTAGTTCACCTTGTGATAAGCAGAGATGTAGGTTAGGGATCCTGCTTTTTTTAATTGTTAAAAAGAAGTAATTGATGCGGTTGAATAATATTTGTTTTTATTTATATCAAGATTTCCACCGGTTCGGCTCACAATTTAGAAAAATAACCTCTCATCATTTTTCATGTCTATGCATCATAATTTTTAATTTCAAATGTAAAGAAGCATGAACGTTTACTTACAAAAAGTGTTTCATCCACACGTTAAGTCAAATTTAAACACTTACAATGGACACATTTTATGAAATGGAAAAGAAAAAATAAGCTAGCCAATGTCTGACTATTCCCTCCATGATTTACGAAGTTTGCCTTGGAGAGGAGTTAAGAGGCTTTGTCATTGAATATTCCCGTGGCCTTGAAAAGCCATATTCCTAAGTTTCAGCTTCGCCTGTTGTAGTGAACTTCAACTAGATGAGCTTTATGTTACAATTAAAAATGTATATAATTCTGTTTTCTAACTTGGGAACAATTCTTTGTGCTTCCGATTTCAAGAAATTGTGGCTGTGTGTGTATTCAGTTTAACTTCTTACTCTTTCAAACTATGCTGCTGGGAACAAGAAGTTACAAAGCCATGCCACTGAACAAAACCATAACCTGTATGAAGACACTTAGCATGTTTGGGATGCGCTGTACAGGAAACATGATTCTTTATCATCTCACTTTAGCCTAATGACACTGCCTCTTTATGCATCAACATAGCATTAATCACAGTGTGGAATACAGATTCTAAGGAAAGTCAGTTAGTCCTCTCCTGTGAATTCACATAAAAGATGTTCCTCTCATCCAAGTAATTCCAAAGGTGACAAATATTACAGATGCTGAATTTATGGGAGTGCTTGCTCCCTGTTTATTAACTCATCCATCTTATGAGAAATAAAAGGGCCAAACAGTGAGACAAGTGGGCTTTTCTTATCCTGTCAGCTAAATGATGTTTTAGAGTAATCAATATCTATAATTACTAAATCCTGCCAGGGCAATTTAACCCTTCACTGTCTCATTGTTGCCTACCCACTTCCTAACATGACAGCAAGAGTAAACTAAAAGTTAATTAGGAAGAATTCAGTTTCAATTATGACATTTATTTCTTTCACCAAACTCATGTTCATTTACCTACATCACATCCTGTCTTTCTTACTATATATTTATGTAGCACGTATTTTTAATCTGGTATATATGTGATCAGGCTCCAGCAGGTCCCAAAGGCACAAGTAAGTTGCATGAGGAAGTGGCTCAAATTCCCATGGTCTCCATTCCTGTCACCCTGACTTCTTTTCTGCAGCCTGCACTGATGGCCTCATGGGGAGTTTTCTATGATCATTTGACAGAAGGAAGAGAAGACTAGGGCTGAGTTCACAGATGGTTTTGAATGATATGTAGGTGTCACCTGGAAGTAGACAGCTGCAGCACTGCAGCCCCTTTCTGGGCTATACCTGAAGGACAACAGTGACTGGAAATCTTCCCAGTGGGCAGAACTTCAAGCAGTGCACCTGATTGTGCATTTTGCAGCTAGCCAGATGTGTGATTATATTGATTATATACTGACTCATGGGCTGTAGCCAGTGGTTTGGCTGGATGGTCAGGGACTTGCAAGAAGTATGATTGGAAAATTGATGACAAAGAAATTTCTGGAAGAGGTATCTGGATAGACCTCTGTGACTGGTCAAAAACTATGAAGATATTTGTATCTCATGTGAGTGTTCACCAACGAGTGACCTCAGCAGCAGAGGATGTTAACAATCAAGTGAATGGGATGACCTGTTTTGTGGACACCACTCAGCATCTTTCCCTAGCCACCCCGTCATTGCCCAATGGGCCCATGAACAAAGTGGCCATGGTGGCAGGGATGAATGTTACACACAGGCTCAGCTACATGGACTTTCACTAACCAAGGCTGACCTGGCTACGGCCACTAATTTGCCAGCAGCAAGGCCCAACACTGAGCCCTCAATATGGCCCCGTTCCTTGGGGGTGATCAGCCAGCTACCTGGTGGCTGATTAATTTTATCGGACCTCTTCCACATTGAAGGGGCACAAGTTTGTCCTCACTGGAACAGACAATTACTTTGGATAAGGGTTTGCCTATCCTGCATGCAACGCTTCTGCAAGACTACCATTCATGGACTCACAGAATGCCTTATCCACTGTCATGGTATTCCACATAGCACTGACTCTGACCAAAGGACTCGCTTTATGGCAAAAGAAGTGTGGCAGTGGGCTCATGCTCATGGAATTCCCTGGTCTTACCATGTTCCCTTCCCCAGCATCCTGAAACAGCACTATTGGTAGAATGTGGAATAGCCTTTTGAAGTCACAATTAAAATGCCAACTAGGTGACAATACTTTGCAAGGCTGGGGCAAAGTTCTCCAGAAGGCCATGTATGCTCTGAATCAGTGTCCAATATATGGTACTGTTTCTCCCATAGCCAGGATTAATGGGTCCAGGAATCAAGGGGTGGAAGTGGAAGTGGCACCACTCACCATCTCCCCTAGCAATCCACTAGCAAAATTTTTGCTTCCACTTCTTGTGACATTACATTCTGCTGGCCTAGAGATCTCAGTGCCAGAGAGAGGAACGCTGCCACCAGGAGACACAACAATGATTTTATTAAACTGGAAATTACAATTGCCAACTGGACACTTTGGGCTCCTCCTACCTTTGAGTCAACAGGCTAAGAAGTGAGTTACAGTGTTGGCTAGGGTGATTGACCCAGACTATCAATATGAAATCAGTCTACTATTGCACAATGGAGGTAAGGAAGAGTATGCATGGAATACAGAAGATCCGTTGTGATGTCTTTTAGCACTACCATGCCCTGTGATTATGGTCAATGGGAAACTACAACAGCCCAATCCAGGCAGGAGTACAAATGGCTCAGACCCTTCAGGAATGAAGGCTTGGTTCACTCCACCAGGAAAAAAGAAAAAAACCACAATCTGCTGAGGTGCTTGCTGAAGGCAAAGGGAATACAGAATGGGTAGCAGAATAAGGTTGTCATCAATAACAGCTATGAGAACATGACCAGTTGCAGATAGGGGACTGTAATTGTCATGAATATTTCATCCTCCTTTTGTTAAAAACATGTTTGTGTATGTATACATTTGTACTAAGAAAATACCTTCATTTTATTTCCTTTTTCCTTTGTCATGTGATAAAAGATTTATTGACTTCATATCAGCATTTGAGTGTTGTTAACTTTATGTAATAGCATTTTTGTTGGAGATCGGTGCATTTCCAGTTTTACAAATGATAGTTGCATTATGTTAGGCACAACTGTGACCTTATTATAGTCTTTATTTGAAGATTATGTATGATCTCAGGTTAATACTGAGTGTCAACTTGATTGGATTGAAAGATGCAAAGTATTGATTCTGGGTGTGCCTGTGAGGATGCTGCCAAAGGAGACTAACATTTGAGTCAGTGGGCTGGAAAAGGCAGACCCACCCTTAATCTGGGTGGGCACTATCTATTCAGCTGCCAGTGTGGCCAGGATATAAAGCAGGCAGAAATAATGTGAAAAGGCTAGACTGGCTTAGCCTCCCCCTCCTAGCCTACATCTTTCTCCCATGCTGGATACTTCCTCCCCTCCAACATCGGACTTCAAGTTCTTCAGCTTTGGGAACCGGACTGGCTTCCTTGATCCTCAGCTTGCAGGCCTATTGTGGGACCTTGTGATTGTGTGAGTTTAATGTTTTTTAATAAACACCCTTTTATATACACATCTATCCTATTAGTTCCATCCCTCTAAAGAACCCTAATACACTTGGTTAAATTGGTTTCTAGGTATTTTATATTTTTGAAGTTATTATAAATGAGCTCACTTTCTTTTTCAAATTGTTTGCTGTTGGCCTATAGAAATGCCATTTATTTTTGTATGTTGATTTTGTATTGTGCAACTTTGCTGAATTTATTTATCAGTTCTAAGAGCTTTTTGGTAAAATTTTTAAGTTTTTCTAAGTGTAAAATCATGTCATCTGCAAACAAGGCTAATTTGACATTTTTCTTTATTGTTTGGATGCTCTATATTTCTTTCTCTTCCCTAATTGTTCTGGCCAGGACTTCTAGTGCTATACTGAATAAAAGTGGTGAAAGTGGGCATCTTTGTCTTTTTCCAGATCTTAGTGGAAAGGTCTTCAAATTTTCACCACTCAGTATGATGTCAGCTGTGGGTTTGTTATATCTGGCCTTATTTTGAGGCATGTTTCTTCCATACCCAGTTTGATGGGGGTCTTTATCATAAACGTGATGATGAATTCTATCAAATTCATTTTGGCATCTTTGAAATAATTATATGGTTTTTGTTCTTGCTTCTTTTAATATAACGTATTACATTTATTGATTTGCATATGCCAAACCATCCTTGTATCCCTTGGGTGAGTCCCACTTGATCACAGTTAATGATCTTTTTAATGTGTTGTTGAATTCGGTTTGTTAGTATTTTTCTGAGTATTTTTACATTGTTTATCAGTGATACTGGTCTGTAGTTTTCTTTTTTTTGTTTTTGTTTTTGTTTTGTTTCTGTCTGGTTTTGCTATCAAGGTAATAGTGCTTCATAAAATAAGTTTGGAATTGTTTCCTCTTACTCAATTTTTTTGACAAGTTTGAGTAGAATTGTTATTAGTTTTTCTTTAACAGGTAGAATTCCCCAATGAAGTCATCAGGTCCTGAGCTTTCTTTCATGGAAGTCTTTTTTCATTATTGCATTGACCTCATTACTCATTATTGGTTTCTCGAGATTTTCTATTTCTTCATGCTTCAATCTTGGTAGGTTGTATGCATTCAGAAATTATTCCATGTCTTCTAGGTTTTCAAATTTGTTGGTGTATAGTTAGTAGTCTCTAATTATTCTTTGTAATTCTGTGGTCTCAGTTGTTATGTTTCCTTTTCTGTTTCTAATTTTATTTATTTAGGTTTTCTCTCTTTCTTAGTCTAGCTGAAGATTTGTTGATTTTGTTAACTTTTCAAAAAAAACTTTTCATTTTGATCTTCTGTATTTTTTCAGTCTTAATTTTGTTTATTTCTGCTTTGATCTTTAATTTGTTCTTTCTTTTCTAGTTCCTTGAGGTTCATTGTTAGGTTTTATTTTGGTGTTTCTACTTTTTTAATATAGGTATTTACTGCTATAAACTTCCCTCGTAGTACTGATTTTGTCATATTTCATAGATTGTGATATGTCATATTTCTATTTCTATTTATTTCCAATTTTTTTATTTTCTTTTCAATTTCTTCATTGACTCATTGGTCATTCAGGAGCATGTTGTTTAATTTCTATATTTTTGTGTAGTTTGTGAGGTTCCTCTTGTTACTGGGTTCTAGTTAATTGATTTATGATCAGAAAATGCATTTTATATGAGTTCTACATTTTTGGATTTGTTGAGACTTGTTTCGTGGCCTAAGATATGGTGAATTCTGGAGAATGTTCCTTATGCTGATAAAAAGAATATGTATTCTGCAGCAGTTGTGTGAAACATTCTAAAAATGTCAGTTAGGCCTGTTAGGTCTAGTGTGTAGTTTAACTCAGTGTTTCTTTATTGATTTTCTCTCTGGATGATCTGTCCACTCCTGAGAGTGGTGTGTTGAAGTCCCCTACTATTATTGTATTACAGTCTATTTCTAGCTTTAGATCTATTAATGCTTATTTTATGTACTTCAGAGCTCCAGTGCTGAGTGCATAACTATTTATAATTGTAGTATCTTCTTGTCAAATTGACCCTTTTCTCATAATATAGTGAACTTTGTCTTTTTTATAGTCTTTAATTGTAGTTCATTTTATCTGATGTAAGTATACTTCTTCTCTTTTGTTGTTCCTTCTTTTTTGTTTGTTTTGAAGTTTGCTCATTAGAAGTTGTTTCAGTGGCATGAAATATCACTTTCTATCCCTTCACTTTCAGTCTATGGGTGTCTTTAGAGATGAAGTGGATTTCTTATAAACAGATTATAGTTAGTTCTTTTTGTTGTATCAATTCAGCCACTCTATGCCTTTTATTTTTTTCTTTCTTTAAATTATACTTTAAGTTCCAGGATACATGTGAAGAATGTGCAGGTTACATAGGTATATATGTGCCATGGTGGTTTGCTGCACCCATCAACTCGTCATCTACATTAGGTATTTCTCCTAATGCGATCCCTCCCCTTGCCTCCCAACCCCTGACAGGCCCCGGTATTTGATGTTCCCCTCTCTGTGCCCATATGTTTTCATTGTTCAACTCCCACTTATGTGTGAGAATATTCAGTGTTTGGTTTACTGTTCCTGTGTTAATTTGCTGAGAATTATGTTTTCCAGCTTCATCCATGTCCCTGCAAATGACATGAACTCATTCTATTTTTATGGCTGCATAGTATTCCATAGTGTATATGTGCCACATTTTCTTTATCCAGTCTGTCATTGATAGGCATTTGGGTGGGTTCCAAGTCTTTGCTATTGTGAATGGTGCTGCAATAAACATATGTGTGCATGTGTCTTTATAGTAGAATGATTTATTGTTGGGGAAACCAGCCCCACACCACCCAGCGGGTACCCTGAGTCCAGCCGAGATAAAGGAGTTAGAAAGAGACAGAATAAGAGTTTAAAAGGCAGGTCCAGGGGACTGGAGTGTCGGAGTCTTTCTCATGGCCCAGAGCTCTTTGGCTCTGCCTAATTTATTGGTTTACAATCTCTTTGTTCTTAGGGCAGATGGGAGGGGTAGGAAGGGATGAGGAAAAGGATTAATCAGTGAAGGAGAATTTGTGAGTCATTCAATAAGATGTATAGCAGTGGCAGTTTTTGTGAATTTCCTTGAGCAAAGGCATGTGTCTAAACTACTTAAGATCTTTAGCTTATTGGGACTGAAATGGGTGGGAGTGGGTTTCAGGAAGAGCCAAGATGTTTGATTATACTCCACTGCTTCAAGGGAGTGTTATCTCCTTGAGCAACCTGTGGAATGCCGCTGAGCTGTTATGCTCTCGGGGCATAAAGGCATGAAGGCAATAAGGAGACTTTTCTCCTCAAAGGCTGCCCATGGCTCCCCACGGATGTCTCACATAGGGGAGACCAACTCATCTGGCACTCCAGAATTCTCTTTCCTACATTTATAATCCTTTGGGTATATAGCCAGTAATGGGATTGCTGGGTCAAATGGTATTTCTAATCCTAGATCCTTGAGGAATGGCCACACTGTCTTCCACCATGGTTGAACTAATTTACATTCCCACCAACAGTGTAAAAGTGTTCCTATTTCTCCACATCCTCTCCAGCATCTGTTGTTTCCTGACTGTTTAATGATTGCCATTCTAACTGGTGTGAGATGGTATCTCACTGTGGTTTTTATTTGCATTTCTCTAATGACCAATGATGATGAGCTCTTTTACATGTTTGTTGGCTGAATAAATGTCTTCTTTTGAAAAGTGTCTGTTCATATCCTTTGCCCACTTTTTGATGGGGTTCTTTATTTATTTTCTTGTAAATTTGTTTAAGTTCCTTGTAGATTCTGGATATTAGCCCTTTGTCCGATAGATAGATTGCAAAAATTTTCTCCCATCCTGTAGGTTGCCTGTTCACACTGATGATAGTTTCTTTTGCTGTGCAGAAGCTCTTCATTTTAATTAGATCCGATGAGTCAATTTTGGCTTTTGTTGTCATTGCTTTTGGTGTTTTAGTCATGAAGTCTTTGCTCATGCCTACATCCTGAATGGTATTGCCTAGGTGTTCTTCTAGGGTTTTTATGGTTTTAGGTCTTATGTTTAAATCTTTAATCCATCTTGAGTTAATTTTTGTATAAGGTGTGAGGAAGGGGTCCAGTTTCAGTTTTCTGCATATGGCTAGCCAGTTTTCCCAACACCATTTATTAAATAGGGAATCCTTTCCCCATTGTTTGTTTTTGTCAGGTTTGTCAAAGATCAGATGGTTATAGATGTGTGGTGTTATTTCCGAGGTCTCTGTTCGGTTCCATTGGTCTATATATCTGTTTTGGTACCAGTACCATGCTGTTCTGGTTACTGTAGGCTTGTGGTACAGTTTGAAGTCATAGGCATGATGCTTCCAGCTTTGCTCTTTTTGCTTAGGATTGTCTTGGCTATATGGGTTCATTTTTGGTTCCATATTAATTTAAAGTAGTTTTTTTCTAATTCTGTGAAGAAATTAGATGGTAGCTTGATGGGCATAGCATTGAATCTATAAATTATTTTGGGCAGTATGGCCATTTTCATGATATTGATTCTTTCTATCCACAAGCTTGTTTGTTTGTGTCCTCTCTTATTTCCATGAGCAGTGGATTGTAGTTCTCCTTGAAGTAGTCCTTCAAATACCTTGTAAGTTGTATTCCTAGGTATTTTATTCTCTTTGTGGCAATTGTGAATGGGAATTTGCTCAAGATTTGGCTCTCTGTTTGTCTATTATTGGTGTATAAGAATGGCTGTGATTTTTTGCACATTCATTTTGTATCCTGAGACTGCTGAAGTTGCTTATCAGCTTAAGGAGTTTTGGGGATGAGACGATGGGTTTTCTAAATATACAATCATATCATCTGCAAACAAAGATAATTTCACTTCCTCTATTCCTATTTGAATACTGTATATTTCTTTCTCTTGCCTGACTGCCCTGTCCAGAACTTCCAACACTATGTTAAATAGGAGTGGTGAGAGAGGGAATCCTTGTCTTGTGCCAATTTTCACAAAAAAATGCTTCCAGCTTTTGCCCATTCAATATGATATTGGCTGGGGTTTTGTCATAAATAGCTCTTATTATTTTCAGATATGTTCCATCAATACCTAGTTTATTGAGTGTTTTTAGCAAGAAAGGGTGTTGAATTTGATTGAAGGCCTTTTCTGCATCTATTGAAATAATCAGGTGGATTTTGTCATTGGTTCTGTTTACGTGATGGATTACATTTATGGATTGTGTATGTTGAACCAGCCTTGCATCCCAGGGATGAAGCCAACTTGATCATTGTGGATAAGCTTTTTATGATGCTGCTGGATTCAGTTTGCCAGTATTTTACTGAGGATTTTCACATCAATGTTCATCAGGGATATTGGCCTGAAATTTTCTTTTTTTGTTATGTCTCTGACAGGTTGTGGTATCAGGATGATGCTGGCCTCATAAAATGAGTTAGGGAGGAGTCCCTCTTTTTCTACTGTTTGGATAGTTTCAGAAGGAATTATACCAGCTCCTCTTTGTACCTCTGGTAGAATTCTCCTGTGAATCCATCTGGTCCTGGGCTTTTTTTCTTTTTTCTTTGGTTGGTGGGCTATTACTTACTTCCTCAATTTCAGAACTTGTTATTGATCTATTCAGGGATTTGACTTCTTCCTGGTTTAGTCTTGTGGGGATGTATGTGTCCAGGAATTTATCCATTTCTTTTAGATTTTCTAGTTTATTTATGTAGAGGGGTTGATAGTATTCTCTGATGGTCGTTTGTATTTCTGTGAGATCAGTGGTGATATCCCCTTTATCATTTTTTAATGTGTCTATTTGATTCTCTCTTTTCTTCTTTATTAGTCTGGCTAGTGGTCTATTTTGTTAACCTTTTCAAAAAAACAGCTTCTGGGTTCATTGATTTTTTGAAGGGGTTTTCTTGTCTCTATCTCCTTCAGTTCTGCTCTGATCTCAATTTTCTTGTGTCTTCTGCAAGCTTTTGAATTTGTTTGCTCTTGCTTCTCTAGTTCTTTTAATTGTGATATTAGGGTGTTGATATTAGTTCTTTTCTGCTTTCTCCTGTGGGCATTTAATGTTATGAATTTCCCCCTAAATACAGCTTTAGCTGTGTCCCAGAGATTCTGGTACATTCTAGTCTTTGTTCTCATTGGTTTCAAAGAACTTATTTATTTCTGCCTTAATTTCCTTATTTACCCAGTAGTCATTCAGGAGCAGGTTGTTCAGTTTCCATGTAGTTGTGGGGTTTTGAGTAAATTTCTTAATCTTAAATTCTAATCTCATTGCCGTGTGGTCTGAGAGACTGTTTGTTACAATTTCTGTTGTTTTGCATTTGCTGAGGAGTGTTTTACTTCCAATTATGTGGTCAATTGTAGAATAAGTGCTATCGGTGCTGAGAAGAATGTATATTCTGTTTATTTGGGGTGGAGAGTTCTGTAGATGTCTCTAAGTTCTGCTTGGTCCAGAGCTGAGTTCAAGTCCTGAATATCCTTCTTAATTTTCTGTCTTGTTGATCTGTCTAATATTGACAGTGGGGTGTTAAAGTCTCCCACTATTATTATGTGGGAGTCTAAGTTTCTTTGGAGGTCTCTAAGAACTTGCTTTATGAATCTGGATTCTCCTGTGTTGGATGCATATATATTCAGGATAATTAGCTCTTCTTTTTGCCTTGATCCCTTTACTACTATGTAATGCCCTTCATTGTCTTTTATGATCTTTGTTGGTTTAAAGTCTGTTCCTTTTAATTGGGGCATTTAGTCCATTTACATTTAAGGTTAACATTGTTATGTGTTAATTTGATCCTGTCATTATGATGCTAGCTGGTTATTTTGCTCATTAGTTGATGCAGTTTCTTCTTAGTGTCAATGGTCTTTACATTATGATTTGTTTTTGCAGTGGCTGGTACTGGTTTTTCCTTTCTGTATTTAGTGCTTCCTCCAGGAACTCTTGTAAATCAGGCCTTGTGGTGACAAAATCCCTTAGCATGTGCTTATCTGTAAAGTATTATATTTCTCCTTCACTTATGAAGCTTAATTTGGGTGGATATGAAATTCTGGGTTGAAAATTCTTTTCTTTAAGAATGTTGAACATTGGCCCCCACTCTATTCTGGCTTGTAGGGTTTCTGCAGAGAGGTCTGCTGTTAGTCTGATGGGCTTCCCTTTGTGGGAAACCTGTACTTTCTCTCTGGCTGCCCTTAACATTTTTTCCTTCATTTCAACCTTGGTGAATCTGACAATTATGTGTCTTGGGATTGCTCTTCTCAAGGAATATCTTTGTGGCGTTCTCTGTATTTCCTGAATTTGAATGTTGGTCTGTCTTGCTAGGTTGGGGAAGTTCTCCTGGATAATATCCTGAAGCGTGTTTTCAAACTTGGTTCCATTCTCCCCGTCATTTTCAGGTACACCAATCAAACCTAGGTTTGGTCTTTTTACATAGTCCCATATTTCTTGGAGGCTTTCCTTTTCATTCTTTTTTCTCTAATCTTGTTTTCATGCTTTATTTCATTAAGCTGATCTTCAATCTCTGATATCCTTTCTTCCGCTTGATCAATTTGGCTATTGATACTTGTATATGCTTCACAAAGTTCTCCTGCTGTGTTTTTCAGCTCCATCAGGTCGTTTATATTCTTCCCTAAACTGGTTATTCTAGTTAGCAATTCCTCTAACCTTTTTTCAAGGTTCTTAGCTTCCTTGCATTGGGTTAGAGCATGCTCCTTTAGCTTGGAGGAGTTTGTTATTTTCCACCTTCTGAAGCCTACTTGTGTCAATTTGTCAAACTTATTCTCTGTCCAGTTTCATTCTCTTGCTGGCAAGGAGTTGTGATCCTTTGGAGGAGAAGAAGTATTCCTGTTTTTGGAATTTTCAGCATTTTTGTGCTGGTTTTTCCTCATCTTCATGGATTTCTCTACCTTTGGTCTTTGCTGTTGGTGACTTTCAGATGGAGTTTTTGGGTGGTTGTCCTTTTTATTCATGTTGATGCTATTGCTTTCTGTTTGTTAGTTTTCCTTCTAACAGGCCCCTCCTCTGCAGGTCTGCTGGAGTTTGCGGGGGTCCACTCCAAATCCTGTTTGCCTGGGTATCACCAGTGGAGGCTGCAGAACAACAATAATTGCTGCCTGCTCCTTCCTCTGGAAGTTTCATCCTAGAGGGGTGTCTGCCAGATGCCAGCCAGAGCTCTCTTTTATGAGGTGTCTGTCGACCCCTGCTGGGAGCTGTCTCCCTGTCAGGTGGCATGGGGGTCAGGGACCCACTTAAGGAGGCAGTCTGTCCCTTTGCAGAGCTCGAGCGCTGTGCTGGGAGATCCACTGCTCGCTTCAGAGCCAGCAAGTAGGAACGTTTAAGTCTGCTGAAGCTGTGCCCAGCCGCCCCTTCCCCCAGGTGTTCTGTCCCAGGGAGATGGGAGTTTTATCTATAAGCCCCTGACTGGGACTGCTGCCTTTCTTTCAGAGATGCCCTGCCCAGAGAGAAGGAATTCAGTGAGGCAGTCTGGCTACAGTGGCTTTGACAAGTTGCAATGAGCTCTGCCCAGTTCGAACTTCCTGGTGGCTTCATTTATACTGTAAGGGGAAAACTGCCCACTCAAGCCTCAGTAATGGCAGACACCCCTCCCCCGACCAAGCTCTAGCATCCTAGGTCAACTTCAGACTGCTGTGCTGGCAGCGAGAATTTCAAGCCAGTGGATCTTAGCTTGCTGGGCTCTGTGGGGATGGGATTAGCTGAGCTAGTCCACTTGGCTCCCTGGCTTCAGTCCCCTTTCCAGGGAGTGAATGGTTCTGTCTTGCTTGCGTTCCAGGCGCCACTGGGGTATGGAAAAACAACAGCAACAACAACAAATGGAAAAAAAACAAAAACAAAAAACAAAAAAACTTCTGTAGCTAGCTCATCTGCCCAAACAGCAGCTCAGTTTTGTGCTTGAAACCCAGGGCCCTTGTGATGTAGGCACCCGAGTGAATCTTCTGGTCTGTGAATAGCAAAGACCATGAAAAAGCATAGTATCTGGGCCAGATAGCACCGTCCCTCATGGCATGGTCCCTCACAGCTTCCCTTAGGAGGGAGTTCCCTGACCCCTTGGGCTTCCCAGGTGAGGCAATGCCCCGCCCCCTGCTTCTGGTTGCCCTCCATGGGCTACACCCACTGTCCAGTCCCAGTGAGATGAACCGGGTACCTCAGTTAGAAATGCAGAAATCACCTGCCTTCTGTGTTGGTCTCACTGGGAGCTGCAGACCGGAGCTGTTGTTATTCAGCCATCTTGCCTGGGAATCCACTCTTTGTCTTTTAATTACATTAAATGCTATTATTGATTAAAAAAAGGACTTATTATTACCATTTTGTTCTTGTTTTCTGATGATTTATAACCTTTTCTTCCTTTCTTACTGCCTTTCTTTGTTGTTAAAGTGATTTTCCCTAGTAGCATGTTTCAATTCATTGCTTATTATTTTTAGTGAATTTTGCATTGTAGTTACCTTGAGGCTTACACAAAACTTCTTATAGATATAACTAATTATTTTAAAGAGATAACAACTTAGGTCACAAAAAAAAATAGGACAAAATAAACAAAACAAAAAACCCTCAACATTATAATTTCATTTTCTCCAAATTTTGACTTTTTATTATCTTGATTTACATATGTTTATATTACCTATCTTTGAACAGATTGCTATTACTGACAGATTCGTCAATAGATTTGTCTTTTTGGCTTCATACTAGAATTATGAGTGGATTTCACACCAACATTATAGAAATAGTGTATTCTGGACTTTCCTATGAACTTAATTTTACTAGTGGATTTTGTACATTCAAGTGATTTCTTTTTTCACATTAATATGCTGCCCTTCCTGAATGGGTGAGATCCCAAATGGGATATCGTGGCAGTATAGGAAGGCTGGCTAGTGTGCCCAGGGAACTTGTGGAGCAAACTTTCTACAGCATGGTACTGCTGAAAAACAATTCTAACATGGTGGTTTCCTTTGGCTGAGTTACAGAGTGGAGTTCCCAGCACTGGAGATGAAAGTCCCACCTCCCTCCTTTGTGTCTGCCTATCCTCAGTAACATTTCTCTCTTTATGCAAGTGTGATGTTCCCATGGGTTAAGGCAGCGACAGATCTAATGCCAGGGTACCAAGATGGTGAGGAAGCTGATTTCCCACATTAATCTCACATTTTCCAGTGGAGAAACTGAGTTGGGGGAAAATTTTTCACATACTTGGTGCTAGGCAGAATAGGGGGAAGGGTGTCACAATTGTGAAAATTCAATTTTCTTACCATCTGCTGAAAGTTTTTTCACTTCTCTATGTCCCCTGCAACTGTCTCATTTTCATGTTTGAGTTCTGGTATGTTGCTCATGATAATCACAGCCCTCTCTATATTGTTTTTACTTTTCTGCGGCGGTAAATGAAGCCTGCTTCTATACCATCATTTTGAAACCAGAAGTCAGCTATAACTTTTATAATAGACATTAACTCTTTCTGAATTTTGCCTGCAAGAGAAACCTTATCTTTATTACATTTTACAGTAAATATACTGGCCTACAGACAAAGACATGATTTCAAACTTTTAATGTTTTTTATTATGCAAACATCCCCGAAAAGATTGCACAGGTCAAAGTTGGTCAGTGTTTCTACTTGCAAATTTTGAACGAAGTGAGACTCATGGAGAAATGTCTATCAACAGAGCAAAATCTCTACACTGAAAATTGGTAAACTTTTTAAAGAAAAATTTAAAAGATCTAAGTATATATAGAGATACATCATATTCATAAATTGGCAGACTCAATATTTTTAAGATTGACTAATGCTTAGCAAGACTAAAAGAAAGAAGTGAGAAACCACAAATTCTCAGCACCATGAATAAAAAGTGGGCATAAGTTAAATAACATTAAAAGGATAGAAAGAGGATATAATGAGCAATTTAATGCCAATAGACTTGACAACTTAGATGAAATTGACAAATTCCTTGAAAATCACAACTTGTTAAAACTGACAAAATAAATAGAACATTTTAAATAATATAATATCTATTAAAAATATTAAAGTCATAGCAAAAATCCTGCTTCCTAGGTTGATATATAGAACCAATTGAACCCTCCAATAACCTCTGTCAGACTATTTTTAAGAACAAAATATGTAAGACAATTCTCAAATGTATATAAATATGTAAGGGATGTAGAATAGTATATTAGTTTCCTCTCCCTATTATAACAAATTACTACAAATGCAGTGCTTGTAACACAAATAATCTTACACTTTAGAGGCCAGAAATGCAAAATGGGACTCATAAGGCTAAAATCAAGAGGACAGGAGAGCTTTGTTTGTTTGTTTTAATAATTTCATTTTTTCCAAGAAGAGAATCTGCTGTCCTTTGTCAGATTTGAGAAGCTGTCTGAAATCTGTGGCTCATGGTTACATGACTGCAAACTCAGCTTTCATCACATTTTCTTGGACTCTTTTGCCTCCCTCATGTAAGAACCCTTGTGATTGCATTGGACCTGCCCAGTAAGTAGTAGATCATTGAGAATAATCTCTCCATCCTAAGTCCCTTAACTTAGTCATATTTGGAATTTTCCTTTTGCCATGAAAGGTAGCATATTCGTAGGTTCTGGAGACTAGAATATGGACATCTTTAAGAGGTCATTATTCTGCTTACAAATAGTCAATTCTTTATCCCCCCAAATTTATTTCTATCCCACATGCAAAATGCATTTACTTCATCCAAAATTTCCCCAAAGACTCAACCTATTATTCTATAAACTCAAAGTCCAAAAGTCTTCTAAATCTTATCAGCTCAATAGTACCAACTCTTTATTTAAATGACCTAGTTATAGGAGAAGCTGTGAGTATAATCCACCATAAGACACAACTTCTCTCCATCTGTAAAACCGTGAAACTTAAGAAAAAATTATCTAATTCCAAAATACAATGTTGGTACAGGTATATGATAAGAGTAATAAACAATTCTACTCAAAAATAATAATATAGAAAGAAGAAAGAAATTGCTGTTCTCAAGCAACTTTGAAATCTGGCTGGTCTCAAACAACTTCAAAATCCAGACAAACTCTGTTAGCTTTTCAGGACTATGAACTATACTCTCATTCTGAGGTTCTGCCTTCTATGCTCATGACTCTGTGCTCTGCTTCATCTTCAATGTTTCATCCTTTTGTTTTATAAAGCATAGCACATATTTGCAGCTATGTACTTCTATTGCTTCCTGTAAAATTCTGGGGGTCTGAAAGCTTTCTTCTATTTTGACTTCTCTATCCCGTTCAGTCTAAGCTGGCAGAGCTTGTGGTAGTATAACATTGTATGAATCTTGTGTGGCTCTGATGTATTTCACGTGGATTAAATTTATTAGACAAGAGGCTCCTCTACATATCATTCTTAGATAATCTTTTATCTATATTTGGCTTCCACAAAGATGGACAAGGGCATCTATAAGTCACACACTCAATATCTTAAAATAACATTTTGTGTGACTAAATATTCTGGCCTTTGATCTTTCGGAAGTAATGAAACTCCATTGACTCCAAATAAACCAACCATGAAAAAAAAAGAAAAAAGACAGTGCAAGGTCTCTAAAAATTAAACTGCCATTGGAACTACTGCCCACAAAGTTTACTAAAACTCATGTGCTAAACCTAAACAGGGTTACTGCTTGCTTAAATAAAGATCTAAGTAGGACCTAGAATCTCCTAAGATAGTAGACAAAATGTCCAAGATACAATATAAAATTTACCTTCAAACTAAGATGCAAGAAAACCACAACTTCAGCAAGAAAAGACAATCAGTAGAGACCAAGAGAAAGATGGATTAGATATTAGAATTACTGGCACAGATGTTAAAGTGGTTATCAAAAAATGCTTCAAATGTAATTATAAATTTCCTGGAAACAAATGAAACACTAGAAAATCTCAGTAAAGACAGAAGTTATATAAAAAAGAAACAGAAATTACAGAACTGAAAGATACAATAACAGCAACACAAAACTTGCTGCGTAGCACATCTACAACTATCTTATCTTCACCAAAAACAAGCAATAGGAAAAGTGCTCCCTATTCAATAAATGATGCTGGAATATAACTGCCTAGCTATATGCAAAAGGTTCAAACTGGACCCCTTCCTTATGCCATTTATAAAAATCAACTCAAGGTGGATTAAAGACTTAAATGTAAAACCTGAAACTATATAAACTCTGGAAGAAAACCTAGCAAATGCCAGTCTGCACAGAGACCCTGGCAAAGATTTAGTGATAAAGACACCAAAAACAATTGCAACAAAAGCAAAAATTGACAAATAGGATCGGAATAAACTGAAGAGCTTCTGCACAGCAAAAGAAGCTATCAACAGAGTAAACAGACAACCAATAGAATGGGAGAAAATATGTGCAAACTATGCATCAGATAAAGGTCTAATATCCAGAGTCTATAAGGAACTTAAACAAATTCACAAACAAGTGACAAACAACCCTATTAAAAAGTGGGCAAAGGACATGAACAGACGCTTCTCAAAAAAAAAAAAAAAAAAAGACATAAACATGGCCATGAGCTTATGAAAAAATGCTCGATATCACTAATCATTAGAGAAATGCAAATCAAAAGCAAAATAAGATACCATTTTACACCAGTTAGAATGGCTATTATTAAAAAGTAAAAAAATTACAGATGCTCTCTATGCTGCAAAGAGAACACTTATACACTGCTGCTGGAAATGTAAATTAGTTCAGCCACTGTGGAAAGCAGTGTGGTAATATCTCAAGGAACTTAAAACAGAATTACCATTTGACCCAGCAATCCCATTATTGAATTTATCAACAAGGAATATAAATTATTCTACTGTAAAGACACATTCATGCATATGTTCATTGTAGCACTATTCACAATAGAAAATACATGGAATCAACCTAAATGCCCATCAATGACAGACTGGATAAAGAAAATGTAGTACATATACACTATAAAATACTACACAGCAATAAAAAGGAATGCGATCACATCCTTTCAGCAACATGGATGGATCTGGAGACCACTATGTTAAACACACTAGTGCAGAAACAGAAAACCAAATACCACATGTTCTTACTTGTAAGTGGGAGCTAAACATTGAGTATGCATATATACATGCGTACTTGAGGGTGGAGGGTAGGAGGAGAGAGAGGATAATAAACTACCCATGAAGTCTTATGCTCATTGCCAGAATGGTGAAGTAATCTGTGCACCAAACTCCTGTAACTTATAATTTACAAATATAACAAACCTGCGTATATATCCCTGATCCTAACATAAAAGTTAAAAAAATAATAATAAAGGAATAGAAGCTGCTGGATAGACAACCATAGCATGAATTCATAGAGGATAGAATGAGTGACTGTAAGAATAGATCAACAGAATCTTTGCAATATAAACAACACAGAGAATAAAAGTGCACTGAATTTAAAATAAATATGCCCTTAAAGACCCATGGGATAATAACAAAAGACTTGACATTCAAATCTATTTAGTTCCAGAAGGAAAGGAGAAAGCGAGCAAGAATAAAAGAATATCAGAAGTAATCATGGCTGAAATTTTCCAAACTGTGGTGAAAGATTCAAGAACATGAAACAAACCCAATGAGGTAAACTCAAAGAAATCTATGTCAAGACAACTCATAATTTAACTGTTCCAACTAAAGACAAGAAAATCTTTAAATCATCCAGAGAAAAACAAATTATTAAAACTATGGAACAGCATTTTGAATGACAATGAATTTCTTTCAAAAACTATGGAGGCCAGAAGAAGTGGCACAGTATTTTTCAAACAGTGAAAGAGAAGAATTGTCAATAGCAAATTTTATATCCAACAAAACTACACTTTAAAATGAAGGTAAGATATTTTATTTCATACATCATTAGGGATATACAAATTAAAACAAAAATGTGATATTACTGTACACCTATCAAGATTGGCCAAATTTCAGAATACTTATGACACCAAATGCTGGTGAGAATGTGAAACAACAGGAACTCTCATTGCCGTTGGAAAGCAAAATGTTACAGCTACTTTGAAACAGAACTCCTATAAGATAGATTGGGTCCACAGTGTATGACTGATTATGATGTGAGTGGTGGGTATCCTGTGAAATTTGGCAATGTGATGATCTCGAGGTTAGGTAAACAGAACCAATAGGTAAACAGAACCAATGGGACATATATGAATATGTGAAAGGAGATTTTTTTTGAAAATGTCTCACACAATTATGACAGTCATGAAGTTCCACAATATGTCATCTACTAGAGAACAAAGAAAGTCGATGTATAATTATTTAAAGTCCTAAAGCCTGAGAAGCAGAAGAGCCAATGATGTAACTCCCAGTCCACAACCAAAACCTCTTATTTCTGAGAGCCAGAGAACATACTTGTCCCAGCTCAAGAAGCACACCTGTAATCCCAACACTTTGGGAGGTCAAGGTGGGTGGATCACCTGAGGTCAGGAGTTTGAGACCAGCCTGGCCAACATGGTGAAACCCCATCTCTACTAAAAATACAAAAAATAGCCGAGCATGGTGGTGCACTCCTGTAGTCCCAGCTACTCAGGAGGCTGAGGCAGGAGAACAGCTTAAACCTGGGAGGTGCAGGTTGCAGTGAGCTGAGATCATGCCACTGCACTTCAGCCTAGGCAACAGAGTGAGGAAAGAAAAGAAAGGAAAGAAAGGAATGAAGAAAGGAAGGAAGGAAGGAAGGAAGAAAGGGAGGAAGGAAAGGAAAGAGAGAGAAAGAAAGAAAGAAAGAAAGAAAGAAAGAAAGAAAGAAAGAAAGAAAGAAAGAAAGAAAGAAAGAAAGATAAAATTTACCCTTGCTCTGCTTTTTTGTTCTGTTTAGGCTCTCAATGGATTAGATGATGTCTGCCAACATTGGTGAGAGCAGACAGATCTCCTTTACTCAGCATACCTCTCACAGTCACACACAGAAATAATGTTTTAACAACTGTGTGGTTACTTCTTAACTCAGTCAAGTTGACACATACAATTTACCATCACAGAGAGTGAAACTATTCTGTATGATACTATAATGGTGGCCATATGCCATTATACATTTGTCAAAACCCATAGAATATGCAGCACCAAGAGTAAAACCTTATTGTAAAACATGAACTTTAGGTGAAGACCTCTTCAGCCTGGACTTTATTGTCCACATTACTATCAGCATTTTGCTCAAAACCATTCAACAAGTTTCTAGGAAGTTCCAAACTTTCCCAAATCTTCCTACCTTCTTCTGAGCCCTCTGAACTGTTCCAATCTCTGCCTGTTACCCAGTTCCAAAGTTGCTTCCACATTTTCAGGCTATCTTTATAGCAAGTCCCCATTACCTGGTACCAATTCTCTGTATTAGTCCATTCTCATGCTGCTGTAAAGAAACACCCAAGGATGGGTAATTTATAAAAGAAAGAGGTTTAATTGACTCACAATTTCGCATGGCTGGGAAGGCTTCAGGAAACTTACAGTCATGGCAGACAGCAAAAGGGAAGCAGGCACTTTCTTCACAAGGCAGTAGGAGGGAGAGAGAGCACAGCAGAAACTGCCACACTTTTAAATCATCAAGATCTCATGAGAACTCCCTCACTATCCTAGGAACAGCATGGGAAAAATCACCTTCATGATCCAATCACCTCACACAAGGTCTCTCCCTTGACATGTGGGGATTACAATTTGAGATAAGATTTGGGTGGGGACACAGAGCCAAACCATATTAATTAAAAAGAAAATGATGTTGCAGATAGAATTAAGGTTGCTAATTAGCTGGTTGAGGAGAAGTTACCATGTGATTCACTTAGGCATTGCACACTTAGGCATTTATCCCAGAGAATGGGAAAGTTATGCTCACACAAAAACTGTACCATAATGCTTATAACAGCTTGACTTGTTGTATCCCTGAATTATCCCAGATGTCCTTCAACAGGAAATAGTTAAAATGTGGTAATATACGTACTATGGAATAGAACTTTGCAATAGGAAGGAACTAACTTAACACCTTAAATTAATTTCCAGGGAATTATGCTTTGTGAAAAAAAAATTCTCAAATTTACCTTGAGTAAGATTTCATTTATATAGCATTTTTAAAATGACATATGACATTTTAGCTATAAATGACATATTAGTGACAAATTAGGAAAAAGGCTGGCGTGTACTAGAAGGTGGTACTAGAAAGTATTACTATAGATAATAAATATAATTATGTACAAATGATAAAAGTAGCTGGACTTACTATATGTTTGTCATACTCATTCTTTTTATCCTCTAGACTCAGGGCGATGCCTTTTACTAAAATGGGCTTCCAAATGCTTGCTAAGAAGTGGAGAAAGTTCTGTTGTTTTTGTGGTGGTTACTCCTAAAATCTGTGATAAAGAGATTACTTTGATAATCTTTGAAATTAAATACACCTATCAACAGAAGAAGCTCACTTGCAGTACAGATGCACCTCAAGTACAAGGGGGTTATGTCCTCATAAATTCATTGTAAGTTGAAAATATTGTGAAGTCGAAAATGCATTTAACACCTGAGAAACCCATTGTAATGTGAAAAAATCTTATGTTTAAATCCTGTTAAGTTGGGGGCCTTCTGCATTTCCTGAGTAACAATAGCTTCATTTGTATCCTCCTTTAAAATTTACAGAGTAATTTTTACATGCAGAATTCTACATCAGTCATATAAATTACAGAAGATACGTAAACTATATGTAATCATTTGCACTTCACAGATGAGACCCAGAAACTTATACAAAGCAGAGCCAAGATTGTAACCCAGGTCTTTTAACTCAACTCCAGTACCATGGTTTTTTGCAGTACCCATTTCTCTATGCAACTTCTAACAATATTGGTTCTTAGCTCTATAAGACACAATGACAGTTTTCTAAAATAAATGTTTTGAAAGTCCTTTTTTCACTCTCCTGAAAAAAATTACAGAGTCAATGCACTTAACTTCAAAATAATTGATATTATGCTTATTATTATATAGAAGAAAATAAAAATAGAAGTTTGAAATAATGTGCATGTCAATAAGTACTTGAACATGACAACACTAGAATATATGCTAAAGAAATCAGATATTTGCAATAATGTATAGAATATTCATGTGACTGCTACAAATGCAGACTCAAATATATTAAGCTGCTCTGTGGTGAAGATTTATTGGTAAAATTCCAAACATAATAAAGTATAATTTCTAAGATGTATACACTAGCTGTATTTAGGAAAAATTTGCTGTATATTCATATCCAGCTAACATTACTTTGTAATTATAAATAGGGTTTGCATCATGAATGTCATGGGCATTGTGGTTCCTTGTGGTATATCTAATATCCCTAGCTAGTGCTCACTACCTGCCAGTAGAGTGCCCAATTCTTATGACAAGCAACACTATCCCCCTGAATTTCACAATGATACCTAGGTTGTGGACATCTCCTCTATTGCACTCTGCTAAACACAGCATGGAACAACAATAGCAGAGTTACTGGGGACAGCTTCAACATTTTTGCCAATTAAGTGTTAATCACTGTTAGGACTCTACATTTTCAGTCTCAGGAACACTTTTGAAATAGCTTCTTGCACTCTGCACTGCTTATACTCATACAACTTACTTCCTCAGAAGGACAATAAAAAAGGAATAGAGGTATCTTTTTCTAGCCTAAATTATGTAAACCTTCTCAAGTAAATCAGGAATCAGCTAATTTCACTATCATTCAATAGACTTCTGTTAAATATCTCAAATGTCAATTATATGAAGGCCTAAAATAGTAAAATAGTTAAATATAATTTGTAATTCAGACAACAAAAAATGCTTACCTATTCATAACTATCTCCTCAAAGGTCAAAGACAGTAACTTTTATTATTAAGCTTTGTAGAAGCTAATTCATGTCTTATGGCCAGAGTGATGGTAACAGGCCAAGATATCACTTGTAGAGCCTGCCAACCGCAGCTTCTGTTATTGCACTTGTCAAAATGACCCGCTGGGATGGAAGATTTATTAGAATTTTCTTTCCAGATAAATCCCTGTTGTGAATCAAATTATTCACTTTGTATTGAATAATATTTTTAGCAGTAATTCTGGAGTTGTTTAAAAGTTCTTATTAAGGAACATGTTATATATTTTGATAAAATCAGAGTGTAAAGAAAACCAAATGAATGAAAAATGTATTTCATAAGTTGACTTTCCATTGTTTAATATCATTTGCCTTTTAGTGTAATTCTTATGCCATATTTGTTTTGAAAGCTACAAATCTTATTTATGGTCCGATAATAAATATCTTTCCCTCTGATTTACTGAAAATTGGTAAGGATTTTGATAAAAGATTGAGTTCAATAGTGATGAATGGTCCTAAGAATTACAAGATTTAGTTCAATATTTTGTATGTATATTTAAAGTCTACAACCAGACAAGCGACCAAGAAAGTTTAAGCAATATTAGTAATCTGTATTTGTCACTGGACCCCTGAGTGTTTTCCCAAATGTGATAAATGAGGGGGATACCAAAGAGAAGCTTCAGGTTCTCTAAGGGAGGATCGACTCAGTAGATAAGTGATGGTCCAAACTGCCCCATGGGTCTTCTTTGGAATTGAGGTTAAAAGCCATTGCAACTTCTTTTTAGAAACCAAGCAGGTATCCTCAAGCACTTGATCTTCGAATGAAGCACAATATTCACGCAGTTTGAATTTTTCTACTTTGATTTACATAAATCACAATGGTTTAAATATGCACACATATACATACAAATATACATTCACTGCACCTGGAGATTTATGAGACAGAGCAATTCATATTTAGAATTGATAAATGTCTGAAAATGGATTAAAGAAGGTTTTAAACTGCATATTTACTAATACAGAAATGCCCCCTACATTTGTAATCTGGCAATCTGTATTTGTATTTCAGCAAAGAACCTATGTAAAATCAAATTCCTTGTCTACCTACACAACCCATCAATGAAAAAATAGACTTAAAAAAATAAGTTTGGAAGTCCTACTGCCCTCACACATATTCAAAAGTGACCCTAAAACAAATATATGTTTCCTACCTCTTAACTAAATCTCTCTAACACTCCATTTACTTCACTAATCTTAAAAACACACCTTACAAAGTTACAATTCATTAGATCGGTGATTACTTGATATGGAGGACATCTGGGAATGGGTTCACTGAACATCTGAAACGCGTCACATCATTAGACAAAAGAAAATGTTGATGAGTCCCTGAGTGTTCAACATGGCTGGACTTCACAGGCTCATGGATCACTGCAAGACTGATTTTATATATGTACACACACACATACACACACACACACACACCCATACCTATACACATGTTAATAAAAAACTGAAAAGGGAAGAGAAACAGAAGTTTTACCCTATTAGACACCTCAACCTAGAATATAGTTGGCACTCTAAATATTTTTTAAACAAATGAATAACAGAATATGTATAAATTGATGACACCTTTTTCTTGGAAATTATGGCAATGTTTTGTTGAGGCTCCTTGGTCCATTGTATATTCCCCACAAATGTGATTGGTTTGGGTTCAGCCATGTTCAGTCAGACCTTTGGGAAATTATCTTTAAAGATAGACTGACTGAGAAATCTACCAGTTCAGTAAGATACCACTGCAAAAGATTAATATCTCATAGAAGTCTCCATTACACTTGCCACAGACTTCTGACATTAAACGATGATGCTGGTGAAACACCGACTTACTATCATGGCATTGCTTAAAATGATTACTTCATCGCAGCAACAAATGGGCAGAATACAGAAGACAGGACTATCAGGGCTTTTTGCCTTGTATTTTTGCTGATAGAGAAGAGAAAAGAAAATGTGAATCTTTTGAGTCAGCCATAGTATTTTGGAAAAAATATTTTGAATAAAATTTTCTTAATTAATAGATATAAAATATTTTGCTAAAACAATAGAAACAAAAGGCGATAATAATAGTATCTTGTGATAGTCTACTTGGTGAAACATGGCCTCAGAATGTCTTGAAAATAGAAAAGAACCTAAATGTTCTATATAATCAAAATGAGAAAAAAGCAGCACAAAAGCAGCAGCCTGGTATAAATTTTAGCAAATCAACAGGAACACTTTGAAACACTCTGTTATTTTCTTTCTCTCCACCCGGAAACTCTGCTGGGAACTCCACAGGACTACTGAAGTCTACTCTTCTCTCTTCCTTGTTACTTTTTGAAAGGCAAAGCTAAGCCTCAGAAAAACAAATCACCAACAAGATGCATTTCAAACCTGACCTAGTTCTGACTAGGCCACATGAGTATTTCATGTACATATTTACCCTACAAGATTAATCTCATTTTCAGCAGTTATTCAGATGTGTAGATGTCAGTACATTAAACCAAACAAACTCAATACTGTAATTGTACTTTAAGTTCCAAGACACAGATTGACTTTCTAACGTAAATTTACAGATCATGCTCTTGATAATTTGTTCTCCCTCTTATGACATTTAAAAATATGTAACCCTTTGTATTTGAAAACTTGCATTTTACATTCTGGACAACAGGCTTATGCTCTTTTCTTTTTCCTTCCTTCCTTCCTTCCTTCATTCCTTCCTTCCTTCCTTCCTTCCTCCCTCCTTCCCTCCTTCCCTCCTTCCCTCTTCTCTTCCCTTCCCTTCACTCCCCTCCCCTCCCCTTCTCCTTCCTTCCTTCCTTCCTTCCTTCCTTTCTTCCTTTTTACTTTTCTGCCTTGTTATAGAGCTAAATTCATCAGATTCTAATAATCTATGGTCATTTACTTTGAATTTGGCTTTTAAAAGAAAGTTATCTTTGCTAAGTAGATTTCTTTATGGGGGAAAACAAGATATTTGTGTTATCTTAGTAATTACATTTTCATTTCAGATAAATAAATCATTATACAGGTTATCATGACAGATTCATGCATCAATAAATCCCCCAGAGCTTAATCACCCTGGACAATATATACAGTTGTACTCATGGGCATAAAAAACTAAAAAGATAAGCATAGACTTGTGGTGACTTTAATAAGAAGCGGATAGCGCTGAGCTTGTGATTTGATAAATCAACTAGTTATCCTTCTTTCTATGTTACCTTATCTATAACAGTAGTTAACAATCATCTCATGAAAATGATTGTATGATTGTTAACTGAATTTAAAGATATGTTAAAAATCCCAAAATAAACATACTTTGTTTGATTCTATTTGCAAGATCTGATAAGAAAAACAAGTATGTTTAATATATCCTATTATGTGGGGTTTTATTTGTTTTTTTGTTTTTGGTTTGTTTGTTTTCTTTCTTTTTTTTTTTTTTTTTTTGAGATGGAGTCTTGCTCTGTTGCCCAGGCTGGATGCAATGGTGCAATCTCGGCTCACTGCAAACTCCACCTCCTGGGTTCAAGCAATTCTCCTGTCTCAGCCTCCTGAGTAGCTGGGATTACAGGAGCACACCACCATGCCTGGCTAATTTTTTGTATTTTAGTAGAGACGAGGTTTCACCGTATTGCCCAGGCTGGTCTCAAACTCCTGAGCTCAGGCAATCCACCTGCCTCAGCCTCCCAAAGTGCTAGAATTACAGGCATGAGCCACAGCACCTGGCCTATATCCTATTGTTATTAAATATAAGATGAATTTGCATAGTATTAGGAAAGGTTAGATTAATTTGAAGGGTGACAATTACTTCTTACATGGTCTCATTTGTTTTAGTTCATTTTATACCTACTCTATGCCTTTTAGAGAGCATAATTTATAATGTCAACCACATCATTTATAATGTCCTGCATAGTATTTTTCCACTATGGACAAATATCTTTTTATCTTTATTTTAAATTTTATAACTTTCATCTTTATCCTTATATAAACATGTACTTGAATTTTGTAACGATTCAATGATTGATTTAACAGGCTCTTGCCTGTAATCACTCTTCTGTCACTAGGGATACAGTGATAAAATAAAGATAACGTATCTGCTTAAATGAACCTTACATTAAAATGAAGAGAAGCTATGAAGAAAAAAGAAAGAGAAGAATAAAGCAAAAACATGGATGAGAAAAAAAAAAGGAAGAAAGGATGAAAGGAAGTAAAGGTACCAAGGAATATTAACACTATCAAGTAGTGTAAGTGTTATATAGAGATATAAAATAATCTGGATAGAATAAGAGTAACTGCATGTCTACTTTAGATTGAATGATGTAGTTAAATCTTCTTAAAGAACAAACTATAATAACATTTGCTAAAATGCTAAAGAAGGCTTTATTCCAAACTATTGCAATAATAATATTGCAATCTGGGAGAGAGGTTAGGCTCAACTCCAAATACAACAAAGATAGCTAGGGATATACTGCCAATGAGCTGAGTGAAGAGAGTCAGTGGATGGAAAATTATTAAGAGGAGAAATCAAGGATAGGGAGCTTCCTGCTAAACTGTTGTAATATGATTCTTGCTGAAGGCAGGCCAAGGTAAATAGGTTTCAATTTGTGGATGAATAATTTGGTTATATCATAGGTGATCAGATACCAGGGGTGAGGGATTCTCTCTAAACTGGCTTAGCATGATTCTCACTAAACTGAGCTAGGCAGGCCCAGCAAGGACAGAGGTTATAGTCAATATCCAGTTGAGAAGAGGGCTCAGAGGAACCTGTCTAAAATTTGGTCAAGGAGAAAGTCTTTGTCAACTTTTTCCTGATTCAATTTAAATTTAAATAGCTTAAGTTAGGGCAGAGCTTAATTTAAGATTTGGATGTCAGTGGTGCAGCAGTTAGGCAAACAGCAAGGATAAGAACCTCAGTTAGAGAAAATAGCTAAAATAAATGTTCTTTAAAAACTGATTTGGTTCATTGCAGAGAAAGAAATAAACTGTGTGCCTGGAGTGAAGTGATTGATGTAGGTAATGTCTACAAACTAGACCAGGTTATTTGGGAAGATTTATCAGGTTTTTTGGGAGAATAATCAGTAAGAATTGCATCAAATACAGGAAATTAGCAAAAAAGTCAAAGATCAGGAATATCTTTCATTGTACTGAACAAAACTTGTGAATGGTGATAACATTGGCTGAGGTTGGGACATTGAAGGGTTGTAGACACATAACGAAATATTGGGTTTTATTAGGATTGAGTCGTTCTTTCTAATCCTAATGGACAAGTAAGTTGGAAATACTAGTCTTTAGTTTATGGCTATGTCTAGGCTTTACATACATGTGGAAGTTGTAGAAAATGGATAGTATTTAAGGCTTTAGAATCAAACGATATTGCATAGAGGTAGAAAACAAGAAGAAGGACAGGACAAACACCCTAGGCATTCTGACATTTAAAGATCAAGCTCAAGAGAGGAGCAGGAAACAGCATAAATAAACTTGCCCTGTGAAGGAGAAGAAAATCCAGAAGGTTATGCTTTCACAGAAGTGAAAGGAAAGAAGAATTTTAAAAAGAAGAGAGAAGTCAGTTACATTTATTTCTCCTGAGAGGTTAAATAAGAGAGATAGCCATTAGTATATTTACTACAAAATTATCATGTATTTATTAGAATGAAATCTAATACGAAGAAAGACAGGAATTTATTCAATAGTTTCATGAATCTTTGTACTGCTAGGTGGAGTAGAATGTGAAATCAATGGAGAGTATTTTTTTAAGATAAGATACTTCATGATTGGTTGCTAATGAGAATGATCTAGTACACAGTGAGAAACTGATGAGTTAGACAAAGAGGAAAGCACTTAAGGTGAGAGAGGTTGAAATTTAGAATGGCTAGCCTTACATAAGACCAAGGATATTTAACCTCTAGTCATCCAAGGAAAGCAAAATCAGGAAACAAACCAGCAAATGTGTTGGTGGGACAATGAGGTAGCTGTTGTTAGATGGTTTGTATTTTATAAGCTGAAATAAAGCTAAAGAGAAAATGAAAAGGTTTAAAAATACAGGAGAGAAACTGTCATTTAAGACAATAGAAAATCAGCATATCTGGTAAAAGACATAATAATTGAGCAATGTGAATGAACATGACTCACGGTAAAACAAATTCACATCTATATATACAGTAGTTTCCCCTTATCTATTGTTGAGCTTTCTGTGGTTTCAGTTACCCATGGACAACTGTGCTTCAAAAATATTATGTACAATAAAATATTTTGAGAGAGAGACCACATTCACATACATTTTATTACAGCATATTATTTTACTTTATTACTAGTTATTGTTAATCTCTTACCATGCCTCATTTGTAAATTAAACTTTATGGTAAATATGTATGCACAGAAAAAAAATCATAGGATATATAGGGTTCATACTATCCATGACTTCAGGCATCCACTGGGGTCTTGGAACCTATGCCCTAAAAATAAATTGGGCTGGGGGACTACTGTCTTTGTGTGTTGTTGGAGGGAGGTCTTGTTATTTTGATATTCATATTGGTATTTGATATTCCAGTTTAATAAAATTCAAAGAGTATTTTTCTTATTTAAGAAAAGGCCCAGAATCCATAAACTGTTGTGGGTTAACTTGCAATTAGGGTAAAATCTCAAGGTGATTTACTGTAAGGGTTTTACTACAAGATGAGAAACAGAGATATACGTGTAACAAACTATATATGGATTTGAACAAACATTTTATTGAAGAAACAGAATTTAAGGAGAACATATGAGAAAGCTATTTATCCATCTATGTATTTATTTAAAGAGTAGAAAAACTTTAATATTTTATAATGTATGACCTGGGTCTTGAAAAGATTAGGAGATTCCAAATAAGAGTAGTTGTCTGACCTTGCTGTGACATCTTAACTTTTTCACTAAATACATAGTATTTAGTGAAAAAAAAAACTTTAATATTTAAATATGTATGGCCTTTGTCTTGAAAAGATTAGGAGATTCCAATTAAGAAGAGTATGAAAAAGTATGAAGACATGACTCAGTTCTTCTTTCTCTGTTTTTCTCTTCCTTTTTAAATTTTTATTTAATGTATACCTTGCATGTGTTTCTCTCTTCCTATCATTTTATGAAAACATGCTTTTGTTACTTTAGTTCTATTGCTATTACTTCTATGTCAATAACATTTATATTATACCTCTGACCTGAAGCTCTAGTTTTATATTTCCAGCTCTCTAGAGTAGATTTCCACTTGAAAGTCTCATTGTCACCTGAAAATAAAAGCATCAAAAACCTGATATTATTTTATTTCATAAGATCTTCCATTCAATTTCCAAATCTCTTCATTATAACACTATTTTCTCAGTTGCAGAACTGAAAAGTTAAGATTATATTTGAAATCTCTCTCTAGAGGTCCACTCTTATCCAATTAAACAATAAGCCTTCTCAATGCATCCTTTGAAATGTCGCTGCTGTTCATTCCTTCAACTTCCTAAAATGCCCCTTTATTTACTTTTAACCTAATTAATGCAGGTGCTTCGAATATGGTCAACTACATGGCCTATTTCTCTTCCAATCCAGTCGGCACATATCTATCAAACTTTCTGGAAAGTTTTACCTCATTTCTCCCCTGTTAGCAAACCTATAAATTTATTCAAAAATTAACTACTTGTGTCATTATCGTCTTCTTCTGAAGAAATATACAATGTAATTGGCAATGATGCCTATATTACGGCCTACGTAGTCAACTTGATTCATTTGTATTTAGTCCTGAAGGTCCTAGACAGTCACTACTACATTTTATTTCCAGTGATATAAAATAATCTGATCAAGATTTTAGTAAATCGCTCTACAAAGAGTAAATATACATACATACAGATATATGTATAAAATCAGCAAAATAGAATATTTGTTATGACACAAACATAATATTGAGACCAAAAAAAACAAGAAAAGTAAATACTTTAATAACCTTCAATGTCAAGGATTTTCTATGATATGTTTAACAAATGTAGTGATCTATATCTCTGTCTATTCCTTTGATTAATCCATTGTTGTTTAATCCTTTGTTTCTGTGTCCCTTTTCAAACACACACTCAAGGTGGAGTCTAATTTGCTTTTAATGCCATAAAGTGGCACCTTCCTAGAGTGAACTTTTTAAAGTGCATAGAATAAGCCCCAACAAATGGGAGTCCTTGTATATTGTTATGTTATTTATTTATTTTTCTTTTTTAGAGACAGGGCCTTGCTCTGTTCCCAGGCTGAAGTGCAGTGGTCCAATCATAGCTCACTACAGCTGCAAACTCCTGCTCTCATGTGATCCTCTCTCCTTAGCCTCCTAGCACCTAAGATTACAGGTGTCACACACAACTATTGTTATTTCTTTAAGCAGTAGCTAATGCAGCCATTACTTCATCCATGAGACATATATGTCATATCCTAAAATTATTTGTGCTACTCATTTTAAAATAACTATTTAATGAAGTACCAATGTTTATTTACTCACAATTTCACCTAGGAAACAAAAGGTGGAAATTTCCATCTGCAAATATGCCAATTTGTGTATACAGCCTCATATAGCATATTGAAGAAAATGCCTAACTTCCGTGAGAAATAAAAAGTAAAACAATAGTTTTCTTCTGATATAGTCTGAGCTAAATTGGACCTTAAGTGACGTATTTGTAAAACAAAAGGTATAAACAAGAAAAATTGACCTATAATTGTATTGTTACAGAATGTCTTTAAATAATAATTCTTTAAGTTTGTTCAAACTTGGTAATTTTTTAGTTATGAATGCAAAACACATTAAAATTAAATAAATTGAAAAATGCCTAAAAAAATTAATTCCAACATAGCTATGTTTTATTCTTTTTATAATATAATTATATTCTTCTTTATACTTTCAATAGGCTCAAAGATTACTGTTTGGTAATAAAAATATACACTTCAAGTTTCAGACAGTATCATATTTGGAAACAGTGACATATAACAACATCAAATTAGTACTTAAGTTGGCATTTTCATCTATCATCCATTTGCATTGTTATCTTAATAACTAAATCATTTTATTGCTGTGTATAAATCAATAAGGGTAAGAACCAAAAAATCCTAATAACAGAGTCAACCCCGACAACATACACCTACACCCCACATACATACACCCCCCCACATACCACATAATTAAAATAAAATGTTACTTTTAAAATATAAGTACATTTCTTTTGATCATACAAAAATGGAAAGCATATCTCTTTTCTGTAAACATACAGTATGAGGAGACAACAAAATGCTGAATTAGGCAAGTAAAAAATCACAGGTATCACTGATAGGGCTCTAATACAGATAACTTGATAACAGGTATTAAAAACTAAAATGTTAGCCAAGTTAGGATGTTGCAACAAAGTCAGACTTTATTCTATGACTTTTACCTACTTACCTTTTTTTCTCCTCCAGGTTCACCCCTTAACCTTTCCACCAAGCTCTGTGGTCTAGAATGTTGAACTGTGTTCATTATATCAATATGAGAGTTTCCTTGCTCTCTAACTGCTGATTGGGTATGACTGAGAGGCACCAACAGGAGAACCGAAGGCAGAAGGATACTGAATCTCAAAGTATTTTTTCCTTAGGTCTTTCCCATTTGTCCTGCTAGAAACTGTCAGTGATTGCATTCTTCTACTTAAGGCTATAGGTTCTGTGTTCATGGCCCTTGCTAACAGCTACCAGCTTTCCTGAGTTCTGGCAACTCCTGAATCTCCTGGCTTCTTCGTGAGTGAATGTGGTCACAGGTTTCTCTCTATTGTTTCTCCCAGAGCGCTCCACAATTCCATCTTGGTTTCCATTAAACTGCCCCCCACCTCTGTAATCAATTATCTTATCAAATTTTTGTCATTTATTCTTTTTATTATTGCGCTAAGTCATTGTCTTTTGGGATTCTTACAAAAATAACTAACTGTCATCAATTTGGTATGAAAAATAAATTGACTATGGCAATACAGAGTGAAGAAGATGCAATAAAAAATAAATTGTGATAGACAAGTCATTTACACTAAAAATACAACTATCTCTAGTTCCTCTCTTTAGCTTTCACATTTTATCCTTCTATTGTCTTATCCAGTTAATACGAAAATATTTGTGAAATACCAAGGCAAGGATTGGGTGTATAATCAGGTAATAAGTTTTATCGGTTTCTTAATGGATTATAATCTGGTTAGAGACATAACCAACCTCCAATGAAGTGACATTTAGAATGAGACCTAAAATATAAATAGGAAATGGGCAGTCTAAGAGTTCTAGGCAGAAACTATAGAATATAAAGTGGTCCTAGAGGAAAAAATAAAGGGATGTAAACAGGAAGTTCACCTTGGAGCAAAACATAGCACTAGATGAGATTGAGATATTTACCAGCAGCAAATCATAAAGGACCTTGAATACCACACTAGGAGCTTTGTATTTTTTTCTAAGTGCAACAGGAAACCATCAGAGTAGCTTCCATGGAAGACTGACATGATGATATTTGCATTTTAGAATGATTTCTCTGACAGCTGTATTGGAAGTGGATTAGAGAAAGCAATAAATGGATGCTGGGGATACAAATGAGGTGAAGAAGCCTAGTGCATTTGTACAGGGGAGAAAATCTAAGATCATGACAGCTAGCTAAAGATCACCATAAAAATAATCACCTACATCAACGCACTACAACCTCTCCATTTTAAGCAGCATTTTTCCCTTTTTCTTTTACTATTTTAATTTGCTTTCTTATTCTTTGTTATTTTTTTCATATTCCTTTCAATGAAAAGATTCTTAATATGTATGTGTTATAGATCCCTATGAAGACATGATGGAAACAGTATTTCTTTGTTCAGAAAATGATTCTTTAATGAACATACACAAAAACTTCTCCACTAAAATTTAGAAGATTCTTAAAATAGCTAAAATCTATATGTAAAACCATAAGTAAACAATACCTGAACCACAAGGTAAAGTTTGGTAAATGTGCTCATTAGGTAAGTAGAATCAGGAGTATTTTTTTAGTGTTCGTATCATAAAGGTCATCTGCATTAATCAAGGATGTAGGCAGAGGAGTGAGTTAAAATGGGAAATACAGGTAATAACTTGAGAAATATTAATAGATCTTTGCTTTTTTTTTTTTTGCTAGAGAGCCTGAGGCATCTAATTATTGGAGGTTTCTTTTTTTTGGAAGAGATTGGGCAGGGAAAAAGAAGGGAATACTTTAGAGTTGTTTTAGTAGGAACAAAGAGAAAAAATGTTGACATTTTGATGCAAAGTAAGATTCAATATGCTTAATATGTTAATATTTTAATGTACCAATTCTGATATCTACAATATTATTTTATAGGACAACCACACACTTGTAAGTAAAGCTTTTATAGAAAGAAATGATTTCTGAATTTCATCATCATATCAATCATCAGCACTGACCGGCTCAGACTAAGTTTCAGCATTAATGTAGAAAACATAGCATTTGTACCCATGGTGCAAGCCGTGAGGGCCTCTGCCCTCGAGGAAGAGGATATAAAATAGATTAATCCCAATTAAGAATGGAAAAGAGAGCAAAATAAAGTTATTCCTCTTTTAGCAAAGAGTCATGAAATAAGAATGAGAGAGAGAGAAGAGAGGAAAGACACAAGGCAGAGATCTCTGATCTTTGGTCTTTGGCATAATGTGATGAAAGTGGATTAGGTTACTTTAAGAAAAGTGACAAGTTCGAAGTCTTTTGCTTGAACTCATATTATGTTTAAGACTCTTGAAAGAGATCACTTCACAGTCTTCCCCACATTAGCCTGAACATGGGCATCAACGTAAAATACTTGGTATACCATGTTGAGGCCTAGAAGGTCCTGGGGATTTCTTCTCCACAGTTCACAAGTATCATGAAAAAGAAGTTTCTGCTTGTCCCTCAGGAAACTGTAGTATTTGGCTGAGTGTCTACCCCATACCTTACTGGAGGGAATTTCCACTGTAATGTCAAAGTGGTGACACAATGGAGGACTGCAAATCTGACAACCAAGGCTGAGTACATGAGAATCTAAGCCAGTACTTAAAAGAGTCCACAGCAGCAGTAGCACAAGGAAAGCAAATTTTGAAAGTATGAAACTGGATGAAGCAGAGAGTTCAGACCATGAATTATATCTGCTTCAAGCTTCAGAAACTGATTTTCATCTAATTTTCAGAAAAGATGCGAGTCACAATGTATATTAAGAATATGGAACACAAATCAGAAGTATTTTCTTTTTGTTAGCAAATACAGTCCAATGGAGTACCCAAACTTGGAGAAGATGAAAGGGGTTCTTAAAGATTGGAAAATATTCCAAAAGAGATAGAGTTACTTAAAAAGACTGCTCAAATTGCAATATTAAACTAAAATTACCAAACTGAACCAAAATTTAGATTATCTTCTATTGAAGAAAATTAAATTATATTTTGGAAAATGAAGAAATACTATTTTTGATACACATTTGGGAGGAATATGAATAAATCTTTGAAACTATTTAATTGCTTTACAACCCACTAAACAATTTATGTTTTTTTCCTGTTGCGTGGACAGTACTGATCATAGAAGAATTCAGACAAGAAAATCTAGTGTATTGAAACAGAGAATTTGACCAAATGTAACAGAATGTCTGTCTGCATCTAATCCATGAACATAACAACTCTGAACTCTAGGAACAAGGCATCTATCTTAGGAAGATGACTTTATGATTAGAAAAATTGTAAAAGTATAAATAATAATTAGGGGTAGAACAACACATGGTTTAATTAGCTCTTTCCTGGTTAAAGAAAAAACTTGGAAGAAATTGGGTGGAGTTGTGCTACAGATACAGTATGAGGAAATTAGGGATGAAATTTGAATTATGGGTATAACTAGATAGGAGAAATAAGTCCTAGTGTTTTAAATCACTAGAGGATGGTGATGGTTAACAATAATATATATTATGTGGTTTCAAATATCCAGGAGGCTATTAAATGTTCCCATCACAAAGAAATGATAAATGTTTGAGATGATGGGTATGCTAATACCCTGATCTGATTACTATATACTATATGTATCAAAACATCAGTACATACCCCCATAAATATGTACAATTAATAAATGTAAATTTAAAAATAAAATTTTAAAATTACATTTTGTAGGAAAAGATTAACATTTACCCTTATGATTACAAATGTCTAAGGAGGTCATATACCTGTTGTTCATTGTTATTTTTGTTATTTTGTTTTGTTTGCACTGACTATAGGTTGAAGTTAGCCAAGGAAACAGTTTACGTTAAATTGCATATCTATTATGTCTCACTTGATTCACCATTGTGCACCACTGGCTGGAAACACCCATAGATTGAGAAATTATAAAAAGTCTTTTTTCTTTTTAATAAAAACACATATACAACCTGTTAATTAGTGCTCTTTCCATCCCCTTAATATTCAAAAGGGTTTGGCCTACTAGGAATGGCTTGATTGGCATACTTTTAAATTTTCACATAAAGTTCAACTTGGTATCTGACAATAAGATGCAACCCTCTTATGAATATAAGACATAGGCATTTCATGTGACGTCATTTGTTTATATGATGCGCTGTGCTAATATATGTCTTAATCATAAAGCTTATCAAGGAAAAACAGAATTGGCTACAGAAAATAACATGAAGTGACACAAATAAAAAGGTGTCTGAAAAAGATTATATTAGCATGTTCTATTTCCATACCGCCCACTCATCCTATACTGCATCTTCCATTGTTTTATCTACTTTTACTTACAAATCCAGAGAAGCCAGAAACTTACGGTTAGTTCCATCACCCAGCGCCCCTGATTATAAAGTTCACTCTTTGGAGAGAAATTGTATTAATTTCAACGTTTTGAAGATGATCTTACATAGAACAAATTTTTGTTATATATGCAATATAGCCTAACCTGGGAACAAAATTAAGGGTTACAAACTAGTTTATATGATTAAGTCTTCCTATGACATGTAAGGGATAAGAATAAGGACACTCTAGAAACAAACGCACTTCAGATTAAGTGTTTTCCAGACAGAAAACTGAAAGAAAAAAACATAGTTATGTTCCCATTCCTCTCTATTCTACCACCGCAGATCTATTATGCTATCTTAAGCATTTAAACAAAAACACGGAAACTCAGGGAAATCTCTCCTTGGCCCTATCACCCAATGTTTCAGGGGAGACAGCACTGACATCAGAATTTAGATATGAATGACCAGTGCTTTGGCAATATTGTGGGCTAAATAGAACTTTCTATGTGGCATGAGACAATGTCATCCAGCCAACCAGCCACTTAGTCCAGAAAGGGAAGAATTTTTCTAGATTTCATCTTCAGCCTTCAATATCTAATTGCCCTCATTTCTTTCAAAAATTACAAAATATTTCATTTTACTTTACTGGTACTGCCTTTGTTCATGTTCTCACCTTTGCTAACTTTGCCTATTGATAAGCCTCTTAACTGGTCTTTGTGCTTTCAAACTTCTCCCCGTAGAAACATTGATTATTAACTATTTGTTGTCATCATCTAAAAATATTTATCTTTTTTTAATCTAAAAAGATTTTTTTTTAGGTTCACAATGCTTAAAGAAAAGGAGAATAACATAAACAAACCTTACAAGAAATACACTTAATAGGCAAGGTACATTAACCACATAGTGAGTGAGTTCCAAAACCATTAAAGTCTACTTGCTCAATTAGGATGGAAGCAGGCTTCTGTGGCAAGTAAAGTCTAATTAAAGTTTGAGGTGTGTCTTTATATAATACAAGCAGTTCTCAGGAGGAGTTGGCTTGACCACCGCAGCAGAGATCTGGGACGACACGTGAGGTTCCCTGATGTTAGGGGGCTGTGCAGGTGTCAGCAGGAGAGACTTTGGAGATTAACTCCAAGGCTAACAGGGTGACACCCTGTCGCAACCTGAGCTCTTGGTGTTCAGTGGAGTAGCTGACAGAATACAGCCTGTCACAGCATACACTCTTGGTCTTCAGAGAAGTGGCCGACAGAGTGTAGCCCTGACATGAACTAAGCTCTCAAAGTGTCTGTCAAATTCTGGAGTTTATATGTATTTTTGAAATCCAGTAGTTGAGGTCAGTAACTCACATAAGGGGGGGTCTGATAAGGTTTGACTTAACATTCCCTGAAGGAGGGAGGAGTTCACTCCAAGTTCTCATACATGGGATCTGATAAGAAGTCACACTTTAAAAGAGGGGGAAATACTCTCCGAAACAAAAATATCACATATCAAGCTATGTAAGTGCTTGGAGTCATTTCAAAGCTACCTACAATATCATTTTCCTTCAGCATAAAACTTCTGGATGACTCCTCAATCTCCTGTGCACATAAGACCATTATCTGGTCTAAGCTTTTGCCAGTTTTCCTTTTTCTTAATTATAAACAAGTATTTTCCACAAATATGTCAATATGCGTAGTCTCCAATGCCATTGTATGTGCTCTTTGTTTTGTCTGGTGTGCTCTTTCTCAATGTTTTCCTATTCAGGTCTACCTGTGATATTCCACAGGCTTTCAAGAGTCACGTCACCATTGATTTTCCAGTACAGATTTCTGTGTTAGTCTAAGTAGATAGAGCACCTGCATGTTGACTGAATTGTTGACATGTTTTGTACTAAACTGCAAAAGAGCAGTTTTAAGAGCCAGAATAAAACCTTTTCAGTTGTTTATTAGCAGTATTTAGCAAAGTTACTAAGTATAAACTTAAAATTAGTTGTTGAAGTGAATAAGTGAGTGAACTTAATTTCTGTTACTTTGATGAGAAACATGCATTTAGAGTTCTAAGTCAGGGTCAGGTGCCATGGCTCACACCTGTAATCCCAGTGCTTTGGGAGGCTAAGGCAGGAGGATTGCTTGAAGCCAGGAGTTTCAGATGAGCCTGGGCAACAGAGTGAGATCCTATCTCTACAAAAAAAATTTTTTTAAGTTATCCAGGTGTGGTGGTATTTACCTGTAGTCCTAGCTACTTGGGAGATGGGAAGAGCCCTTGAGCCTAGGAGGTCAAGATTACAGTGAGCTATGATTGTGCCAGCCTGGATGACTGTCTCTCCAGCCTGGGTGTATTAGTCTGTTTTCACACTGCTGATAAACACATACCTGAGACTGGGAAGAAAAAGAGTTTTAATTGGACTTACAGTTCCACATGACTGGAGAGGCCTCAGAATCATGGTGGGAGGTGAAAGGCACTTCTTACATGATGGCGGCAAGAGAAAACGAGGAAGAAGCAAAAGCAGAAACCCCTGATAAGCCCCTCAAATCTCATGAGACTTATTCACTATCATAAGAATAGCATGGGAAGGACCAGCCCCCATGATTTAATCACCACCCTCTGGTCTCTCCCACAACACATGGGAATTCTCAGAGATGGAATTCAACTTGAGGACACAGCCAAACCACATCATTCTGCCCCGGCCCCTCCAAATCTCATGACCTCACATTTTAAAACCAATCATGCCTCCCCAACAGTCCCTCATAGTCTTAACTCATTTCAGCATTAATTCAAAAGACCACAGTCCAAAGTCTCACATGAGACAATGCAAGTGCCTTCCACCTATGAGCCTGTAAAATCAAAAGCAAGCTAGTTACTTCCTAGATACAATGGGGGTACAGGTATTGGGTAAATATAGCCATTCCAAATGGAAAAAATTGGCCAAAACAAAGGTGTCACAGGCCCCATGCAAGTCCGAAATCCAGCAGGGTAAGCCAAATTTTAAAGTTCCAAAATGATCTCCTTTGACTCCAGGTCTCACATCCAGGTCATGCTGATGCAAGAGGTGGGTTCCCATGGTCTTGGGCAGTTCCACCCCTGTGGCTTTGCAAGGTACAGCCTCGCTCCCAGCTGCTTTCACAGGCTGGTGTTGAATGTCTGCAGCTTTTCTAGGTACATGGTATAAGCTGTTGGTGGATCTAACATTCTGGGGTCTGGAGGATGGTGGCCCTTTTCTCACAGCTCCATTAGGCAGTGCCCCAGTAAGGACACTGTGTGGGTGCTCCGACCCCACATTTCCCTTCTACATTGCCCTAGCAGAGTTTCTCAAGAGGGCCCACCTCTTCAGCAAACTTTTGCCTGGGCATCCAGGCATTTTCATACATTTTCTGAAATCTGGGCAGAGGTTACCAAACCTCAATTCTTGACTTCTGTGCACCTGCAGGCTCAATACTACATGGAAACTGTCAAGGTTTGGGGCTTACATCCACTGAAGCCAAAGCCCAAGCTGTACGTTGGCTCCTTTCAGCCATGGCTGGAGCAGCTGGGACACAGGGCACCAAGTCCCTAGGCTGCATACATCATGGAAACCCTGGGCCTAGCCCATGAAACCACTTTTTCCTCCTGGGCCTCGAGGCCTGTGATGGGAGGGTTTGCCATGAAGGTCTCTTACATGGCCTGGAGATATTTTTCCCATGGTCTTGGGGATTAACATTAGGCTCCTTGCTACTTATGCAAATTTCTGCAGCTGGCATGAATTTCTCTTCAGAAAATGGGATTTTCTTTCTACTGCATTGTCAGACTGCAAATTTTCTAAACTTTTATGCTCTGTTTACTTTTAAAATGGAATGCTTTTAACGGCACCCATGTCATCTTTTGAATGCTTTGCTGCTTAAAAATTTCTTCTGCTAGATACTCTAAATTACATCTCTCAAGTTCAAAGTTCCACAAATCTGTAGGCCGGGGCAGTCTCTTTGCTAAAACATAACAAAAGTCACCTTTGCTCTAGTTCCCAACAAGTACCTCATCTCCATCTGAGACCAGCTCAGCCTGGATCTTATTGTTCATATCACTATCAGCATTTTCATCAAAGCCATTCAACAAGTCTCTAGGAAGTCCAAACTTTCCCACATTTTCCTGTCTTCTTCTGAGACCTCCAAACTGTTCCAACCTGTGCCTGTTACCCAGTTCCAAAGTCACTTCCACATTTTTGGGTATCCTCTTTGCAACGCTTCACTCTACTGATACCAATTCACTATTTAGTCTGTTTTCACACTGGTGATAAAGACATACCCAAGACTTGGAAGAAAAAGAGGTTTAATTGGACTTAGAGTTTCACATGACTGGCGAGGCCTCACAATCATGATGGGAGGCAAAAAGCACGTCTTTTTTTTTTTTCCCCGAGATGGAGTCTTCCCTGTCACCCAGGCTGGAGTGTAGTGATGCGATTTTGGCTCACTGCAACCCATGCCTCCTGGGTTCAAGCAATTCTACTGCATCAGCCTCCTGCATAGCTGGGACTACAGGCACCCACCACCATGCCTGGCTAATTTTTGTATTTCTAGTAGAGATAGGGTTTCACCATGTTGGCCAGACTTGTCTCAAACTCCTGACCTCAAGTGATCCATCTACCTCAGCCTCCCAAAGTGCTGGGATTACAGTTGTGAGCCACTGCACCCGGACCAAAAGCACTTCTTATATGGGGGCAGCAAGAGAAACTGAGGAAGAAGCAAAAGTAAAAACCATTGATAAACCCATCAGATCTTGTGAGGCTTATTCCCTATCATGAAGAGAATAGAATGGGAAAGACTGGCCTCTGTGATTCAATTACCTCCTCCTGTTTCCCTCCCACAACACTTGGGAATTCTGGGAGACACAATTCAAGTTGAGATTTGGGTGGGGACCCAGTCAAACCATATCACCGGGCAAGCCCTACCTCTTAAAAAAAATTATTAAAAAAAGCTAAATTAAAGTAAAAATTAAGCTCTAAGTCACTGGTTTATGCAATTTTAGGGACCTAACCCTTTGTAAGTTGTCTTTGTTCTTTCCTTAAATTTTTTAGTTAAATATTTGTAATTCAATTTAGAGCACACTAATTGAAAACTGTTTATGTAACACATGCTGTATGGTTGTGAGGAAACCATCCTTGCCCTTAGTGCTCACAATCTCATTTACATGCCAAAAAAGAAGGACTCATAAATGCAAGGACACATTGAATCAAAACAGTTTAATTCTGACTGAAGCCCCTTTAATCTACATTCTCTATAATGCAGCCAATTAGTTGCTGTGCTTTCTGTTTTGACATTGCATTAGCTTTTCTGGCATAAGTCTGTAGTAATTATTTGATTCTATGATCTCCATGAAATATGAAATGAAAAACAACATAAAATAGAAATATAAATACCCTAGATGTCAAGGTGATTCAGTTTTGTTATTTCAACAATGACCATGATGACACAGAATTATTTTGAAATAAGGGAATGGAAATCCTACTGATGGCACATATGCACATATGTTTTTTGATGTCAGTCTAAGAAGCAGCAGAAATATATGCATGCAGCACATATGCAGGCCCTTTCTTCTTCATTTCCCTGGAGAAAAAGGTGGAATTTAGCCTGTCAGTGACATGTGTGATGTGGTTGTCATAAAAATAAATCTGTATGCAATGTGCCCAGAATATCAACCATTTTTAATAGCAATTATAAAATTAAATTATTATTATTTTTAGGGTGTCAAGGTGGCAGAAAGTGCTTACTTCTGGAAAAATATACCAAACTTATTTTCTTCTCATTTCTTATATGAAGTGCACACTAACACACACACAGTGCTAGTGCACATGTACAAAAAATTTATACACTTGTTTTCTTATCATGCTAGACTTCTTTCCCTTTTCTTTTGGTCTGACTTTATTCCCCTGTGGTCCTCGGCAGGTCTACATCTTGCCTTTGATAACGTAGAAGAGATTTACTTCGTTTTAACAACTCTTTGTTGTCTACTTTATGTTCACAATCCATGGTTTTGAGGAATTGTGTAAGACAGATAAGACATAATGGTAGGCTGGTTCGTAGAATCTAAGTGTGGAGACAGAACAGACAAATAATATTTTACAATGTTATTTTGTTTTAAACCTCCAAATTTGTTGCAGATATATTAATTTGCATGCTCTTCACAATTACTTTGCATATTGTCTTATATATACTGAAAGTGCCCACCCACACAGACAGCTGCCTACTCAGATAGTAAATCGACAAAGTCACATTCCTGAGGTGAATGACAGAGGTTAGTACTGCTTTCAAATGCTTGAGTATCCCCTCTGTATTAGTCCATTCTCATGCTGCTATGAAGAAATACCCAAGACTGGATAATTTATAAAAGAAAGAGGTTTAATTGACTCACGGTTCCGCAGGACTGAGGAGGCCTCAGACAACTTACAACCATGGCGGAAGGGGAAGAAACATGGTGGCAGGAAGGAGAAGAATGAGAGAAGTGGAGAGTGAAGGGGGTAAAAACCCCTCACAAAACCATCAGATCTCATGAGAACTCACTCACTATTATGAGAACAGGAACTGCCCCCATGATTCAATCACCCCCCACAGAGTCCCTCCCTTGACAGTCGGGGTTATTACAATTCAAGATGAGATTTGGGTGGGGACACAGCCAAATCATACCACCCTTCAAAATGAAGAACACATTAAAGACAATGATTATCAACTAGAAACAGAGGACAAATTGCAGCAACAAGAGTTGTAGTTTGTTTCACAAACTCTTCTGTGGAAAGTCTTTTCTGAAATTGTGGTGAACAAAGAACATCACATTTTTATGTAAAGAAAAATCCTTGAGTATTATCAGCTATTTTATTTAAAATATTTCATTAACTTGGAGAAAATAATGTGTTACATTTATTTTTGCATGTTTATTTTAGTTCTGTGACTTTTTTGTTTGTTTTGTGTTTAGCAAAAATTTGACATAATGAAGCAGCTATAGCAATATGTTTAGTAACTTAGTGTTTTCTAGACTGTGAAAACATTCTAATCAGCCTTGACAACACAGCAAGACCCTATCTCTAAAAATATAAAAACGTTAGCTGGGAGTGGTGAAATGTGCCTGTATTCCCAATTACTTGGGAGTCCAAGGCAGAAGGTTCACTGAAGGTTAAGAGTTTGAGGCCGAAATGAACTGTGATTGCACCACTGAAAAAATATTCTAATATTTTATCTAGAATTCTGGTTCAGTCTCAGTTTACATTTGATTAATAAACTCTGAATTAGGTATTTTGGGGTATAAAAATCATAAAATAGCCAAGCTGAGACTATATCATATTTTTAATTTCATTAAAAGAAAAAGTAGTATACCTGTAAATTTCTTTGAATACTATTTGAATACAGATTTGAGAAAATCTGCGTAAACCCAATAATTCAAAGAACATTTGAGTAAGGGAGAGTTCCTATTCAAGGAATTGAGTAACCAGATATGCTTTACCAATTTCTGTGTTCCTTGATTACCCAAAGCTACCCACTTTTCAAGTCAACTGCCCTTGGGCAAATGAAAGCTACATCTCTCATTTGAAAGAAGCTTCATAGCTTCCTCCTCTTGCTCTGAGGCAACCCTGAGCCAATAATCCATCTATACAAAGGGTAGAAAAGATCCACCCCCTTGCCTCATGACAGTCCAAACTCTATGGTGTGACTTATGCTTCCAAACTGAGCTTCCCTGAGTGAATAAACTGAAGCTAGTCTCTAACTTAAATAACCTGCTTACCATGCTTTTTTCCTTCCTGTACTTTGCCTCCCTCAGTCCCCTACTGCTGAGAACACTCCTCTAGTTCATCACTTGACCAGTTCATTGTTGACAAGAATCTCCTTTCTAGGCTCTACTTCTAGGGAGCCTTATCTGAGGTAAATTTCTACCACAAACTTAAAAAGAAAGTGCTATCTCCACTTTAGAGTAAGCCAGTCAAGCCTCCCAGACTGACCAACTATAAAGGGTATGATTAGTAACACTTTAGTACTCAGAATGGCATCAGACTATAGGTGTTACTTGAGTTACTAATAGATATTTTAGGAAACATTTACTCTAAGACTTTTTATATCACCTGAATCCAAAAGGAAAAGGCAAGTTACTAAGCCTCATAATTTTGATAATTATTATTTTCTGCACTTAGAACTTATGAAGAAAGAGAATTATGACCACCAATAAACACTCAAAAATCAGATCAGTTCCTGTGAAGCACGCTTTTTCCAAATTCTTTGACTTTTAGTTGTAGAACTATGTTAGGTCGTTTATTGTGGGCAATTTGTGGGTAAATAATTTTATTTATGTTATTAATAATAAAATGTTTTTAATCAAAGTATCTCTTAAGAAGAAAAGGAGAAAATGTAAAAGACAGAAACATAGGATTAAAATTAAGGGGAAAAAATGCAACTACAGCTGCAATTAGGGACTGAAAGCAACAAGATTATACCCACTGAACGAAAAACAAAAGTCATTTATATCAGGGAGACTTTTACTTTGTTATTTCTTCTTTATTCTAATACAACAGGATGTAAACGGTCTTTGAACACTAAGCAAACTTATGTTATCAACTTGAACTTTTAGTTAAGAAGGAAACAAAATAATGAGAATTTTACCTACACAATAACTATTACAAAACTTTATTAAATTCTCTCTAGAATTTTATCTTATACATTACGTTTCCTCATTCTCTATGGAAACTAGTTTTACTAATTAAGAACTCAGTTATTAGATATTTATAAATATCTCTATATTATATATCACTAAAATAAAGCATTTAGCACTAGAACATGCTATTTTCTGCATTAAGTCATTCTAAATTAAATTGTATAATATTCCTTTTCTTTACTAATTAAGGCATTTGTTAAACTTGGATAATTTTAAGGTAACAAGGAGAACCTAATGGACTTCTATTGGATTTTTTCCATTAAGTTAACATTATAGACTTTTAATGAATGTCCTAATTAGATACTATTATTAACAGGGTTGATGCACAAATGAAAATCAGTCTCAATGTATGCAATATGCTTCATTAGCATTCACTGCAGGATACTGACCAAAAACCTTAATTAAAAATATGTCTGATCCTCCCATGTATAACTGCCCATTCAATAAAGTGCATGCATCCGGAAATGCATAAATAAATCAACATAGAAATAGCATTTGAACTAAATTTTATAAACTTTCCCTTCATTAGTGACTAATTTTTCTTGTATCCTCTCATTTTCCCATTTTATTGGCTCATTTTATGTACTATACAATAGCTAATTGCATACTTTGTTTTGCTATCACTTGTATTTTGCCTTCATTTCATGCCCAGTAACCTTAACATTTTTTATTTGCTCTTTCCTCCTTTACTCCTCAACACGCTTTGATCTAACTTCTGTCTCAACATTCTAATAATTATTCTCAATATGAAAACCTCTGATCTTGGTATTGATACCAGGGTCAGAAGATGCTTTTTTTCTTTGTTTACTTATATGCTCTCTCTGTGGTCACTGATATTATTCTGTCATCCTTTAAAAAATTCCCTTATTCTTCACCTCTGGATTACTTTATTTAATAGTTTCCATATATATCGGCAGCTATTCTTTCTCAAATTTCAATTGAATGTAATAGAATTGAGATGACGTAAATAGCATTTTTCTTTATGGCTCTGTGCTTTGTTCTCTTTTATTCCCATTCTATGTGATCTTTTGGGAGACTTCATCAACGTTTATAGCTAAATGTCAAATTTAAGCTGATTCATTCACTTGACAGTATTTACTGAGTTCCTAATTGAGGAAGATATTTCCTAGATGCTAGAAATACAGTAGCAAACAAAGTATACACATGATTTGCCTCTCATGAAGTTTACATTTTTTTCTTTTTTTTTTTTTTTTTGAGATGGAGTCTTGCCCTGTCACCCAGGCTAGAGGGCAATGGCATGATCTTGGCTCACCGCAACTTCCACCTCCTGGGTTCAAGCCATTCTCCTGCCTTAGCCTCCCAGGTACCTGGGACTACAGGCGTGCACCACCATGCCTGGCTGATTTTTTTGTATTTTTAATAGAGATAGGGTTTTACCACGCTGGCCAGGGTTACAGAAAACAATAAAAATCAGCAAATTATATCACCTACAGGCCTCTCTAATGGGCTTTAAATATGGTATACATCTATTTGCTTTAAATAGGTCGTAGAATATTTCATGCCTTCTCAAAATCAGCAAATTTGAAAACATGGTTATTATATGCTTTTGCCATTCTGCTCCTCTTTCTATATCTCTAACCTGAGTGAGTTTCATCAAGGTGCATGAATTTTTCAAAAAAAGAAATTTAGGATACCTCCTAGGCTCCTTCCTCTTTCTCATCCCCATGCACATCTAATAAACCGCCAATTCCCAAAAGCATGTTTTCCCCTCTCTATTTTTACTACTTTGTTTGAACTCATATAATTTCTTACATAGATTTAACAATGTGATTTTCTTTTTTCTTTTTTTGTTTTTTTTTTTTTGAGACAGAGTCTCGCTCTGTTGCCCAGGCTAGGGTGCAGTGGCTCCATCTCGGCTCACTGCAAGCTCCGCCTCCTGGGTTCATGCCATTCTCCTGCCTCAGCCTCCCGAGTAGCTGGGACTACAGGCGCCCACCACAATGCCCGGCTAATTCTTTCGTATTTTTTTAGTAGAGACAGGGTTTCACCATGTTAACCAGGATGGTCTCGATCTCCTGACCTCGTGATCCACCCACCTGGGCCTGCCAAAGTGCTGGGATTACAGGCGTGAGCCACCGTGCCCAGCCAACAATGTGATTTTCATGTTTCTTCCTGTAATTATTACACTAGTACTACTAATAATACTGTGGAATATGGAAGATCTTAAAAAAACCTATCTAATTCAGTCACTAATCTGGTAAAAAATATGAAATTTTACCTTCCATGGTTTTTAAACATATGATAAACTTCCTTCACTAGGCACATATGTTCCTCCAAACTCTATATAACCTACAAGATGCTAGTGTCATCTTGTTAGGACTCACAGACATGCATCTCTTTAACCATCGTATACCACTTGAATTTCACGAATGTGTGTTATATTTTATTTTCAATTCCCTCGAATGTATTTTTCACTCTATCTTTATTCCTACACTCAGCCTTTTCTTCTGGGAAGCCTTCTACAAATTACTAGCCTAACATTTATTTTCCCTTCTGTTTCATGTACCACCCAGGACATAGGTGTGCCAAAATATTAGGAAAGTATAGAATGCTCACAGAATTACCTATATTTTGCCTCAATAAAAGTCAATTCTTATGGAACTAAAATATAAATTTTTAGATTTTTTATTTTCCTAAAGATATTAATTTCCCAAAGATGTCTGTGCCCTAATCCTGGGAATCTGTGAATATATTCCCTTATATGACAAAGGGAATTAAACTCACATATGGTATTAAGATTTCTAATTAGCTGACTTTAAAATAGGAAGATTATCCTAGATTATCAGGATGGATCCAATGTAACCACATGAATTTTAGAGGTAGAAGAGGGAATGAGGAGAATGGGTCAAAATGTACTCCACACTCTTTGGCTGAGTTTGAAGATGGAAGGAAGGGACAATGTCCAAGAAATATGGTGATCTTTGTAACATAGACATGGAAACATAGAAAGACACCATAGAAGAAGGGCTAACATTCAAAGAAAGACACATCTTTCTGGACAGAAGAACTAGAGAAATGGTTACAGAAAGTGTGGGATAAATTCCTAAGAGAAAGCCATCCCCTAATTTTGCATATCAATTGGCATAAATTCTAGGCTTATTACCAAGTTGTGCACATATATAACAGGCATTTAAAAAAGCATAATAAAGCCAGTAGGAACTGTAATACCCTACATGCCATTGACCAAGTCCTAGACTAACATTTGACTGCTTTATGCTGGTGAATCAAAGCAATGTAGAAAAAGTATTGAAAAAGGAACTAATAAATAATACTGGAATCATCACCCATAGAAGGCCAGATGAGACTTTCAGTCTCACCCTAAACTGGTTGATTACTTATTATTCTGCTTGGGCTGCCATAATGACTTACCACATACTAGGTGACTTAAAGTAAGAGAACATAATTTTCTCAGAGCTCTGGAGTCAAGTCAAGATCAAGGTATCAGGAGTATTGATTTTTGTTGAGGCCTCTCTTCCTGGCTTGCAGATGGCCACCCTCTCACTGTGTCCTCATGTGTCCCTTCCTCCATGCCAATGTGGAGACAGAGAGTGAGCTGTGCTTTCTCTCCCTCTTGTTATAAGGACACCAGTCCTATCAGATTGAAACCCTGCCCTTATGACCAATTTAATCACCTCCTGAAAGGCTCTATCTCGAAACATAGTCCTGTTTGGGATTAGAGCCTCAACATATAAATTTTAGAGAATACAATTCAGTTCATATTATTTACTAAAACAAAGCAAAACCAGAATATAATTTTCTGTAGGATTATAAAAGGACTGAATATAAAGGAACAATATTCGAACTTTCCAGAATAGAATTCAAAATTTCTGACATAAAAAGAATTTGTAATTCTGAACAACACTCAAGAAAAAGGGCAATCAAAAGATACTAATATCTAGATTATTTAATTTTTCTGTAACCTGAAGACATTCCTTTAACATTTATGCTGGAGCAGTTACACTGGATCATTTGATATGATCCAGATGTTGCAATTACCAGAAAAACCTTTAATTCAGTTGTTATAAATATCCTCAGTAACATAACACTGAACACTATTAAAATGAATAGAGAGTGAAAAGTTCCCAGCAGAAAAAATTACAAATACACATGACATAAAATATATTAGTCATTTAAAAGTATACAGTTCAGTGGCATTTAGTACTTTTATGGTGTTGTGCAAATATCACCAGTGTCTAATACCAGTATGTTTTCATCACCCCCAAAACAAACTTTGTACTCAAAGAAAAGAAACTACTGAAGTTTTTAAACTGAAAATTACTACACCTGAAATAAAAAGTTCAGGTGAAGGAGGGGCGCGGTGTCTGAGTAGAGATGACTTCGGAAAGATTCAGTGAACCAGTGAAATTCTCAATAGATCAGTAGAAAATATACAATATCATTCTGGGTTTAATGGTGTCTCCTGAAAATGCATGTCCTTCCCAGAACCTTGGAATGTGAACTTGTTTGGAAATAGGGTCTTTGCAGTAGACAACTAAATAATGATTTAACTCTTGAAATTTATTTCTCTCAGTGTTTTTTAGATCATCCTTTAATTTTCCTATTAAAATTTCTGTTTGTAAATAATCCATGCTCTGTGTCCAGTTCACCATTTGTCACTCCCCTCTTAAAATATATAGAAGAAACAAAAGGAAATTTAAATTAAAAAAAAGTATGGCATATCCATACAATGGAATGTTATTCAGCCAAAAGTGGGATGAAGTTCTGATACATGCTACAGTGTAGATAAATCTGAAAAACATTATGCTAAGTGAAAGAAGGCAGACACCAAAGGCTACGTATTATAAGATTCCATTTTTTAAAAATATCCAGAATAGGCAAATCCCTAGAGACAGAAAGCAGATTTGTAGTTACTAGGGACTGTGAGAGTGTAGGTGGAAAGATGGAATGAGGAGTGACTGTTGAATGGGTACAGGTTTCCTTTTGGGGTGATGAAAATGTACTGGTATTAAACACTGGTGATATTTGCACAATAACGTAAAAGTACTAAATGCCACTGAACTGTATTCTTTTAAATGATTAAAATCATATATTTTATGTCATGTATTTTACCACAATAAAAATATTAAAGTTAAAAAAAAAGGGAAAAAATAGCTGACAGATTTTTTTTTTTAAGAATTAAATGTAGGATGAACAAAAGATTTCTCAAAACTAACAAAAAGACAGTACACGCCAAACTTTTCAACAGACCAGGAATAACTAATCATCAACTATAGTTGACTAGAGTTGCCAAGTGAGGGAGAAACAAAAATAAGAAACTTAAGGGACATTTGTATCACAAGTCCCCCAGTAGTGCTTCTAAACTCTGTATTTTAGGAAGAAGAAAAATTATTTCAGAAGGCAGTTCTTAGATAGAAATATAGAACAAAGAAAATGGTAAACATGTAGGTAGATTAAAAAAATTTAAGACATGTTATGTATATATATGTGTCAATTAGAAGAAAATAAAAAATATTTCAGGTGATTCTCGTGCATGATACAAAACATGATGACAGTACAATAATGACTGATATGTGGCTATATTAGTCTACTTTGTATTGCTATAAATACCTGAGGCTGGGTGGCTTATAAAGAAAAGAGATGTATTTGGCTTGTGGTTCTGCTGGCTATAAAAAAAAAAAGCATGGTACCAACATCTGCTTCTTGTGAGGACCTCAGGAGGCTTTCAGTCATAGCAGAATGGGAAAGGGAGCTGGTATGTCACATGGTGAGAGAGGGAGAAGGAAGGAGGGAGGTCTTAGCTGTTTTTCACAACCAAATCTCACATGACCTAACAGAGCAGGATCTCACCCACTACTGTAGGGAGGGCATCGAGTCATTCATAAGGGATAAGTGCCCATAACTCAAACATCTCCCACTCAATCCAACCTCCAACAGTGGGGATGACATTTCAATATGAGATTTGGAGGAGACAAACATCTGAACTATATCATTGGGAGTCTCTCTTCTGTTCTGTTCTGTTCCGTGTTACAATATCAAGGAATTTCCCTACTCCAATGGAGAAAACCTGCCCATATGCCAACTGAGCTTTGAATTAAATATCCTAAATATTGTAGCATTATAATTATAGTCCATTAGCATAAACCATTAATAAAGCATATTGCAATCCAAAACAAAATCTCAAGAATTGTTTCATGAATGATTAAAAGCATCAAGTAACACATATAAAATATTTTCCTTTTAAGTATGTTTGTCTTTTATTTTGAATATTACAATAAGATTGTATTGATAGCAATTTCTAACATTTCACTACATAGGTATAGAATATTGCATAGGATGTTAAGTAATACATACTGTAATACATTCAAACATACAGTTTTCTTGTGTGAAAAATATTTTCTGTATTCTAATTAAAAGTTGGTTGTACTGAGGATACATAATTATATGTGATCACCCATGTTTACATAATGTGACAGAAAATGAACTGTATTTATGATTTTGAAGCTCACAATAAAGAAGGAATCTCAAGCAACAAGATCAGGCATCTATACATAATTTGTTTTAAGATTTTCAACAATACTTCCATTATTATACTATGGTAATTCCCATAGGTGAACCAGGTGGGATAATAAATTAACTTTATTTACATGACAAGTTTGTAAGTGAAGGCAATCTAATTAGATCAACTTTAATTATCTCTAAAGGGAAGGAGTTGTCATTGATTGGTTTGTGAAAGGACAGTTAGATAATTCATTAAAGTTGTTTTCTCATTTGCCAACTTTAACTAGAAAAGGCTTAAAACACAACTTCTGTTAGAATTCTACTTCTATGAAGATGTCAAAAAGAAATATTGTTTTTCTTGCTGTGTTTTCTGAGTTAGATATGGTTTCCTTGCAATGTATTTTCTCTTACTTTATTTATTGCAATGCCCTTATTTTGACCTCAATGCAGAATTTGGATGAGAATGCACCACATATAAATTTCAATTCTTGAAAGTGAATTTGGTGTTCAATATGCTGACCAGTCCAAAAGCCCATCAGTAGGCAAAAGGCAGGGTGATCAATTCTCACCATGGTTGGCTGCTTTTAACTGACAATATAAATACCTATAGTCCAATATGTGAGCCCATTTATTATTTTATCTTACAAATGTTTTAAATTGTGATAGATTCCACATCCTCACTGGTTTGTTGTTGCTGTTATTCGGTGTTGGTGAAATAGCTACAATCTGTGAGATAGTCTATTAAAAGTTTGCCTTTTTTGTTTTGTTTAGTTTTGCATTGCTTTGCTTTGTTTTGGTAACCCCAATCTGGTTTCTTTGTCAGTCGCAGAACTAACATCCTATCTATGTCTGCTTTGGCTAATTGTTCAACATGTGCTTCTTTCTCTTTGTTTTTTTCATGATTTGAATATAGTGGACAATAGTAAAAGAAAAACTATTATGAGAAGTATGATTTTGAAGTTCAAGGGAAAAAGAGTAAGTAAAAAGCATCATGAAAAAATCATCAATATTTGTTCAACGATTACATTACAGATTCGGATACTTCATTTGTTCAGAATAGCATTTGTAATATTGTTTATTTTCAATACATATTAATTTGAAAAGTAAATTTATGCATCAGCTAGAAAACTGGACAAATGATATTTATCAATTTTTGAAATTCAGAGATTATTTTATTCCATGATGATGATAACACTTCAATGTCAAAGTAAATGTTAATTTGGTGTGAGAAAAATATCATCATAATGAATGTTCTAATATAATTATTGAATTCAAATATTTTATACTAAGATCTTGAAACTCTAAAGACTTGTTTTAAAGGATTTAACCATAATGTTCGAAAGGGTGACTTAACAGAATAACTATAAAATTATGCATCTAGATAAAGTGAGTTAAAACATGTGACTTATATTTGGAATTTATATTAAAATATTAAAATGTTAATATATTTATAACAATTTTTAGAGCTGATTTTTAGACCATTAAGCTTAAGCAAATTCATTTGGGGAAATATCATACTATCAGTCATGCATACTGGTCCTTTATGGCTTAATCAATTTTATTTTCCTACTCCAATATGTTTTATTTGTTTCTTTCAGTTCATCTTGATAAAAGAAAGCTACTATACTGACAATAAAATAAAGTCTCATTGTCTCTCCATAAGATGTCAAAAATCTGTTATATATTTTATGTTAAAAAGAAATTGTCTTTATTTAATAATATCAGTGAATATAAGGCAGAGTTGAACAACAGGTCAGATGGTTTAATGTGCCATTTTAAGAAACTAAAAGTTCTATTAGAATATTATCGGAAATAATATGTTTTCTTTTTTTTTTTTTTTCAGACAAGGTCTCACTCTGTCACCCAAGCTGGCTGGACTTCAGTGAAGCAATCACAGCTCATTGCAGCCTCAACCTCCTGAGCTCAAGCAATCCTCCCACTTAGCCTCCTGAGTAGCTGGGACTACAAGCGTGCACCACCATGCCCAGGTAGTTTTTTTTTTTTTTTTGTGTGTGTGTGTGTGTGTGTGTGTGTGTGTGTATTTTTTGTAAAGATGGGGTTTCATCATGATACCCAGACTGATCTTGAACTCTGAGCTTAAGCAATCCACCTGCCTCAGACTACCAAGTTTTCTTTCAAATAACAAAAAAAGCCATAAAATAAATATAAGAAAGAAAATAGGCCAGGAGTGGTGGCTCACACCTGTAATCCCAGCAATTTGGGAGGCCGAAGGATCACCTGAGGTTGGGAGTTCAAGACCAGATTGACCAACATGGAGAAACCCCGTCTCTACTAAAAATATAAAATTAGCCAGGCATGGTGGCACATGCCTGTAATCCCAGCTATTCGGGAGGCTGAGGCAGGAGAATTGTTTGAACCCGGGAGGCAGAGGTTGCAGTGAGCCGAGATGGCGCCATTGCACTCCAGCCTGGGCAACAAGAGCAAAACTCCATCTCAAAGGAAAAAAAAAAAGAAATATAAAATTATCATAATTTTTGTGTTCATTACAAATAGAAATGCCCAAAATGGTCTTAGAAGTTTATTAGTTTTATGTAATCACAGGTGATTTCTATAGTGTCTGACACTAGATTTCATGTGTTAGCCTAATTGTTATCATCCTTATCTGGATTGTCAATACTGCATATTTCCTTTCAGATTATCAGAGAGCTCAACCCATCAGGGCCAACTGTATATGGAGTCTTTCCAAGCTCTATGCATGCTATATGATATTATGTGATGGGTTAAACTGTGTCCCCAAAAAAGATATGTTAACTTCCTAATGCCTAGATCTTCAGAAAGTAACTTATTTGGAAATAATGGCTTTGCAGATATAGTTAGTTAAGACAAGGTCACACTGCAGCAGGAGGAGCCCTTAATCCAATATGACTGATGTCTTTATAAGAAGAGAGACTTACAGGGAGAAGGCAGGTATGTGAAGACACATGCAGTGGAGGCAGACACTGGAGTGATGCTGCTGTAAGCCAAGAAACAGCAAGGATAACAATCACCTCAGAAAACAGAAGCACCAAGGATGAATTCTCCCTTATAGGTAACAAAGAAGGAGCGTGGCCCTGACTACACCTTGATTTTGAACTTCTAGCCTTAAGAATTGTAAGGTAATACATTTCTGTTGTTTTAAACCTCCCAGTTGGTGGTACCCTGTTAGGGCAGTAGCTCAGTGGTATTTTTGTATACACTGGATCCAGATATAGCTAAATATAAATATAAATATAGCCCATTTCTCACTGGACTTTGCAAACTCACAGAGCTAATCCAAGGTTACTAGTCCCCTTAACAGTAAAGTTAAATTTATCTTCGTAGGAAATCTACAAGAATGAGGAGAAAAGTGGGAAACCGTCCCCACCAAAAACTTTTATTTACAGACTGGATGATAGAAACATATAACTATGGGTGGTTCTAACTTACATTTGTGTTCTGTTATAGTGTGTGTTTTTATTTTATTTTTTACTTTAAATATCTCTGATACTGTCTACATGGAGTGATTAGCAATACTTTATTTTGTACTATCCATTTTCTTATACACATTTTATATGTTTAATAAATATGAATAAATTCTCAGAAAACAAAATTCAACATAAAAGGGATATTTAGCCATACTCCTGCAATCTAAAACCTTTGTGTATAAGTCATTGTTAGATGGAAATATGAGATGAAAAGTATTCACCGAAATCTCTTTGCAAATATATTATGCAATGTAAACATAATACTATTTCATATGTCAGCAACCTACCAACATGAGAGGACACAAAGGAATTTCAGCAAAATATTTTATGTATTTACTTTTTGTCTTGTACTAAAAAAAGACTTTAAAAGATATTCAAGAATTTTATATGTATTGATTATAGTGAGAAGAAGCATCTTGGTTTTGATTCTTACAATAAAATAATTCAGACTACATCAATTTTTGAAAGTATTTTTTTTAAAAATATACCTCAGTTAAGTAAACTCGTTGGACATTGAGTGTGTTCACAACAATTTCTAACCTTTAAAAATGTTGAAGAAAAAAAGTTAAACCAAGATACCTGGTTCCTACTTCACTACAACCACAGTGGAAAAGACTATATAACACCACACCTGTCTACATTCATAGCCAGAAATCATTTGATTTGATTTGTGGTTGTGTCCTTTACCAATTCTGTCCACTTTATAAACTTATATAACTTCTAAGAGCCTCATTTTTCTCTCTTTAAAATGAATATATTAATAATGTAGGTTTTTATAAAAATTATATGAGAAAATATACATAAAGAATTTAGCACAGTCCCTGATGTTAAAATGTTCTCTCCATCCAATAAAAATGTACTATTTTTTGTAAATTTAAGTTCCCTATAGATGTTGGATATTAGATCTTTGTCAGAGGCATAGTTTGCAAAAACTTTCTCCAGTTCTGTAGGTTGTCTGTTTGCTCTGTTGATAATTCTTTTGGAGGCCATTGTCCTTACCACACCAACGCGGGAATAGAAAACCAAATACTACATATTCTCACTTATAAGTGGGAGCTAAATGATGAGAACACGTGGGCACATAGAGGGGAACAATACACACTAGGGACTATTGGAGGTGGAAGTAGAGAGACAATCAGAAAAAACAACTAATGGGTACTAGACTTAATACCTGGGTGAGGAAATAATCTATACAACAACCCCACATGACACAAGTTTACCTATGTAACAAAACTGCATATATACCCCTGAACTTAAAATACAAGTTGTTTTTTTTTTAAGTGTACTATCATCCTAAAATAATGAAATAGAAAAAAAAAATCACTTCACAAAGGCTTCTGGAACAATAGAGAAAAGTGAAAATGTTAGCAATTCCTGGTTCAATTTTCTTTTTTCTTTTTTCTTTTTTTTTTTTTTTTTTTGAGACAGAGTCTTGTTCTGTTGCTCAGGCTGGAGTGCAGTAGCATGATCTCAGCTCACTGCAACCTCCGCCTCCCAGATTCAAGCGATTCTCCTGCCTCAGCCTCTCCTGTAGCTGGGATTACAGGAGCCTGCCACCAGGCCCAGCTAATTTTTCATATTTTTTAGTAGGGACAGGGTTTTGTCATGTTGGCCAGGCTGGTCTTGGACTCCTGACCTCAGGTAATCCACCCACCTTGGCCTCCCAAAGTTCTGGGATTACAGGCATGAGCCACCACCCCTGGCCCTGGTTCAATTTTCTCATGAAAACAACCATGAAGGCAGGAAAGAAAAAATACTATTAGCTGACCACAGTTTATTATTATTATTATTATTATTAGAATCAGGGTCTCTCTGTCAAGCAGGCTGAGGTACAGTGGCACAAGCATAGCTCACTCTAGCCTTGATCTCCTGGGTTCAAGTGATGCTCTTTCTCAACCTCCTGAGTAGCTAAGACTACAGGCATGTGCCACTATGTGCAGGGATTTTTTTTTTTTTTTAGAGAAAGATGGAGTCTTATGTTGCCCAGGCTGGTCGTAAACTCCTGGCCTCAAGTGCTCCTCTTGCCTTGACCTCCCAAAGTGCTGAGATCACAGATGTGAACCACTGTGCTCAGCCCATAGTTTATTATTTAACAAAAATCATCCTAAAAGAAAATGTCAGATGATATAAATCTCTTCCCTAATATTGTCACTGTAATAGATGACTGATTAATTCAGAACAAGGTACAGGGACGATGCTTCAGAAGAGCAGCACAAGGTTGGTGGAAAGACATTCTAGATTGCCAGATATTAGCCCCAGGCATTCACTGACTTCAAGGAGGGACGTCAGCACCGCAACGGGTTGACTTTCCCCATCACAATCCATTTCTAAGCATCAAACTCAAATAATTACTTTTTTTGAAAGTTACAAGTATTTTGATATAAATGACAATATCTCTAATCCCTAGGAAATCAATTTTGAGATAAATACCTAAGAAAATAGATGTGTATATATTATGAAGCTAAGATTAAACAATTATAATAAAATAGTATTATTTAAAATTCTAATTATGAATGAGAGATGATCTACATGGACTTGTTAATTTTCCATAATAATATTCTAGAAAAATCATATAAAATAACTGAAAATTGATAATCCCAAAGAATAAAGATAACTAGAGGAAAATTACCCATAAATGCAGAAATTCAAGGCATTTATGGAGAAAATGAATGTGAAATAAAACACAGAGAGAATTCGTGGAGCAAGTTTGTGGTAGATTGAAAGCAAATGAGGCAAATGTAGCACATGAAGCCATAATCATGAGTTCTCAGGACTGTAGGTAGCAGGGAAGGTCTACTAAACAAGTCTAAACATTGAATTGACATACCTGTAGATACTGGAAAATAAAGTAGCTCTGTATGCTGTTACTCAAAGTTCTATAAACTATAAATCTTTCAAAGAAAATACATATACAATATACAAAATGGCTTTTTCTCTTCTCAAGGGGATGGAAAAGAAATGTGTTGAAGCTATAAAACAAGAATAAAATAGGTTTAATTATATTGTGGTATAATTCAAATGAACACTGGAAGTGCTAGCTGGCAGAATCAATAGAGAAATAGTCATGATAATGGAACACATCTACTGAATCAAAAACAATATACAAAATGGGCAACATGTAGAATTCAAAAGAAATTAATAGGATGGTGAATAGTTTGAGAGGAAACATGGCAGGCGTGGTGTACAGAGCATAGTGGTTTAGTATCCAAGTCATTTAGTCATGGAGTTAGAAGACACAACCAACAGGAGAGAAATATATATGAATTACTAAAATTGCTCCATAAAAATTTAAGCAAAATAACAAGAAATCATAGGACTTGTACTTATTCCACATAAAAGCAACAAAGATAAACTATTACCTAAGTATATCCTTTTAGGTTTACAAAGAAAAAGGAAAGAATCATCCAAACTTTGAAAGAGTTCATTGGATTCAAAATCTATTTGTATCAGATTTATTAACTATATCAACCTAAGACAGAACAGTATATATCCTTAAAAAAACAAAAGGTGTGATCAGAAAATATTTTCTAGGCCAAATTGATATTTACTGTATGTGGGTTATAAAAGAAGCTCATCCTTAGGCAAACAAGAAAACAAAAAAATTCTAACATACTTTCTGCTGATAGCAATGAAAGGAATGATAGAGAGTGGAGAAAAATAAAGATTAATGAATATAACAAATAAATATAGAAATGGTGCATATATACAAATAAATGCATTAAAAGTGTTCTTAATTGAAAATATTACAATATAAATTCCTTACAAAAGTTATTCATCTTAAGCATAATTAATAATATACATGAAATGGTGCTATAAAAGTGCTTAAATCATATCAAGAATAAATTCAAACGTTCAGGAAGGGAATTTACATTTTATGGTTCACTGCAAATATGTGGAATATTGATGAATTGATGGACAGAGGAGAAAGTACAATGAGGAAAACCAATGATACGTAAATAATAAACAGCATGTCAAGGTTTGGAATAAATGCAAGAGAGATGTCAAAAAGTAAAGTACTTTACCAACTATAAAAAGAAGTATACAGGCCAGGTGTAGGGACTCACACCTGCAATCCCAGCAGTTTGGGAGGCTGAGGCGGGTGGATCATAAGATCAGGAGTTCAAGACCAGCCTGACCAACACAGTGAAACCCTCATTTCTACTAAAAATACAAAAATTAGCTGGGCATAGTGGCACACACCTGTAATCCCAGCTACTCAGGAAGCTGAGGCAGGAGAATTGCTTGAACCCAGGAGGCGGAGGTTGCAGTGAGCCGAGATTGCACCACTGCACTCCAGCCTGGGCAACAGAGTGAGACTCCATTTCAAAAAAAAAAAAAAAAAAAAAAAAAGGAAGAAGTATACATTCTGTCTTAAGTTTAAATCAGGGGTCTGCAAAATTTTTCTGTATAAAGTCAAGCTGTAAATATTTTGAGCTTTGTAAGTTACATGATACCTCTCCCAACTACTCAGTTGTGCTGTTATAGCACCAGAAAAACCATAAATAATATGTAAAACAAATGAGTGTGACTGTGTTCCAACAAAATTTTATTTATGGACACTAAATTTGAATTTCATAAAATTTTACATGGCATAAAATCTGATTCTTTTGATTTTTTTTCAACTCTATGAAAATGTAAAAATATTTTTAGCTTGTGGGCTGTACAAAAAAAAAAAAAAAAAACGCTGTGGGGAGGAATTGGTTCACAAAACACAATTTGCCAAACCCATGTTTTGATAAATAACTTGATTAGATTACATATAATATTGATTAACTACTGCAGGCTAATCAAAGAAGTATTATATATAAAACAATTAACTTTGAAAGCATACTAAATATATGTATGTTATGAGACTGGTAGTGAGTAAATAAAATAGAGATCACTTTTATAGTAGTATCTAAAAAATTATGCCTTAAACTCCTATCTGCTTGATTACATAGCAATCTTTTCTTCCTGAAAATTGTTCTCCACAAACATTTCTCACAATTTTCATTGATGTTTAAATGTGTAATCTAATGCCCCTTAAATATCCCCCATGCTCTGAATTTTGCTTGGTTTTAGATAGTCACTCAAGACTATGGGATAGAGTTACAGGATGCACGACTTTCAGCTCTATAGAACAATTATTTTGCTTTCTGCTAGTTGAATTAGCTCATTTCTCCATTGAACTATCTTAAATTTCTCTATTTAATGTCAAAGTCTATGTTGTTGCTTACTTGCTCCAAATTATTGAAATCTTTTTGACTCCCAGTACTCAGTTGTCTCAGAAGACAAATGACTAACACGTTTTCAGCTCAATTGCTTCAGAAATTGGCCACTCAAATAGCACTTTGGGTTCATAATGACAAAACTACAGAGGACAATTTGGTAATTTAAATGGAAAACCCAAATATATTGTAAAATCTTTTGACCACCATTAAATTTCTAGAATTCATCTTAAATTAACAATCCTGGATAGAGCACTTATTTATTTTGCTGAATATTCAGAATAACATTTTTTACAAATATTTAAAATTTTAAGCTACAAAATTTTCCAGCAATAAATACAGTTAAAATATAGTACATGAGTACACATCATCCAAAATGGTGAAACTTTAGAGATATAAAATAAGTTTATTTACAAAGTGTTTATCATCAACACTACTCAACAGTGCTCTGGAGAGCTTAGCAAATACATGTGAATGTCCATTAAAATAAATGATTTCTAGTAAACACACTTATTTTCTTAAAAAAAGAAAATATATATATATATGTTTTGGGATTATAAGAGTATCTGCCTCAGAAAAGGAAAGTCTAAAAAATATTAAACTCCATGGTGCAGTTAAAATATTAAAACCACATGCAATTTGTGCAGTAACTACACTAGTAATTGGAAAATAAATAGAACAGAACGGCAAGCCCAGAAACTGAAATATGCAGACATAAATACTTGCTATATAATTATGTTAGCATCCCAAATCAATGCATTAAAAATGGCAAGTTTAGTAAAAGGTAATACTTTCAACTGCAGGTATGTTTGTAGGAAAAATGGAATTTGCATGCATTACTAACAATGTTGTAATAAATTGATCAGTTCGCTATGGAGGATAAAAATTGATTGGAATTAAAGGAATAATAAATTCAAAACTGCAGGAAATAAGACTTGTCTATGAATCCTAAAAGGGCTCACTTCATTCCAGAAAAAGTTAAGAAAGGCTCATCTATAAAATTCTCACAAGGTGTCTGACAATTAAGGTAACTTTACCCGAGAAATTTTAGACTACTTGCCGTATTCAATCCTTCTGAAAGGTTGCTTTCACAAGTTTATTACACTTTGTATCACATGTTCCATTTACCTGTGTTAAGAATTATCGGAAGAAAAACAAAAGAACCCCAACCCAGTCAATAGGGTAATGGAATGCTGATGTTTTGTTCAGTAGAGTTGCTTTGTAGTAGATGATGACAAGCTGAACCAATCAGGTCTACTCTGGCATTTATAACGAAAATGTCTGCCAAGGAAGTCAGAATAATGAAAACAATGAGAAAGAACAGCTGAATTCCCAACATGAAGAAGACCTAAAGTAAGGTGCAAAGAAGGACTGAGAGGGCAAAATCAAAAATCATAGTTGGGTCACTTCAGATAGGCTATATTCTAAAAGACGTTCCATCCAGGTGGCCTGGGTTCACAACTATTAAGAATATAAAAATTAAACTCTTCACAGTTTTGAACACTAAATTTAAAATGAGAAAAATGGGAGAAATTTTAAGCAAATACTAGTGGACAAATATGAGAAATTGCTCTTTCATAGAATCAGTAATCTCCTTCAGCAAATATTAATGAACAAATAATAGGAAGACATCATTCATAGAACCACAACTAATAATGTGGAAAATAGGAAATAACAAACTAAACAGATAAAAAAAATCAATGCCACTACTATTCAAATAACTATCCTTTTTAAAAAATCTTAACATTTATGTGATTATCAAAAGTTATATTTTAAAATACTATTTCTATTAATCAGTAATTATGTATACAAGAGATAGAAATGCAGCTCAACCTAGGTAAAGAACAATAGAAATTTAATGACTTTACTAAAAAACAAAGTAGGGATAGAAATTTCTTCTTTTTTGTTTGAAGCAGGGTCTCACTCTGTCGCCCAGGCTGGAGTGCAGAGGCAAGATCTCGGCTCATTGCAACCTCCGCCTCAGCCTCCTGAGTAGCTGGGATTACAGGCATGTGCCACCAATCCTGGCTAATATTTTTGTATTTTTTGTAGAGATGGGTTTCACCATATTGGTCAGGCTGGTCTCGAAACATCTGACCTCAAGTGATCCTCCCATCTTGGCCTTCCAAAATGTCAGGGTTATAGGTGTGAGCTATGGCGCCCAGCCAGAAATTTCTGTAGACATACTTGGAACCAGGATCTTGAATTAAACACTCAGAGCCACACTTCGCTCCAAGGTATTAGATATCCATTCTTTACATGGTAAGCAGGATAGCTACCAAGATCATGTGCACTTTTCATAAAACTCAGTAAAATGGTGTTTCCACTGATAACTCTGGCAGTAATAGCATTTGAAGGTGTCTTATTGATCGACTGCTCACACCTACATTAATCTCTATGGCTCAAAGGTAGAGAATATTCTGATTATAATATCCTGATTATGTCAGCCACATTTCAAACCATGTTGAATATCTTTCCCAAGAGGAAAAAGTATATTTCATTTAAAATATACATATATAAAAATGCTGATGTAACAAGAATGTTAAATATCCACTATACTAGCCAATAAAGCTGATGATTGGATACATTGTAGCTGGTACTGTAAAATAGTTCATTCTTTTCAGAAATTAACCTGGGGACACAATTTTGATATCTTAATATATCAATACTGGCTTGGTAGACTAAGCCAGAGATATTAAGATAATTATCCATATTCAAATGAGCTATATTAATATATCTTAATATATACTCATTCAAATGAGATAATATTACAATACCTTAATATATCAATGCTTATTTGTATATAGAAAATTATCTTAATATCTCTGGCTCAGTCTATCAAGACTGCTATAACAAAAATACCATAGACTAAATAGTTTAAGCACTTCTGAAGGGTGGGAAGTCCATAATCAAGGCATCCATATATCTGGTGAAGGCTCAACTTCCAGCTTGTAGATAGTCACTTTCTTCTATCCTATCTGGGAGGGAGAGAGAAATAGCCAGAGAGAGAGAGACAGAGAGAGAATCTATCTCCCAAAGGCCCTATATCTAAATATTATTATAATTTAACATATGAATTTTGAGGTGACACAAACATTTAGTCCGTAGCAATATCAAGAACATTTTCATAAACATTCATGGATAAGGGCAATAATTTGAAACAAGGACAATGCTTCTTAATGCATTATATAGTACATCAGATAATTTGGTAAATAAGGTAACTCTGTTGAAAGCTCTATTTAGAATAAAAAAAACCAAATTTTATATAAAGTGTAGTGGGACCACAAATATAATCTCAATGAAAAGGCTCTCACTGAGGCTAATACAGAATTTCTGCATCTCACAAATCTCTGACATGTTTCAGGACATATATTAAACACTACCGATGGTAAACAACCAAACAAGCAAAAAGTATTTATTTTTGAGATGTTTGACATAAACTACATCTTAAGTCTTAGGGATGGAGGAGTAGAAATACATAGATTTGATGTTATTTTTCTGTGCCAAACTATGTGTCTCCCCAATAACCATTTATTCTTCCAATTTCCCTGGAAACATTACAACAAAATGTCAAATCTGCAGTTTCAGCACACCACTCAAAATGGTGGCACAATCTTCAAGTGACCTCTTCTAATGCTCAATTTTTCCCACAGAAAATATCTATTTTTATCCATATTTACTCCTTCAGCCTCAATTCTCATCCATTTGAATAAACTAGTGCTCTATTTTTATGTGACCTTGAACCTAACTAATTTAGGATTCAGCTTCCTCAGTCTAACCTTTCTTACCTGCAAATGTAGAGTAGACTAGAACATCTCTTGGATAATTTTCACAATGATATCCTGTGATTTTCATGAGTGTTGCTGTGTGAACAGACTCAAACCTATCATGTTCATTTTGAATCACTAAAATATTTTGGACCTCACCATTATAGCAATATTTAAATGTTAAATGTGAATTTTTACTAAGTTGCTTAACATTGCACATCTTTTAAAGCTAATATTTAGTTTAAAACAACGACCATTTCTATTTATGTGAAAATAGAATAAATTACTTATACAATAATTGAGACAAGATTGCCTGACACTGAAAATGTATATGCTGCTGTCTGAAATGTATCTATGTTCCTTTTATACAATGTTCATTTATATTTTTCTATGCCATACAAAAGAGGAGATTCATAATTTCCTTAGAATATGGGAGTTTATATTGTCAATGTTTTCAGTGAAAGATTTTTTTAATTCCAGAAAGTATATGCATAGACAGATAATTTACTGTACTATGATTTTCTTGCCAATAAGGATACATATATGAAAAACAATATCTAATCCAAAGTTTCTTACAGAAGAATTAAAGGAAATTGAAAGAAGTTACAGGGTGGTACCTCTTTTTTGTTCTAACAGAACAAAGAGAAAAAGTTTTTAGAAATATGCTATCCAATAGGAAAATTTGTCTTTTGCATTGAGTTTACCTTAGCTGAAGATTGAATGAGCATTTTTTTTCAGTAGATATGTATGATGACTTGACTCATATTTACAGTTACTAAGCCATACCAACGTAGTTTAACTTATTTTTAATTTGTACTTATCTTTCGTAACTCCTGAAGCATATTGTCCTGTGGAAGTCTTGTCAGAAGCCTTCTCCAGTCTCAGTCTATCTGATGCTTTTATTTGTGATTAATTGGATCCTGAAATATCTGTACATTGTATTTACCAAAATGTGTATTAAATATGGAGTTATTGGTTTCTCACTGTTCTATCGGTATCACTTAATGTAGTGCACATAACACAGTATATTCATCATAACATTTGTTTAGTCAATACAAAATATATCCATCTTTAGCTGTGAATATATTGATAAAGAGAGGACTATCATACAGAATTGTAGACATTTTGTTGCTAGATACTGAGTAATCTAATTCATATAAAATGTTGCCACACATATGTCTAAAGCAGAGCATACACTGGTTATGAAGAAACCTTTTTATTCAGTGTCTATCTTAAATAAGGTCCCAAAGTTATGAGGTTTTATTTTTAAAAAAAACACAATTATAAAGGAATCAGTCTACCAGATTTCAGTGAGTATCAGTAAAACAATTTTATACAGATACAATAATCGAAACCGGGTGTTATTGGCAAATGAATCAAAACACAGATCATGGGCACAGAATAGAGAACCCAAAAATAGTCCTATGAAAGGGTGGCTAATTTTTGACGAAAGTGCAAAAGCATATCCAAGGAAGAAAAATCGTCTTTTCCACAAATTGTCCTGGGACAAACAACTGGATAGCTATAGGTGAAACAATAAATCTTGATCTAAACGTCATGCCTTTTTTTTTTATTTTGAGACGAAGTCTCACTCTTGTCCCCCAGGCTGGAAGCGCAATGGCGTGATCTTGGCTCACTGCAACCTCTGCCTCCCAGGTTCAAGCAATTCTCCTGCTTCAGCCTCCCAAGTAGCTAGGGTTACAGGCGCCTGCCACCATGCCCAGCTAATCTTTTTTGTATTTCTAGTAGAAATGGGGTTCCACCATGTTGGCCAAAATTAACTCAAAATGGAACATGGATGTAAATGTAGAGACATAAAACTTTAAGAAGATAACACAGGAAAAAAAATATTTGGAACTTAGGTCTTGATGAAGTGTTCTTACACATGTCACCAAAAACATAATTCATAAAAGAAGAAAATCAGTAAATTCTACTTTACCAATCTTAGAAACATGTGTTTTGCAACAGACTGTATTAAAATAATGAATAACAATCTAAACCCTGGGAGAAAATATTTGCTTATCACGTCTTTTGAATTACTAGTGTACTGTAATTTCAGATTATGAAAAGAACTCTCAAAATGAACAAACCAGTTAGATAATGGGCAGAAGACATAAAGGGATATTTCACTGAAGAGGATATACAGATATCAAAGAAACAGATGAAAAATTTTTCAACATTACTAGTAATTAGGGAAATGAAATTTAGGACTACAATGACATGTCATTACACACCCATTAGAACAACTAAATTAAAAAATGATATGTGGAGCAAAGATACCCCTTGTACACTGCTGGTGGGAATGTAAATTAGTATAGCCATTATAGAAAACAGTATGGAGGTTCCCATAAAACTAAAAATAGAATTACCATACAAACTAGCAATTTCACTGCTGGCCATTTACCTGAAAGATTTGAAACCAGTATGTCAAGGAGACTCCTGCACTCCCATGTTCATTATAGCACTGTTTATTATAGCCAAGTTATAGAATCTACCTTAGCCTCCATCAATGAATAAATGGATAAAGAATGGGTGATATACATATACAATGGGATACTATTCAGAATTTTTTTAAGATCTCTCATTTGCAACAATATGGATAAAATTGGAGGACATTATGCTAAGGGAAATAAGCCAAGCACAGAAAGATAAATACCTCTTGTTCTCTCTTATATGGGGAATGTAAAACAATTTATCTCATTGAAGCAGAGTAGAATCGTTATTACCAGAGGCTGGGGTGGAGAATAGGGAGATGATAGTCAAAGGGTACAAAGTCTTAGTGAGATAAGACAAATAAATTTGCTTTTTTGTCCCAATCTGCTGCACATGGTGAATATAGCTAATAATTGAATACTGTATTTTTCTAAATCACTAAGTAAATAGATTTCAAATGTTCTCATCACAAAGAAATTAAATATTTCAGGTGATGGAGATGTTAATGAGCTTTATTTAATTATCACCCACTGTATTCAAAAATTATAACATCACTTTATATATCACAAAGACATACATCTATAATTTGTCAGTATATAATAAAAAATACAAACTTCAAATTTCAAAAACAAATTCTGACAAGTATACAGAGAAATTGGATCACCATATAATGTTGATGGAATGTAAATGGCATAGCCACTCTAGAAAATAGGATGACAGCTCTTAAAAATCTAGTAACGGCCGGGCGCGGTGGCTCACGCCTGTAATCCCAGCACTTAGGGAGGCCAAGGCAGGCGGATCACAAGGTCAGGAGATCGAGACCATCCTGGCTAACACGGTGAAACCCCGTCTCTACTAAAAATACAAAAAATTAGCCGGGCGTGGTGGCAGGCGCCTGTAGTCCCAGCTACTCAGGAGGCTGAGGCAGGAGAATGGCGTGAACCTGGGAGGCAGAACTTGGAGTGAGCCGAGATTGTGCCACTGCACTCCAGCCTGGGCAACAGAGCAAGACTGTGTCTCAAAAAAAAAAAAAAAAAAAAAAAATCTAATAATATGCTTACCATATTACCCAGCACTTACACTCCTAGGACAGAGAAATTAGAACTCATGTTTACACAAGAATCTGTGCTTGAGTTTTCATAGCAGTCTTACATATAATACTCACAAATTAGAAAAAAACAAATGTTTAAAATATAACATCCGTTTGTAATCATAAATGTTGATTTTATTTTTAAGATAAATTATTTAGTAAAATTATTTTCTCTAAAGCAACTATAAAATTTTGGTCCCTTATTAGATAAATCCATTCATTCTAAGGCTCATCTTCTCATTACAAGCCATCATTCATTTAAAAAGGGCATCTTTTACTTGCTGTTTTGAGACTGCAGGCATACCTCAGAGATATTGTGGTTTCAGATCCATATCACCACAATAAAGTGAATATCACAATAAATCAAGTCACATAAATATTTTGGCTTCCCAGTGCATAAAAAAGTCATATTTTAGGTTATACTCTGACTAGTCTATTACGTGTGCAATAGTAAAAACAAGGTACATACATTAATGAAAAAACACTGCTAATGATCATGCAGGCCTTCTTAAGTTGTAATCTTTTTGTGGTGAAGGGTCCTGCGTAGATGTTAATAGCTGCTGACTAATCAGGCTGCTGAAAGTTGAAGTGGATACAGCAATTTCTTAAAATAAAACAACAGTAATGTTTGCTACATTCATTAACTCTTCCTTTCATGAAATATTTCTCTGTGTCATACAATGTTGTTTGATATCATTTTACTCAAAATAGAAGTTATTTAAAAATTGAAGACAATTCTCTCAAATCCTACTGCTGCTCCTTCAGCTAAATTTATGGACTATTTTGTAATCTTTTTTTGTCATTTCAACAATGTTCACAGTATCTTTACCAGAGGTAGATTCCACCTCACCACTTTCTTTGCTCATCCATAATAAGCAACTCATCAATCACTCAAGTTTTATCATAAGCTATTATATATTCAGGCTCCTAATATCTAACTCTAGTTTTCTTGCTATTTCCACCACTTTGCAGTTACCTATAAAATCTTAAATTAAGCCTCTAGATATAAATTTCCTGATACAATACTTTACAAATGACATAACTGTATCAGTGGTCTACCATGACACTTAGAGAAGATAACACAGGTATTCATCCTTTTTGGTTATCTCACCCTACCATTTTCTCAAGATTTTTGTTACATGTTCTGAGATCTTTTCCTTCATGCATTAGCAATATTTATATTGATATAACATTTACACACACTTTTAAAATTTATACCATGTATATACTCTTTCTGATTCTGCACATATTAAAGAATCTTCCCCCATACCACAGTTCCACAGTTTCCCTATTCTTTTTTTTCTTTAAATTCAAAACTTGATTGGCTAAATTTAATCAAGATTTTTGCTTTTTCAAAATAGGCACATAATTTCTATATTTTCTGAATTCACATGTCTAGAACATCCTGTTACTATAACACTGGAACAGCAACTTGCTGGTATTAAAATTCTTAAGTCCTGAGTATTCTTTTTTTTCACCAGACATCTTTATTGCTGTTTCATGGTAATCAAATATTCAATGTTTTTGAAATATAGTCTGAGACTAATAATTTATCCTTCTGGTAAAGTAGGTAAATTTTTTTGCCCTAAAAGCCAGAAAGATTTATTATGCTCAAATTTCAATAATTTTTCAGAACATGTCTTGGTATCAAACACTAATTATTAATTTTTCCTTGTTCTGAGATTGAAGTACTATCCACAGACAGTGGTTTTGAATATGTGATTGTGCATTGTTTTTGTGTATGTGTGTCCTCTACTACATGGTCACTAGTGGAATTTTCTTGCTACTTGCTTTGATCTCAGCCAGTTTTGCTCTGGGAATAATAAGCATTTTATTTTTGTCTTCCAAATCTAACTCAATTTATCTCTTTTCCTCTGATTTTCTGACTACTAGCAATCCAATGCACTATCAACCAAAATCTTTCAATAAGTATATTTGCCTGGTCATATTCTCAAAGAAAAATATTTCAAATTTTAAAACTGTTATATATTTGATGTTTATTTTATTAATACCAAACCAGATTAAGAAATTTCCATTCCAATCACAGTTTTCTATAAATTTTTAATCATACACATATGTTCAATTTAATAACACCTTTGTGTCTATCAAGCTAATTATGTTTTCTCCTATATTCTACTAATGTGGTCAACTTGTTATTATGGTTCTATTTGTCTTTTAAAGGTTTTTGGTAGTATTTCTTTTTCTTTATAATCTTTGGAAGATTTTTTTGTTCATTTAGCGTTATATTTTTGTTAAATACATTGTAGAGTGCACCAGTGAAGCCCATAGGCCTGATGGTTTTATATGAAAATAATTGCAATTGCAGATTCATTTATTATAACATTTGTAGGACTAGTTTTTTTTTTTTTTTTTTTGGTTTGACAGGTTTTTCTTCTTCTAAAAATATTAAAATCAGATATATTTTAAGTAATAAGTTGTAAGCCATACCCCATAGCAATTTTTTATCAAGATAAATATATAGTAAATTCCAAGCATTAGTCTCTCTTTGTTCCCACTCTTAATTATGAATTACCCAAGGTGAATATTATTATGGAATATTTATCTATTATATTACAAATAGATTTTGAGTTTTTTTTCCAGTGTGGAGTCTTTTGAATAACGCAATTATAAAGCCTTGTGCAAGTTTTAGAAATGTAAATATGTGTACAATTCTGTTTTGTATATACCTAGGAATAAAATTTCTGGATTATGATATATAGATGTACAGTTGACCCTTGAACAACATGGGTTTGAACTGTGTGGGCCCACTTGTATGCAGATTTTCTTCTGCCTCTGCTATCCCAGAAACAGCATCACCACCTCCTCCTCCTCTTTCTCTTCCTCAGCCTACTCAACATGAAGATGAGGAAGAAGACCATTATGATGATATACTTCTACTTAATAAGTAGTAAATGTATTTTCTCTTCCTTATGATTTGCTTAATAACATTACCATAAATTTTTGTAAGAATACAGTATTTAATATACATAACATACAAAATATGAGTTAATGGTTTATGTTTGTGGTTTATGTTATAAGTAAAGATTCTGGTCAAGAGTAGGCTATTCGTAATTAAGATTTGGGAAATCAAAAGTAATTTCAGCTGTACAGAGGTCAGTGTCCAAAACCCCTATGTTGTTTAAGAATCAACTGTAGAAATAATAACAACTGTTGTCAAAATAATAGTTTTAGTTTACATTTCTACCAGCATTATTTGAAATTACTTATCATTCCCAATGCTTGCCATCACTTAATATCGTCTGTTTAATATTTAACTTTCTGCTGGCTATGTAGGGAGTATTGCGTGTGCTAAATTTGTGTTTCCTCAAGGACTAACGATACTGAGCAAATTTTACATGCATATTGGCTCTTTAAATATCCTATCATGTGACACCTCTTCAAGTTTCTCATCTATTTTTCTGTTCAGTTTTCTGTCTTGTACTTACTGATAATAAACGTACTTTATTTCTTCTGTATAAAAGTTCTTTATAGTTATAGGTGTTAAAGATGTATTATCTAACATGACTTGCTTTGTTTTTTCATTAATCTGTTGAATTTAGTTTACAATTCCTTAATTTTAATAAATATTAATTTATCAATCAATATTTTATATTTATTTACATGCCACATTTAAGTAATTAATGCTTATTATAATATCATGAAGTTATTCTCCATTGTTATCTTCTAAAATTATTATTTCCAACTTTCACATTTAGATCAATCATTCACCTGGAATTTATTTTTGTATATTGTGTGAGGTAGGCTCAAGTTTTATGTTTTTGCTTTTTTCTGGACGTTTATTTGACCCTGCCCAATTTTTTAAAATGTCTGTTGGTTCTATTATTCTGAAGTATAACCTTTGTTATAAAAAAGGAACATGTATTAATATGTCTGTGTTTTGCATTTTTTCTTTCCCATTGTCATGTTGTATACCCTCAGCATTACCAGATTTTCTTAATTACTGGAACTTCATATATTAAAAGCTTGTTAATATATATTTTCCAAAAATTAGCCAGGCATGATGGCTCATGCCTGTAGTCCCACCTACTTAGGAGGCTGAGTCAGGAGAATTGCTTGAACCTGGAGGTGGAGGTTGCAGTGAGCCGAGATCGCCCCCACTGCACTCCAGCCTGGGCAACAGAGTGAGACGCCGTCTCAAAAAGAAAAGTATTTTCTACATTTGTTATTAAACATTATCTTGGTGACATTCATTTTTCATGTAATTTTTAGAATCACTTAAGTTATGTTTATAGACACATACACACACACACAAACACAAACATTCCCATGCACATGCACAGAACAACAACAAATTATGTCTTTCTTTAGTTTTCCATTGATTACTATTGTTAGGGTTTTATTAGTTTTGCTCATCTTCTTATAGGCCAAAATTTTAACTGTTGATTTGTTTATTCTTTGCATGTATCTAATTCACTGATTTTCATTTTTAAAATGTTTATTTATATCCATTCTTCTACTTAACTTGTGTAATTGGTTTATTTTGTTCTTTTTGTCTAATTTTTTTATAATAGAAGCTGAGATAATTGCTTTTATACTTTTTTATGTCTTATAGTGTCATTTTAACTAAAAATTTTACTTTAGCAACTGCTTTAGATAACATACCTCATAGTTTTTATTATTCTACATTGTCATTTTTTTCTACTAAAAAATTTATAATTTCTTTGGGGATTAAAGAAATCTTACCCATGGGTTGCTTGGAAGCTTATTACTTGAATTCAAATACCTGAGTTTTTTCTTAATATTATATTTTTACTGATTTCTACCTTGAATGTTTTTACTTAAATGTTCCATATATTCTTTTTCTGTTTGTTTTAATTGATTATTTTTTGGAGCAGTTTTAGGTTTACAATAAACTTAGTGGAAGATACAGAGATTTCCTTTTTCCTCTCTGCCTCAACACATTCATTGCCTTCATCATCAATACCTGCCATCTACAGTGGTATATTTATTATAGTTGATGAAGCTATGATAATACGTTATTATGCAAAGTCTTTATGTTAGGATTCATTTTTAGCCTTGCACATGCTATGGGTTTGGACAAATTTACAATGTCATGTATCCACCATTATAGTATCATATGAAATAGTTACATTTCCCTAAAAATCCTCTGTGCTCTTCCTGTTCATCCCCCCTTCCTCCAAATCCCTGGCAATGACTGATATTTTAACTGTCTGCATAGTTTTGCCTTTCCTATTATAGTTGGAGTCGCACAGTATGCAGCCTTTTCAGATTGGCTTGTTTTCACTTAGTAATATGTACTTAAGTTTTCTCCATGTCTTTTCATGGCTCAAAACTTCATTTCCTTTAGGCACTGAATAATATTCCACTGCCTAGATACAAGACAGGTTTCTTAAATCCATTCACCTACTGAAGAACATCTTGGTTACTTAAAGTTTTGGCAATTATGAATAAAGCTGCCATAAACATTCACGTGCAAGATTCTGCATAGACAGAAGTTTTCAACTCCTTTGGGTAAATATCAAGGTGCACCATTGCTGGATTGTATGGTAAGAGTATATTTACTTTTGTAAGAAGCTACCAAACGGTCTTTCAAAGTTATTGTACCATTTTGCACTTCAACCAGCAGTGAATGAGAATTCTTGTTGCCTCACATTCTTGATAACATTTGGTATTGTTGTCAAAGTCTTGAATTTTGGCCATTCTAATAGGTGTGTAGTGGTATTATATTGTTGTTTTAATTTGTATTTCCCTACAAATGTTCTTAAAATATATGTATTCTATAGTTATTTGATGTAGAATTGTATAAATTTTATTTAGGAAATTTTGTTGTTAGCATTGCTCATATACTGTAAATGCTTACTGGTTATTTTGGTATAAATTTTCTATTAACAATCGAGAAAGGGATGTTAAAATTTCTAATTATGTTTCTGAATGTATCAATTTGTCTCTTTAATTGTATCATCTTTTTGTTCTTATATTTGAACTTCTTTTAGTAGGTGTGTGTACATTTTGGTTATCATGTCTCCTTGATAAACTGAATTTTGTATCATTGAGAATTTTTTCTTCTATGTAATAGCATTGTTTTTCTCTAAGCCTACATTTATAATATTCATATAGCCATATCAGCTATCTTAAGTTCAGTGTTTACATTATATATCTATTTACATCCTTCAGTTTAAATTTTCACTAATGTCTTTATATTTAAAATGAGTTTACTGTACATAGCATGTAGCTTGGTTCTATTATGTTCTCTAATCTTATGCTTTCTTTTTTAGTGGTTTATTTTACTTTATGTATTAATATAATCATTTATATTATTTACTTTATATATTTATAAAATAATTGATAAAGATGCTTCAAATCTACCTTATTTTTATTTATTTTCTCTCTCACATCTTTTGCCTTTGTTTTGATTGTTATTTGTTTGTTGTTCTCTTTTTTCCTGCCTCATTCCAGTGGAATATAGTATTTTTAAGTATTCTATTTTATTCTAAAACATTTTAGAAATAACTTACTTGTGATTTTCGTTTCCTTTTCAGTGTTTGCCCCAGTGATTACAATATGCATCTTTAAATTATGGAAGTTTCCTGTCACATAATTTCATATTTATGAATTATGTATGTACCTTATAACCACATCATTCTATCTATCCCCTATTACTCCTTTTGGTATTCTTATATATGTTGCAAAACCTACAATTTTTTATTAAATTTATTTTAACTTAAAGAATCATAGTTTATGAAATTTTATAATGTATATTTACTTCCATAATATTCTTTCTAGTGATTTTCATTTTCACCTGTTGAATCCAACTTCCAGGTGCTATTATTTTTTTTCAGCTTGAAGATTTTTACCACTTTTTTGAAATGCACATTTGCTAAAAATTTTCTTTCAATTTGCTTTCTGCAAATGTTCATTTAAATTCATTTTGAATATATTTTCTGTTGATATAGAATTACAGCTCAATAGTCTTTTCATTTTTGTCAATTTAAAGATAATATTGTACTATCTTCTTTCCTCTATATTTCTGATGAGTAACTGAGTAATATGTTTTATGTGTGTGTATGTGTGTGTGTGTAGACACATGCATAAATATAGTTATTTTTAATATACTACGTGTCTTTTTTTCTGATGAATTTGTCTTCCTACATTGTGATTTGGTGTGCCTAGGTGTGGCTTTCTCTGTATTTATCCTGTGAATGTTAAGTGACATTTGTTGGTTGGTTTGTTTGCTTGGCTCTGTGAGAGACATTTTCACAGTTTAGGGAAATTCCCTTTCATATCTTTTCAAAGATATCTTCTCATTTTATTTTTCCTGCTGTTTGGATACTCAATTGGACATATATTATATCACTTACTATTGACCATATATCCCAAATACATGTTCTTATATTTTTCACATTTTTATTGATACTGTGTTTGATAATTTCTATAGCCCCTATGTTTATAGGCACAGAGTCTTTCTTCTAATGTGTGGATCTACTGCTAAGTCCAAACAGCCCTTCATTTCCTATTTTATAGTTTAAAATTAATAAAATTATACATTTTGTTTTAATTTTTCTCTTTTTCATTGGGTATATTTTTTCTACCTTCTTACCTTTGCTATGTCCTCTATGTGCTCATGAATATTGTCCTTATTTTGCACTATATGCATGAACATATTTACCAATGTTATTTTAAAGTATCTTCTGGATAATTCCAACCTTCAGGACATCTGTGAATCTTCTTATATTGACTCTTTATTCTCTTGACCACGTGACTTAATTAAGTTAATAATAGTTATTTCATAGAAGAGTTTGCTCCTTATTGTGGAGAGCAGGTTGTTTTGGGGGCTGACTCTGTTATTTAATTCAGCTGTGTCTGCATTTCATTGCACTTTCAGTTTGAGTTCACCAGTGGTTTCAAACACTCTGAGAATGGGATCAGATATTTCACTCCAGCAGTGCTTGAAATCTGAGCAATGACAGATCTCTTTGTGGATTTCAGTTTACCTGCCATATTTTGGGGTTATTGGGAAGTTTGTTTTGCCTTGCAGTTCTGACTTGGTCTTTCTGCACATTGTGTGATCTCTTTCATCTTGGTTTTTGTTTTATTAACATCCAGCCTTTAGTTAATGCCTTGAACTTGGTGAAAATTACCAAGAACTGTGAAAGATCTAATAGTTTTCTCTTTTGGCAAGGTAGCAAATTAGCCTGCCATAATATTGTGGATGCTGGAAGACATCAGGAGATTTCTAGGTCAGAGACAAAAGACTTTATTACTCACAAGACAGCAAGTAACATAAGCTTTATGTTTACAGTATCTCATCCCCGTCAAGTCCCATGGCAATGAGGTAGAGGTGAACTTTGCTAGATGCTACACAAACAGTGAGTATGCATTACAACTGAGGAACACTGAGTTTAGGAAACCCAAATCTTTATAATGGACCTCAACCAAACCTATATGACTTTGCTCCAAAAAAAAAAGAGTTTATCATACTGAGTAGTGTAGTATTAACCCTCTTTTTTAGAGGTAGACAGTCATCTCTACCTTCCATAGTTTTATGTTATGAAACACTCTTGAAAAAATAAGAACAAAAAACCATCAGTGTGTCTGCTGACAAAACATAGGAATGCAGGAAACCCAAGGATCATTGTCTCTAAGCCTCCCAACAAAAACCTGAATTGACTGTAAGAAATATTTCTTAGCTCTTTTGACCTGTCTCAGGCAGTATTCCATGGCTTTGTACAGAAGCAAGATCCTGTATACTTCAAAGGTCATGTTTTCCTGCTCTCCTGCCCTGTCTTCTATTTTGGCAGACCAGCTACCATCTCCATTCACTCAGGGATGGTCCATGGAAAACACTAACAAGTAACTGCAGAATTGCTCTGTGACTAGGGTTACTTGGGATATTTTCATCCAGCCAGCCCAAACATAAATAGTTTGGCTGATTTCTTCTTATTCATATCTACTCTTATTTTGCTAGTTTCCTAATATGTAATGTCTTATTTTTCTTTTGAACTTATGCCTGTAGTTGGATTCTCTTTTGGATGTGGTTGAAGAGTTCATGATAATACCATATATGATTTGACAACCTAAATTAAAGTTGGCAACACATGTTTTCCAGAGACCCAACTGTTACAGATGCCGCTTCCTTCCATCATTCCTACAGGGCTTAAAAGAGTTACATGTCTTCTCTGTCTCAGGAAAGAATAATTACTCTTTAAATGCTCCTCAGAACTTTTTTGTTTGTTTGTTTGATCTTCAGCTCTCTACTAGTTTCAAATAGCTGTGATTTTTTGCATATCTGTCTTGGTTTTAGTGTTAAGTTGAAAGCAAGTGTCTCATAATTTTCTACATCCTAATCAGAAGTAGACAACGCACTTATCTTCTTTTGTTCAGCAAATAGCTCAGTGTAATCATGATTATTTTCTGATCTTTCCCCTCTGTTGTACCATTAAAAAAGAAAAAAAAAAAAACTCTAGCCATCTTAATTTTTTTTTTTTTTTAATGAAACTGTGGTTTTCAGAAAACCTTCCATCAGGGCATCCTCTTTTACCCATAAAACTGATGAGATGAATCAATGAGATTTTCGCTAATAAAAATTATTTTCTTTCCCAGCTCTGCTTTAAGAACTGTCTGTTTACTTTTGAAGTTGTCTCTCTACTTTCATTAAAGAACATATATAAATTTATTTGATGGTAATTTTTTCTTTAGTTTGATAGTTTTTAATATTTTCCTTGGTCTATTTTTATTTTCTATGCTCACTAATTTCATCAGACTTTGTATAGAGGTAGTTTTTATAAACTGGTTTCATTTCTCTAGTTGAATCTAGAAATTACTAATCTGTTTTAGGAAATACTATTTATTATATACTCCATATAATTTTACGTACATGTCTGTATATGGTGAAAAAGTTAACCAAATATATACACTAAAACTTAGTAATTTGGCGTCATTGTACTTGAGTGGGACACATCACTTTTGCTCACATTGCTTGGCCATCGCTAGCCTCATGCCATTGGCACAGGGAAGTGTAAGTACCCAAAAGTCAAGTAACAATTATTTTGAGCAATATTATAATAGACCTCGTAGGCAAGTAGCAAGGCCTGCTATATTACCTAAAAATTCATTATCTGAATTAATAAGATAGGTGGCTCCTAATTAATTAAAAGTTTGTCAGATAAAATAGCTCAAATGTTTAGATTCTCTGTTCTGCAGCATTAAAATTAATCAGAGATAAGACTCAAGGGTGTTACTAAGGCACAAGTTAACATAAGATTAAAAATTTGTGTCAAAACATAGAACTCAGTATCTGTAGTGAACAGGATTGGGAAGGTGGAAAGGAAGTAGTTTCAGATTTATAACTCAGAGCATGCTATGTCCAAACCCGTCCCAGAGACTTGACCATTTGTGTACTATCATAGGCAGATTTTATAACTTTGGAGGAAAAAAAATCTAACTTTAAAAAAAGCCTTTTCTATGGGCCAGTAATAGTTCTAAGCATGGATTAACTTGTTTATCACAATAACCCTATAAAGTTGTTTTCCATAAAAGAAGTTTTAAAAATATATTCCCAATTTTATGTGTGAAGAAAATGAAGCGCAGAATATTAAAATGGAAATTTCAGCTAAGCTAGTTAGCAAATACCAAGTGAGATGTAAGACAACCCATCATGGAAAAATTTCAAAATAAGGTCAGACTCAGGTGATTTATTCTTGTTAAGAAGAGAATTGTAGTAAGAATTTGATTCAAAGATGTTGAGTTGTAGAGAATTCTATTAGCAGAAGCTACTGAACAGCTGTGAGTTCCACCTTTCTTTTATTCCCCTGTCTCAACCAGGAAACCCCCATCTCACTTGAAGTCTAGTGGAAAGGGCTTTAAGAGAACTATTCTGAGAACTTGATATGTATCTCCTGCAGTAGTTTAAAAAATTAGATTGTAGCCTAGCTTCTGGATGAAAAATCTGAAGGCTGAGAGTGGCCCAGTCAGTCACTTTTATGGCACAGAAAAAGAGAACTGCTGTTGACTTGGGAATCAGGCTGGATTGTACAAGCAAGGTCAAGGACCACTTGAACAGTCAAGGCAATTATTTCACTCTGTGATTTTCTGCGCTCCAAACCTTCCAGAATTCCCATATAGTCTCATCAAATGGAAAAAGCACACCTGCAACATTTGTAAGATTCAATTTTTCAGCCAACTTCACGGGAGTGCAAAGTTGTATTTTATTTAAGAAAATAAAGAAATGGAATTTAGCTCTAGTTAATTGAAATATTAATTCTATAAAAATAGAAATCAGGATTGTAAAATCATGAAACTTATCATCTCAACAAGTTTGATTTCATATTTTCAGCATTTCCTTTTTATGATAAGCCATTAAAATCAACAAAGTAAATGTATAGTATCCAAATGCCAATTGAATTAAATATTGAGTATTAAAAAGCTTCATAAAAAGAATAATAGAAGCAAAGGCAACTCTAAGTTATCCAGAAAGCCTCATTTAAAAAACCAAGATACAAACTATTCTATAAAATGTGTTTAAAAAAATAGTGAGGAGTTAGTAGTATTTGTACTGGTGGTTGAAACATATGTGATAAAAATAACACTATAAAGGAAATGTTTCTAGAAACATACAAATAATCTGGAAGAATTCTTTAATATCCAAATTTGAAGCTTCAAAGAAGGAAATATGTTCAGCCAAACAAATAAATTAATTCTAAATAGGTATACATTTCTAAGATGTTAACTGATATATATTATTCTTTCATAAGATTAATAAATGATTTGCCTGGATCAACCCATAAATTTGGTTTTGGCAATGGCAATAATCACAATGATAACCAAAATGAGATGCCAGATTTGTGAGGCCATGTTTTGTTTGAAGAGCTGAAGATAAATATGGCAATGAAGCATCTTGTTTTCATCGTATTTATCTATCCAACCATTTGGTATATTAAACATGCTATTGCTCTGTCTGCACAGCACAGCATGAAGTGGCTATTTGGCAACTTTTCAATTAACTTCACCAAGGTGGTAAACCAAACCAGATAATTCAGGTTAAAAAAAAAAATCACACTTTCGAATTATCAGATCTGGCTGTCTACATCAGGGACTAATTGAAAGCAGAAAAGAACTGCTTGTCAAACACAGTCACTTAAAATTATTAAACTGATTAAACAGATCCTTCATTGCCTAAATTACAAGACAAGTTAAATTTTAATAGCCAAAAGGGGAACCTAAGGCAGTGTCTTTATAATAAAATGGATTGGCTGTTTAAGATCAAACACTAAGTACACAATCTTATTGTAATCAGCTGATTCAAGTGAGTAGTTCTAATATTTAAATCACTAAAATAACCTTATCATTACTGTGAGAAGATAAAATCAGATAAAATTATATTTTTATAAACTAAGTATTGCACTACTTTCGCAGTGTATAAGTGCTTTGTGATTTTACTAGAAAGAATAGTATATGGATATTGATTAATGTGCTTAACAGATTATCGGGTTCCAATGTGATTTTTAATACAGAATTTCCTAGAATCATTTATTAAATTCATTCTAAATTTGTTAAAATTAAATAACTTCATGAAAGGTAAATGCAGCCTTTTGCTATTACGACTGTTTTTTAGATTGTGGTTTTAATAATTTGGATTCTGCTTAGTCAGCTATCATAATTGCATTTGGATTATGCACAATTCATTTGTGCTCTTATTTATTCTTTAAAACATCCAAATTTATAAAGCATAGAAATTTCACTGTTAGGTAATACTACAAACAATACAATGAAAAATAATAATGTCAGATTTTCTGGAAAATCTCTCTTTTAAAAGTTCTGAATTCTGTGATTTACTGTTTATTGAGAACCAATTATATGTGATTGCATATTTGTTGCTTCATAGATTCAAAAGTCTGGGATATTTATTTACCTAATGGTAGTGTATTCTGATCAATGTTATGACCTATGTATCTGATAATTTCACTTACACATATAGTATACTCTTTGTGATTATAAAAATAGAGCAAGTTATCCCTTATTTACACCTGCAGACACTCACTGATTTTAATTAATAGTGGACTCAATTAGATGTAGATCTGCTAAAGCCCAACTTTTTATGTTCCTTTTAAATTTATATCTATAGTTGGGTTCTCTTTTGATTGATATTCCTTAAAAAATGGTCCTGTCAGTTGACCAGTTAATGCAAGGTTATCGTTGTTTGTCAGCCTGAATGAAAGTAATTCAACAATGATATCTATTCTTTCCAATTTGTGCTGCAATTCAAGAAGAAAGTTATTAATAGCACTAGAAACTTTTGTGAGTGAAAATAGGGTAAGTGCCTTATGTTATTCATTCAATTAAACAAATGATTTATCACTTGCCTGAATATTTGAATATAAATTTTTCTTTTCTAACTTGAATTTTTAATCAATGAATGTCATTAATAGATTTCTAGAATGTCCATGTTCTCTATCAATATATCAAAATAGATCTAGAAATTTCAGAGTGTTTCTGAATCTATCACAATTGTTTGAAACAACACATTTATTTTTCTAACCAACATGTTAAAAATTAAATTTAAATGAGAAAAACAAGATCCTTCACATCAACCTAATGTTACTCAAATTAAAATTTTTCTTTTCGGATAATAAAATATTATGGATTTGGGGAAAACATTAGATAAATAATACGCTTAATGTCATCTAACACAAAAAAGTTGATATTTTGCACTAAAAAAAAAAAGTGGTCCTGCTCTTAGAAGTGATAACAGTAATAACCCTAAAGTAAAAAGTCAATATGAACTGGTGAAAATATATCAAATAAAGTTACCACAATGAACACTTTCATAAGAAAGTACATTTTGAAAGTAATACAGTAAACCAAGTTATCTGCAAATATATGAGGAGATAACATATGTGCAATATTACTTATATCCTTAAATTAATTTTAGAAAGACCCACAGTATTCAACTTGAAACTGTATTACCATATGGTTTTCACAAATTGATTTATTTTATACAACAAAGAATCAATTTTCTTATACTGTACACTTACATAATACTAAAGATAACATTTTTCAAAATTTTAAACACTTTAGTTTTTGAGAAAACAAATTAAAGCTTTGCTTGCTAAATTCTGATCTTTTAAAACTCATTATGCTTAGAAATATATCTAACCAAAGAGGAGAAAGAACTCTACAAGCAAAACTACAAAACACTGCTAAAAGACGTAAACAACACAAACAAATGGAAACACATCCCATGCTCCTGGTTGTGTAGAAGCAATATTATGAAAATGACCATACTGCCAAAAGCAATTTACTAATTCAATGCAGTTTCCATTAAAATACCATCATCATTTTTCACAGAATTAGAAAAAACAATTCTAAATTTCATATGGAACCAAAAAAGAGCCCACATATCCAAAGCAAGACAAAGCATAAACAACAAACCTGGAGGCCTCACATTACCTGATTTCAAACTATATAGTAAGGCCATAGTCACCAAAAGAGCATGGTACTGGTATAAAAATAGGCATATAGACCAATGGAACAGAATAGAGAACCCAGAAGTAAACCCAAATATGTACAGCCAACTGATCTTTGACAAAGCAAACAAAAACTTAAAGTGGGGAAGGGATACCTTTTTCAACAAATGGTGCTGGGGTAACTGGCTAGCCACATGTAAGAGAATATAACTGGCTCCTCATCTCTCATCTTATACAAAAATCAACTCGAGATGGATCAAGGATTTAAATCTAAGACCTGAAACTATTAAAAATTCTAGAAGATAACATTGAATAAACCCTTCTAGACATTGGCTTGGGCAAGGATTTCATGACCAAGAACCCAAAAGCAAATGCAATAAAAATAAAAATAAATAGCTGGGACTTAATTAAACTAAAGAGCTTTTGCACAGCAAAAGAAACAGTCACCAGTGTTAACAGACAACTCACAGAGTGGGAGAAAATCTTCACACTCTATACATCTGACAAAAGGACTAATATCCAGAATCTACAATGAACTCAAACTGGCAAGAAAATAAACAAACAATCCCATCAAAAAGTGGGCGAGGAACATGAATAGACAATTCTCAAAAGAAGATACACAAATGGTCAACAAACATGAAAAATGCTCAATATATATTATATAAATGCTCCATATAATATATATGATATATAATATGTTATATAATATAATGTTATTATATAACATTAATATATAATATATATTATAATATAAAAAAACGCTCAATATAATACATACTATATAAATAATATATATTATATATAATATAATACATATTATATATAATATATATTATATATAATATAATACATATTATATATAATATATATTATATATAATATAATATATATTGTATATAATATATTATATAAATAATTATAAAAAATTATAAAATTTTATAAAAAATTATAAAAAATAAATATATATTATATATAATTAATAAATTATATAAATTATATATGAATTATATATAATATATTATATACATAATGTATGAATATATAATATATTGTATATAATTAATATATAAATAATATATACATTATATATTATATATAATATATTATATATTATATATTATATATAATAAATATATAATATATAATTAATATTATATATCATTATATATATAATATATAAATAATATATATAATGTATATAAATAATATATATATAATGATATATAATATAATGTATATTATATATTATATATTTATTATATATTATATATTATATAAATTATATATAACTAATATATTATATAAAATATAATATATATTATATAATTAATATATTATATAAAATATATTATATAATTAATATATTATATAAAATATAATATATATTATATAATTAATATATTATATAAAATATAATATAGTATATAATATATTATATATATTGTATATAATATATTTTATATATTATATAATTAATATATTTTATATATTATATAATTAATATATTTTATATATTATATAATTAATATATTTTATATATTATATAATTAATATATTTTATATATTATATAATTAATATATTTTATATATTATATAATTAATATATTTTATATAGTATATATAATCTACATAATATATAGAGGAATATATATATAATGGAATCTAGAATTTTCAGAGTGTTTCTGAGTCTATTAAAATTGTTTGAAACAACAGTTATTTATTTTTCTAACCAACATGTTAAACATTAAATTTAAATGAGAAAAACAAGATCCTTCCTATCAAGCTAATGTTACTCAAATTAAAATGTTTATCTTTTGCATACTACTCAGTCATGAAAAGGAATGAATTAACAGCATTTGCAGCGACCTGGATGAGATTGAGACTATTATTCTAAGTGAAGTAACTCAGGAATGGAAAACCAAATATCGCATGTTCTCACTCATATTTGGGAGCTAAGCTATGAAGATGCAAAGGCATAAGTATGATACAACGGACTTTGGGGACTTGTTGGAAAGGCTGGGAGTTGGGTGAGAGATAAAAGACTACAAATAGGATGTAGTGTATACTGCTTTGGCAATGGGCGCACCAAAATCTCACAAATCAGCACTAAAGAACTTACTCATATAACCAAACACCACCAGTACCCCAATAACCTATGGAAAAATAAAAGATACGTATATAATAAAACACTTACATCCTCAAAAAAATAAAACTCAATATGAAATTCAAAGAAATTATTAAACTATGTTAATTCTTTCAAATTTACCGGACATTATAGTTGTGTTTCTCACACTACCTACCTATATAAAAAGGGTTAGCAGCAAATTCTGTGGCCTTTGCTGTAGTTTTAGGAACATCTATGGATGTAACCTATTGCCAATTTTTCTTGTAATATTAACTCAGGATTGTAAGGGATTCTCCAGGCCCAACATGAATGAAAATGCCCCCAAAGATTATGTAGAGGACCAAGTACCTACACTTAACTGTCGATATCATGTATTGTTTAATGAGAGACCTCTATGAAAAAGACGCCGATACACTAGAGAATAGGAGCTAGCATACCCACCTCAGAGGTTGCATGACCAACTAGGGGTGACATTGAAAGAACCCCAGGTTCATGAAGCCTGTGCACACGTGGTCAGCCTCTTCTCTTGTGACATGTGCCAAGGTCAGAATGACAGGGACACCAGAAGCTGTGCCTGGAAGTCATAAGGTATTTAGTATGCTGTTGATCTATATTCTCTGTTGTTTCCTCAGCTGTACACTAATTCAAAGTAAAGGTGAGCTGGGTGAATGAAGCCTATTGTGTATGAGTTTGACTGTCAAGTTGAAATCAAAACCACTGCTTCCAGTAGAGCAGAGAGGGCACTGCAAAAACTAACTTCTATAACATGAAAATAATATTGTCCATATATGTCAAGTTTCTATCCAGCAACATAAAATGTTCAGATAACAAAAGACAATAATACAGAAACATCCAATTGAAATAATAACTCGCTCTAATGCACTGCAATTTACATTTTCAGATTATATTTAGCTTATAGAACCAAATTGATCACCATTTTTTGTGCTATTTCATTCTTAAATTTCCTGTTACAGTTAGTAGAATTTGAAAAAAAAACACATTTCTAAAGAAATCATTTCTAAAAAGTGTTTGGCCTGGGTGCATTAGCTCTCACCTGTAATCTCTCTACTGTGGGAGGTTGAGGCAAGAAAACCACTTAAGCTCAGCAGTCTGAGACCAGCCTGGGCAATGTGGCAAAACTCTGTCTCTACAAAAAATAACATAAAATGATTAACTGGATGTGGTGGTGCATGCCTGTAGCCCCAGCTACTTGGGAGGCTGAGGCAGGAGGATCGCTTGAGCCCTGGAGGTCGAGGCTCCAATGGGCTGACTGTGACACTGCATTACAGCCTGGGTGACAGAGTGAGACCCTGTATCAAAAGGAATAACAAATAAATAAAATAAAAGGTGTTTGAATAAACTCAGATGTCAATTCAAATACCTCAAGAGACCTACAATATAGAGATTCTATGCCTGTTGTTGAGGGTATATAATTTGCAATTTCCAATAGCCTAGTATCAACACAATGGCAATTTTTGAATGTGCATGTGTGTGTGTGTGAGAGAGAGAGAGAGAGAGGGAGGGAGATATATATATATATATATATATATATCTCTACATATATATCTACATATATATCTACATATATATATATATATACATATATAGAGAGAGACAGAGAGAAATCTCTGCTACTATAGCTTTACAACAAGAAAACTTAAGTATCAAATTTATGAGACCATGGGAAAATATAGGTTGAGGTGGCTGAATAGTCATGGCTCAAATAAATCTTAATTGATTTGAAACAAAATCTTTCTATTAATTTAATCCAAATTGGTATAGAACACATTCATTCAGTTTATTTTCCTTATGCATATTATGCAGGTACCTATCACTCCCACCACCACAACATATAGAGAACCAAACTTAAGTGAAAAACTAACATTTAGTTTATCCTAGCAGAGATGTACATGCATTAGGTTAAACATTAAATAGCTTGTGTTTATCTCATTGATTTCATATGGTTCAATCTAATACATATTCCTTGACACTGGTGGGACTCAACAATTGAGGTTTATACATTTAACAAGTGTATCATGATATAGTTGCGCCTTTTAGATATAATTCAAAGACTTGACTAGATAAAAATAATACTTTTATTCTTATTAAATAAATGTCATTTTTGTAACTTTCCTCAGGTACTAAAACCTCATTAACTTGTTGACACCATTCTGTATGGGAACGGTCAAGTTTTATTTTATGAAGATGAAGTTCCTTGCTCTTTCCTTGCAACACAAATCACAGTATACCTAGTTTTAAAAACATAGTAGTCACAATGCAGTGAGTATAAGCAATGATCCACATGAGTCAGTTACCTGGAAACCAGTATTATTTTGTAGTTTGAGCAGTAGTAAAATCTCTATTACTGGAGTGAACAAATTATTATTAAGTTACACATTTTACCTCTCTGTTTCTTTGGGGTATTCTCAGAACTTAGTACTTACATGTTGGTATTTGAAATTTTATAGGAAGCACAATAATGCAAGACATATGAAATTTATAACCTAACATTGCATTTTTTGGCTTTTTTATACATCATCTTTGGGATTTAATTTACTTATCAGATTGTACTAGTCTCAGAGTCTGTATTATATTTATCCAGAATAAATGAATTATATTGTGCAGCTATAATTTTGACAATAAAGAATTTTCTCTAAATAATTAATGGCATTTTTCCCCTTTCTTTATCTGAAAAGATTGCTCAAGTCATGTTCCCTAAAGATTTCACTGTCCCACAGAGACAAAGTTGACAGGTGATGGCTAGATATTTCTAATTAGGAGAAACTCCAAAGTAAAGCACTTTCCAGAAGGAGTAGCAGTTAGCCCCTGTAAACAATATTTGACACCTGCTTTGTTAAATTAGAATGAACACCTGCCATTCACTGCTCAGAATGTTTAATGCTCACTAATTTCAAGTAAACACTAAAAAGTTATACTAAACACTTTGTATGGGTTGAGAATTTTAAATTAAATAAACTATAATATTAACTTTTATTTGTTTTAATTAAATTTTATTACACAATTACAATGTGAATCCATTGTCTTGACAAAGAATTCAAATTTTATACTAAGACTCAGATCCCATTTGACCACCAAGTTCAATCTTATTTTGAATATTAACTCAAAACACAAAAGCCCTAAAATTTGTCATTTGGTTAAAATGATATATTCTGTAGGAAAAAGTCATGAATAATTTACCCTGTGTGTTTCTGGAGAGTAATTCATTCATTCTCTCAAATATTTGTGAAGCAGACAGAAAACAAGCAAATCAATTAAGTAAAATACATAGTAAATTAGAAGGTGATAAGTACCATTAAATTTTTAAGGTTTTTAAAAAAAAAGAAGAATCCCAAATACTCTTATTAACGGAGATTACACTTTTAGTTAAGTAGATTAAAAAACAACTTTAATGAAAAGGTGTTACTGGCGAAATAATGTGAGGGAAGTGAAAAAGGCTACCATAGGGACATCTGGCAAAGAGCATGACAGCCAGAGGCGAGGGCAACAGTAAAGGGCTTGAAATGCCAGAAACCTTGGCACATTCAGGAAGAAACAAGGGAGCAACTGCATCTGGATAAGAATGAGGTAGTTGGAAAGGAATAGGCAAGGCTGACTACATAAGTTGCGGGGCCCAGTGAGAAATGAAAATGTGAGGCCCCTTGTTCAAAAGGAAGGGGAAAATGCTATTAAGGTACTGCAGTATAAAGATTTCTCTTTTCTTTAATGGCCTATCTTTTGACTTGCCATGGTGTTTTAAATTTACTTTTTATTGTTCTAAATAAAGGAAAATTAAACCTCTAAATTATTGCCTTTAATTTTACTGTTTATCTATATGTTGTACACTGGAGTTTTTAAATGCAAATGTAAGAGCAATTAAGTCATATGCAGAAACACTGAAATCACACAGTTTGCATTTTGTAACTAATACATGCATATGCATTTTGTTATTATCAGTGGCAGCAGTGCAAAAACAAATTCCACTGCTTTTATTCTACTACCTCATACATGCACATTCTCCCAACCCTCACAGCTTACAGAGTACTGAAAAGAAAAGGAATTAAGGGTTGCCCTAGTTTTCCCATTCCTCTTATGCCATCATTTTCAGTATAAGTGTTTGGCTAATACCAGAGTGTTTATATGAGTGTTAACATGAGGAAGAAAGTTATGATAGGTTTCCTTGATTATCTGTGTTTCTCAGAACCATTGCCTTCATTCTTTTTTCAATGCAAGTTTTTGTTCAAATGTAGAGTAGCTTCTGAGGGTTGTCAACACACTGCTGATTACTCAGTCATAGACACAATATGCTTTTCTTGTTCTCCACTTGAATCCTGCTGAAGATCCATGCACTATGCAACCACAAGGATTCTGTGTTCTTGGGTCATTGCAAATGCTCTATGACAGTGAGATGGCAAGGAACAGTGTACTATTGTGTGCATATCCATTGGATTTCATTTACAAATCATATGTTCAAGGAAACAACAGGAATTTTAAGAAGTCAGCAGAGCATTATGCCAACACATACTATGTGTGGCTGCTCACGTCACATGCCCATGAGGCTGGCCCTGAGAGAAGGAGATAAGAACAGAAAGTTGATGAGAGGCCCAGTTGACAAAGGGCCTTGTAGGCCATTGTAAGAATTTTGAATGTATCCCAAATAAAATTGAAAGCCACTGTAGGGTTTAGTGGGCAGAGTGGTCATATTGGAATTTTATGTTCATGTTTACTGACTTAGTACTTTTCATTTGCTAAAACATTAGCTCTTTAGACCTCTGTAAAATACTCCAATTATTTTGGACTCTACAGGATATGCTTCCCTTATTCTGTGCTTATAAATTTCCAGTGCTCCACAAGGCCATTTCGGTGCTTCTAATTTTTCTCTGGCATCACAGTTCTGAAATGCCATCTCAGGAAAATCAAGCTGTTCTGTGGTTTATTACTGAAGTTTCCAAATACAATACCAACTATGCCCAAATATACTTCAGAGTTTAGAAAAGTCACTTTTACATTTTTTAAAAATGTATGTTTTATCTCTCCATGAAACCAAAACCTACATCCAGGAGGCAGAAGAAAGGATGGATTTGAAAACCACTATTTTTCTGTCCTCAGAATGCTGCCCCTTCACCTCATACAATGCATTTTTTCTAAAGAGACTGTTGAGGTAAACTTGGAGGTGAATTTATGTCATTTTCTAAAGGAATGAGCACATCTATTAACATTAGCTCAATTAATTATTTCCTTTTTTTTTCAGTCAGGCTTTAGTGAAGAATCTTGCCTAGTCTGCTCTTGAGTTCTATGTTTCTGATGCCTAGTGTAAAAAATAATATTGCTATCAGCCTTAAAATTATTGTATTTGATTCAATTCCAAAAGCTTGTTTCACTTCATCCTTACAGATGTTTTTAAATTGGGGTTTAGCAGATCCAATTAAGAAGACTACAAAAGGCTACCTAAAGTGGTGTCTTTTAGGCAATTTAGTCTCTAAAACTGTTTCTTCAAGTTTTGTATAATTGTTGCAAACTTTATACTATAGTACCAATAAGTTCCTGATAGAATTTTCCACGTAGCCAACACTCTAGAAGTGTTTGTTAATGTCCATGGCCTGAGTCCCAGACAAGAAAAGACGAATGAATTTGAATTTTGGGTTCTAGGGACTGCGTGGTTTATATGTAATTGTTCCAATGAATGATAATTACTAAGGAGGATTTAGGAGACAGGAGGCCAGGGACAAATATTATCACTGGCCTAGTTTCTTTGACCCTTTTTATTATAACACCCTCTTTTTCAAACTCCTTCAGTTTTCACACCACCTTTTACTTGTTTTTGACCTCTGAAAACAAGAGGCATTTCGCTACAACACCTTCAATGATTATTATCACCTGTAAATAAAAAGCAGCCTCTGATTATGGATTTCCGGTGCTTCATGGGCAAAGCCCCACTCTGCCTTTCAGCTTTATTTCCCATTATGATTTATCACAAATATACAGATGGTCAGCACTTTCCAAGGATGCTTATGTTCACACTGCTTCCTCCACATGGAATAGCTTTCCCCATTAAGTCTGTGGATTGAAATAATTGTACAAAGGCCCAACACAGATTAAAATTACTAATAAAGCCTTTCTCAGATTCACCATTTTTTCAACATACAATGGACATCCTTAGGATGTTTACCATGTGCAAATCTCTAAATAACTTTATATTAACCTTATGTTATAGGTACTGTCACCACCCCTATTTTATAGATTTTAAAAATTAGGCAAATAAAAATTAAGTTACCTGTCGGGCGCAGTGGCTCACGCCTGTAATCCCAACACTTTGGGAGGCTGAGGTGGGTGAATCACAAGGTCAAGAGTTCAAGGTCAGCCTGGCAAGATGATGAAACCCCAAGGCCAGCCTGGCAAGACGGTGAAACCCCATCTCTACTAAAACTACAAAAATTAGCCAGGCTCAGTGGCAGATGCCTGTAATCTCAGCTACTTGGGAGGCTGAGGCAGGAGAATCGCTTGAACCTGGGAGGCAGAAGTCGCAGTGAGCCAAGATTGCGCCATTGCACTCCAGCCTGGGCAACAAGAGCGAAACTCTGTTTCAAAAAAAAAAAAAGGAAAAGAAAGAAAAAAGAAAAATTAAGTTACCTGCTAGAGGTCATGCAACTTTCTTGCTTCCGTTTCAAGTTCTTAATACCTAACCCTAGTTCTTCAAAATGAAACTTTCCCCAATGTCTACTTTATCATTTTGCTTCTTGAGAATATTTATTTAATTGTTTTTGAATTACAGGGAATGATAAAATCACTTTCCCAATGTCATTTTAAGCACTATGAAGTCAGAAACTTTATACTTAATAGTGTTTTCCACAACATTTAATATGGAAATCTTTGTGGTATAATGATGTTTTGGGCTTGTCTTTGTTTTGGTTTATATTGTTCATTTTGTTTTTTTGTTAGGGAAAGGGTTATCCTACAGTATCAGGCATTGTACTAAGAATAATACAATAATGTAATAATAAATGGAAACATTATACCATAATAATATCATTGTTTTATGTATAGGGAGATAGATATTAGGGAATTAAGTAATTTGCTCATGGTATATGCATATGTGTATACATTATATATTATACCATGTAACATATAATATTAATTATGATACACGAACGTTTTTAAAAGAAAGACACCAATACATTATGTATAGTAATAATAGAAATAGGTATAGTTTTATATGAGTAAAAGAAGTGCTGTAACCTACTGCAAGCAAATGTAAAACAGAAGATTTTCTTATTCATAAATAATCTATGAGAATTTAAAATGACAAATTTATTATGATTATTATTAATGGGCAATTAACATACCACTTCACACCTGCATAGGTTTTCATACTTTAGAAAACATTTTTACCTCCAGTCTCTTGTTTGATGCACGGGATGATATTAAGCTCAATTTTGAGCCTTCTACACTGACAGCCAGAAAAAGACTATGAGTTACACACGGTGCTAACACTATAAAAAATGAAGAATCTTGATTGCCAGTCCCCAATTGTTTCCAAGTAATTCTCCATCCACAAAAATAATTTACACAAATTTCTAGGGAAATAATTTATTTGTCCTTTATTCTGAAGAAAGCAACATTCATGCTGGGTGGCTGACAGCAGGTGTTAATTCTGCAAGTACTAATTTAACATAGCAGGTGTCAGATACACTGGGTATTAACTGCATGGTTGCTACAAAGTGATGACAATCACTAAATGAGCTCTGATCAGGTGGCTCCTGGCACTTGCAGGCCTTCTGCTTGATTTTATTACTTACCTGAGCTTCATTCGTTGGGGCAACATCCCTTGGAAGTCTGCTGCTCAGGAGTTTTGGAGTAATGAGCGTCTACTCCTGGGATGTGGACATTTTGTCTATCTCCACCATCATTTCCTTTTGTCAGTCACACATGATATGACATATCAGGGTAATTATAATCATTTTATTTTTTTAAATGATGAATAATACTGTAGGAAAATTGTCAGCAGCTGCTTCAAAATTAACTACCTTCCCAAAATATTGCCAAGCATCTGCTCCCACCCCATTCCTCTCCACACCACTTGTAAGTAATCTGGAAAAATGTGCAGACACATACATTCACTTCGAACTTGCCATAATTTATGAAAAATATAATTTCAGAAAAGAGAAATTTAAACTTATGCCTGTCTCTTAATCTATATTTTGGATGTTGGTAAAATATTGCTTCTAACTTGTCTTGTTTTTTAATATATAACTTCTAGACGTTTTCCACAATTCATGATATTTTTAGACATGGGTCATGCTATAACAATGTTTTTCAACATTTTGTTTAATTTCTTAGCTGTTTTTTCATGAGTATTTAATTTTCATGTTTTCATGTTTGAGCTTTGGTTATTTTTTCTCAATAATGTCTTTGCTGTTAGTAGGTTCACACTCTGTGTTCTTTATTTAAACCACACCCGCAAGTATCTCCTTCTTATATCTTGTTTTTGCCCAGTCACTTAACTTTTATTTTCACCTGTCCTTTTCTTTAAAGATGGTTTGACTCTGAGGAGACAGGGACTGCTACAGTTTGTAAAAGGATGTGTTTAATGCTACTGAGTTCTAGAGAAAGTCAATGAATGTCTGAAAAATGATATTTTCCACAGTACTTCCTTTGAATACAAAGAAATTTTGTTGTTCAGCTTCATTTGTCTTTATGCTACATCTCCCATCTCCTCACCCTTTGAGTATTAAGCTGCAGCTGATCATAACAAATGGGAAATAAATTAATTGAGTTGTCATCAAAATCAGCAGGCTCAAATTCTTTGAAATGATCTTCTACTTGCAGGTAAAATCTATGCAAAGCCAGGGAGCTGTGGGCTTTTTATTATTCTTGTTTAGCTGGTTAACACTATTCAGAGACTGAGTGAAAGCAGAATTTGTTAGCCTTTTGTGAAACAAAAAACTCAAATTCACAAGCCTTACCATGAGAATAAAGCCACTTACAGGGGTGTTTTATAACAGATTGATCTAAAAGAAATGAGGTGGGGTGCTGAGAGAGGTACCACAGACAGGTAAGGGTAAAAGTTGGTGGTGAGAATGCCAACTTCCAGGGGAGTGAATCCTGATGTTGCCTTTTATTTTGCTCTAATCAACCAATATACAGTTTATGACCCAGTACGTGACAGCCCATTTGTGATGCACTTTAGAGAGGTCTTACTTCATGAGAGTAAAGTAGGCATGATATCTTTGAAATGGAGATCTAAAAATGTAATGAGGATGTACTCTTTAGATCATAAATGTATTTTATGTAAGATCCTCTTTCATCATGGAGAGCTTATTGTGTGAACAAAAAGACTGTCATAGAACCCCTACTTTAAAGGACTTCTAAACACAGCCACCCTGCCACAACCCAAACTGTGAAATGAGATGAATTAACTAGCGAAGGCACCTTTAACAGTGGTGATCACATTTATGGAATCATGACATTCTAACAAGCTTTCTATATCACACAAAGGGAAGCTGAGCCTTGATCACAGTGCTGGCAAACGGAAAATGTGGGCTAAGAAAAGCCTCTAGCTACACTAGCCAACTTAGAAATAGCTAGCAACTCTGCTTCCTTTTTTTCTGTCAAACATAATCATAGAAACAATTTGGTCCATGAAGTTTGGATTAAATTATCCTGAAATAGAGAGGACGCCACAACACCGAAGGTCAGCTAAGTTAGGCTTTGACTAGTGATTAAAATTTCATCAACATCTAGTTTTTGTAGGGAAGGGAAAACTTCTTTACCCTCAGGAGGTCTGCTGAAAAATCAGCTGACAAAAGGCAGATGAATAAGAGAAAAGGCATACAAATTTACTCGTGTTCACAGGGGAAAATCACAGAGTGATTATTCCCAACTCTCTAATGGGGTGCAGAAGCTTATATACCATCTCAAGATTACAGAAAGAATGGCGGCCAAAAACAGGTTACGGTGGTAAATCAGATTATAGTCTCAAGACAGGTTACTGGAGAGAAGATCAGGCAGGCTTGGCTGGCAAAGGTGGTCTTGTTGTATAGCTGAAACTTTACAGGTAGCAGCTGCCAGAGAAGAGATGGTGGATGTTTCTTTCAGACTTTTAAGGTATCAGACTCTCAGTTAATTTTTCCTAGATCCTGAGAAGGGAGGGCCTCAGAGAAAGCTTGGCTACATCAATGCACATTCCATACAGATGCAAATCTCTCGAACAAAACACAGCTTTGCAGGGCTATTCCTGTCTGCAGGCCCTTTAAACAGCCATCTCAAAATATATCAAAGAAGTTTATTTGGGGGTAAAATATTTTCATTTCCTCCACTGTTATCTGTGATACAGAGAGTTTCACGTAAATAAAATGGTGCTCAGAAAACTATACTTCATGAAATTACATTGAAATTAAATGAAATATTTAACAAAGGACACTTTTGTAAAAAATGCATACTACCTCTCAATATATTTTAAAAACAATTAAATATTAGATGTGGAATCATCAAAACTCCATTTTGTACATAGAGCATCTGAAGGCAGCTGCTTCATGAGAAGCCACATAATTATTTCTACCTCCTCCAAATATTTAATTATGACACAATCTCTTATTTTCAAAAATATGTTTTTATATTGTCTTGTTACTGATTTTACTTATTTCACAGTTATCACTTTTATGTCAATAAATTTTTGATAAAGTTCTAGATTCCAGTCATGGTAAATATTACTCCTGCACAGACATAGACATCAGACCCACAGAAACACACAAAGCCACAGAGAGACACACATATACCCCTACACCACACACTGACCAGACAATATGCACACAGAATTAGGTGTACGTAGTGCTTCTCTCACTCTAATGAGGAAAATCAACAGCATAAAAAGGAGAGCTATGACAATTGTCCTCATAATTTATCTGGTTCACTTCTGACTTCAAAAAGGTGAACAATTATATAATCCAGGACAGATTATTATTTTGCCCTTTCCGGGGAATTTCACAATCTTCTTTAATCTTTTTAAAATTTTATCATTCTTCGATAGCAAAAAAATTCCTTGTTTCCATCTAATTTAAAGACAATTCTAAAATTATGTAGGGGATTATCAGGATGTGTGATGTTGAGTATGATAAGGGTTTATAATTGTGATAAGTAATGATATATTCCTTGCCTATCTCTAGAAAGGATATGACTTAATTTTGTCATGAAGAATAAAAATAATTGAGGAAAAACACATTTTTAAAAGATGACAGACACACACTTTTAAGAGGATTTTAAATGATGATAGATACATGCTTTTAAGAGTTAATTGCTATAGTTTTCCACTATTGAAAGTCATCTCTTTCCTGAACCTCATTAAAGTCATTAGCACTTTATTTCTTGTGCCACTGTTGTTTACACATAAGTTTAATATCCCTCTGGATGTTTCCTGATCAGTGTTCAATCAATCTTTGTACCCTTCACAGTATCTTTTATATTACAAATTTTCAATAAATTTTTAATACAGCTTTGAACTCCATGGATAGGGAAGGAGGAAAGGAGTTAGACTTAGGTTGTTCTCAGTAACAAAACAACAATAGCAACAAAAGTGTAAAAGTTCATGTGTAAAACAAATGATTTCCTTCCACTGAAAAAAATGTCCAACAGACCTTCATGTAAGAAGGAATGTATAACTTAATAAAGAATATATTTAAATATAATTTTCCAAGGAAAAACACAGTGTTCAGATAGATACTTCTTACAAATATTTTATAAAAGTCAAGGATGAAACTGAAAACTTAACTCAGGGAGGAGGCCACTTTGGTGAATTAACTCTTGACAGGGATAGAACTTTGAAATTATGGAGAGCCTGGTTTTCTTAAATGTCAGTCTCAACAAAATTGATATGTATTCAATGAAAGTCAATATATAGTTCAATTCCCTGATGGGTTCACTTAACATTAACTTCTATTTTGTTTCTAAATACACACGTTCCAGACATTTTATTAATTCACTTTTCTTCACATTCATTTTTTCAGTGGGCACGTGCCAATCATTTAGGTTGAAAATATGAGTTTATGGTTAAAATAGGTGTCAAATTCTAAAAGTTATGAGGCAATCTAGGAGTACACATGGTTATGGGATTTAAGATTTAAAAATTTTGAATGAATAATATAGTCAAATGTAACAGCTAATGTGAATAAGACAACATCCCACCTAGGATGCTTAATATTTTATGTCAACCTGAGTAGGTCATGAAATGCTCAGATTAAACATTATTTCTGGGTGTGCCTATGAGGTTGTCTGCAGAAGATTAGCATTTGAATCAGTGGATGCAGTAAAGTAGACTGCCCTTCCCAATATGGGTGGACATTATCCAATTCACTGAAGGCCTGAATAGAATCAAAGGCAGAGGAAGGAGGAATTTACCTCTCCTTTTCTGCCTCACTGTTTGAGCCAAGACATCTCATCTCATTTTCTCCTACCCTCAGACTGGGATTTACACCATTTGTTCCCCTGGTTCTCAAGCATTCTGACTAAGACAAAATTATACTGCAAACTTTCCTGGGTTACAGGTGCTGGAGAGCAGATGATGGGACTTCTTAGGCTTCATAATCACATGAACCAATTCTTCATAATAAATGTCTCTCTCTGGAGATAAATATATATCTTACTGGTTCTGTAGGAGAACCCTAATGAGTACATCAATCACCTACCAATACTCTTTTTTCCAAGGCAGTGAAATTTAACCTTTGGATTCAAAGACTCTTTGGAGAACTTGATAAAATTATGAGCCATTAACTTAAAGAGAAACCAACAAATAAAATATGTTATATATCTCTCTTTCTTACCCTTCTCTTGGCTTACTATACACTAGCCACAGTAGCCTCTTTGCTGTTTCTTGAATAGCCAGACCACTTAGTGCCTTGCATTGGCTATTTCATCTGCCATGAACAATCCTCCTGGAATTTTTGGTCTGGCTTATTCCCTCACCTCCTACAAATCACTGCTAAATGTCACTTTCTCATATGGATGACACCAACCAGATAGACATTTCAAATTTTAATCTCTCCACTACCTTTCACTCTCCAGATCAGCCCTTTTTTTTTCTATATTTTTAGCACTTTGTAAATTCTACACCTTTTAGTTTTCTGTTATTTTACTCTTTATTGTATATTCTACCCCTTGAAAACCAGATCCACAAGGGCAAGAATTTTTGTATAGTTTTTTGTCAATTTCTAGGTCCCAAGTACCAAATTCCCTGGTACACAGTAAATAACCCTAATAATTGTTGAATGAATGAGCGCAGTCTCAAGGAGGCAGTGGAGTACTCTGCTAAAGAACATGATTTTTAGAATCAAAAGGATCTGGACGTCTTGATTCAGCCCCTCAGTGAGCCTGTGGGCAAGTTGCTTTTTATCTTGGAGCTTTTGTTCCTGGTAAATTATAGAAGGATAATAAGAAAGTCGATGGTTATTTGGGATTCAGAACAGAATGCTGTCTCTTCCTACTTACCCTTGCCTCTATCAGACAAATTCTAGATTTTTGTGCAGTGTAATATGACAGACACAAACAAAGGCAGAATCATTAGGGCTGGATGAGCAAAACAATGAGATGAAAAGACTAACCAGTCTAAGCCATTAAGTTCTGAGGGGAAAAACACATGAAAGGAAATACAGACAATAGATAGAGGGTAGTTTTAGGAGAGATAAATTAGGATGAGAATGGGTGAATACGTTTCAGAGAACTTTGAACTGTGAAAATTAAGGTACACTGAGAAATGTTGCTGGAGGTTATGAATCACATGCTTTTTCATGTTTTGAGGAAAAGAATATAAGGACTGGAATGACTGTCTTTTTCCTTGCAACTATTTGAATTGAGTGATTTGAATCCCACCCAGGGTAATAATGGACAGGTATTGATTCCAGAATTCATGGGAATTACACATATAAAATCAATAGCTAAGTGCATCGAATAGTCCATTTTCAAAACGTCCTGGTTATTAACACAGTATTAAAATACTCATCTGATTTCATGACAACTAGGGCATTGATTTATTCATTTGACACTTATTTATTAAATACGTACTAGCTTCCAGACATTCTGCTTCTATTATGGACATAATAAAGAACAAGACAGTTGTAGTTTCTGGATTCATGGAGTTGAAGTTCAGCAATAATTATTAAATTGAGATAATTAATATATTTAATTCAGGAATAATGTCAGGATAGACACATAGATAGGCCTTTACAAATTTTGTTTATGAGTATATTGTGAGCATATACATTTTATTTTTCTAGGGATTGGACCCTAATGCTATGAATTGATTCTAAGGGCAATTTTTTTACCTTAAAATCTAAACTTTTTCTTCCTTAATGAGAGAAGTTTTAGAGAAATAATTGGTGTCAGAAACTAATTACAATTAACTGAGGAGTGAAATAAACGGAAGGTAAAGAAACAAGAGCCCAAGAAGCAAGCAAAAAATAATAGACACTAGTGGAATCAGAGAAGATGTTTTGCTTGTTAGTTGGGTCATTTATTTTAAATGGAAAGAAACTGACTATGTTTAAAAGTTGAGAGACAGACTGAATAGTATTCTGCTGTGTATATACACAACACATTTTAAAAATTCATTTATCTGTTAATGGGCACTTTGACCATTTTCCTATCTTGGACATTGTTCATAATGCTGCAATGAACATGGTAGTATAGAGCTCTCTTTAACATGCTGATTTTATTTCCTTTGGTTATATACCCATAACAGGGATTGTTATATCATATAGTATTTTTAGTTTCAGTTTTTGAGGAACTTTCAGACTATTTTCCAAAATGGCTGTACTAATTTACATTCCCACCAACAGTGTACAAAGGTTTCCTTTTCTCCATATCCTCACCACACCAACATTTGTTATCTTTTGTTTTTTTGATAAAAGCCATACTTATAGATGTGAGGTGATAACTGATTGTGGTTTAAATTTGATGATGGTTAATAATAATATGTTATATCTTTCAAAATAGCTAAAAGAGTAGATTTTAAATGTTCTCACCACAAAAAATCATACTTATTTGAGGTGATAAAGATACTAACTAGCCTGGTTTGTTCATTCCACAATGTACACATGTATAGAAACATCACAATTTTTATTTGTCAATTAAAAGTAAGACAAAAAATATTCTAACAAACAAAAAATAAATGGAAAGTCAGGACTTGCTGTAGAGAGGTGGGATGGGAGTACAGAGAAATATAAAATGGCTAATGAATAAAGGTCTCAGAGAAGGTAGGAGAAATTACAACCATGAACTGAAAGTGCTCTTTAACCGGGTTTGATATTTTCTAATAAGAATTGAGAATATTTATTTGAAATATTTGCTCAAGTCTGAAGACTAATTCATCTCTGTGACTTCAGATGCTTTCATCATAGTGTGAAATACTCATTCCGGGTCACTAAAAGAGCCAAACAAATAACCAAGTAAATGCAAACTATTATTTTTATCCAATAGAAATTGGTATTTAATCTCCTGAACACTGCTGACCTCTTCCCTAAATTTCTTCTTATAGTCTTATGACTCAGTAAGTTAGATGAGTAGCTAAGTTAATTGATTCATATAAGAATTGTGTAAATAAATTTCTGCAGTGAAAAAAAAATTGATGAAAGTCCTCTTGATCAACATCCCCAGTCCTAATGCTGCTCTTATTCCTAAGAAGAAACTACTTTTCTGAACTTGGTTTGAATTTTTTCTTGCTTTTTTTGTTGTACATGAAAACCTATCAAAGTACTCAAACCATAAATATTGTATTTTAATATTAATATATTAATTTAATATAAATATTGTATGAGGGTGGGAAGTTGCTATTATTTTTAATGTAAAAGTAACATTGTGGAATCATCTATATATTTATTATAATATCTTAGAGAGTTTCCCATATATCTACTTCCTTATTTAAGTAGTTTAGGCTTAATTTAGATATATATTACTATGGTTTATTTAGTTATCTCCTTTATGATTTTTTCTGTTAGTTTGATTTTTATTTGTTTGTTTTAGAGCTGAAATAAACATTATTGCATACGGCTCTTGGGACCTGTTTGAGGTCATTCTCTTTGTCTTTTTATAAAACATAAGAAATATTTTGTACTCTAATAATTGACATATTTTGATTAACTGGAAACTGCTAATCTGGAGTTTTGTAGATCCAATCCTGTGCAAAGCCGGGGTGAGGATTCACAAGATGAGACATTAACAAGAGAGTGTCAAAGTGGTACAGAAAAAGGGAGCACAAGCCCCATGGTGACTTCAGCTGACAGACTGATTTGTGGGCATTTTAGGGATCATTCTTGAAACTCCCAGTAACTGAGGACCTGTTAACAATGACTAATTTGTGCCAGTGAAGTTAGCATGAGCTTGGTTGACCACAGAATCAGTATAAAAATAAACTGTAAAAATTAGAAGTAGAAGGTAACCAATATCTGCTAAATGCTGGGACATGTGAGATTTACTTATCTTTGAAATGCAGGTTGAATATTAGAAGATGTTTTAGGGATAAAGGCTTTAAACCAAGAAAAGTCAGAAATCCCAAGAAGTCACTGAAGACCTTAAACTTTTTTTTTTTAACATGTAAAAAAAGGGTTCCATTAAAATTATAGTAACCTCTTACTTCTTCTTTTTTTAATTCTTTTTCTTTTTTTTTCTTGAGATAGGTTCTCACTCTGTTACCTAGGCTGCAGTGCAGTTGTATGATCATAGCTCAACTGCAGTCTTGAACTCCTGGGCTCAGCTGATCGCCCCAACTCAGCTTCTCATTACTTCTATGCTTTCTAAATGAATCCTATCAAATTCATGTTTTCTCTTAAATAATAATAAAACCTTAAATTTAAGTTTGATATTTAATGACTGTATAACTCTTTGTGGAGACAAGCAATCAAGGAAATCAGATAGGGAAGTTCAGAGATTCATTAAGGATTATCTGCAATGACTCACTTGGGACCCAGAACTTGCCCTTCCTTCAAGGGAAAGGATCTGTCCAAATGCAACCTGCCCATGGGAGCTGAAAACCCCTAATGTCTGCTGTGTCAAGCAGATGACATTTACTTGCAGTCTCTTCAAAACTGGCAAGTAGGCTCAGCTTGATTCAGATGAGACCCGAAGAATTTATTCTCTGAGGATGAGCCTGTTCTCACTCTTGCCTCATAACAAAGTGTGAGCAGTTTGTACAGAGAGAGAGTCCCATTGCTAAGAGACAGTCCCATATCTTGTGTCTGTTTCTGCATCAGACAATGAATGCTCCTTCATTATTTGCCACCAGCTGACCCTTCTGCCTGGCAGTTCTAGCCTATGCCAAATAACCTGGACGCATGTTTAAAGCAATATGTTAAAGTTGCTCTCATAAATTATTATTGATGCTAGCATTTCATTTACTTTCTACATTCAGGAAATATTAATCACCGTTTACTTTCTTACAAATTTCTAAATTCGAATTTACTTTGAAATGTTAAGATATATTTATGATGTTCTTTTTATAAGTAGTTTTTCTTTCATAGGCAATATTTATCCATCCATCCATAAATTTCTCTGTTCAGTAAGCCATGAAAATACTTGGGACTTACTTTTATGGAAATACACTAAAGCACTTATCACATAGACAAGAAAGCAAGGAAATTGCTACATACTTTAAGGGTGTGTGTGTGTGTGTGTGTGTGTGTGTGTGTGTGTGTGTGTGGTGAGTGATATGGTGGTCTATTTGGGAATGAGGGAGATGTGGTATGCATGGAAAGCTATAAGGAAAAGTTTAGACTATTCATATAGTTAAAACTCGACTGTTTATTCCAGGTTTTGTTGACTGCTGCATTATGTGAAAGCATTGTCTTCTTGAAAATGAACAGCCTATGAGCCAGTTTATGAATTGCATATATTCAAGCCAACACCAATTACAAGGAAAACAGACTAGCCTGTCTTTCTCCCGTGTGCTGCTTTTACTTAAACAGTCATTCAGGTGGAAAGATGCCAGCCTTCCTGCCCTGGGGCTTGTTTCATGCACTCACAGATGTCTGGCTCAGATTACAAACATATACAATGGCACTGATGCCAGGCTCAGCCTGGGGATTTCACCGACATCAGAGTGAAACACGAAAGTTTCAATGATCAACTGAAACACGTCAAGGATGGCCTTTGCAAATTTTAAAATAGATCTCCTTACTATCAACTTTCCTAAAAGGAACCTTCATTAAAAGATCTATATATCACTATAGGATATTTTGGTAGGACAAAAATGCCAAGGGGTGGCAGAAGAATGATTGGTAATGACAATAGGCAGAACACTCTATTAACCTGACATTGATGGGGAATGATCTGTACGCACATGTTAATTTTACAGATAAGTGAAGCTTAACTTTTCAAGCACTGAAGCTAACCATTTTAATAGAAATATTTCTAAAACACATTACACACATTTATGGCTTCTAAAGTGGAATGAATTTAGTGTAGTTTTTCCTATCCATTAAAAGTCAAAGTAACTATCTATATGAATGCTGATCTATTCTGTAATATGATGACATCAGATGGAATCTGTGGCCTGGAGAGCTAGAGAAAGGGCTATACACAAATACTTCTCAGTTTTTTTTTTTTTTTTTTATTCTCAACCAGTCAGTTGTAACTTTTACAATTGTCTGTATTCCTACCCAGAGATCTTCAAGCCCTATTCTAAACTTACTTTTTCCATATTTGCTGAATCATGAGAAACTAGATAACTATCCTTATTAGAAAAGATAAAATAAGAGTTAAGATAATTAACAAAAGTCTGTATTTCTCTGAGAGTACACTGTGAGTTAGCTATTCACTCATGTATTCACATAATACATGTTTATTATGTTCACAACCTCTAGGTGTTGAAAATACAAAGAATAAAATGACATGTGTCCTCAAGAAAGGGAAATCTGGACCAAAAAATTAAAGAAAATAAAATATGACATGTCAATTATTGAAATTCTATTATGGGTCATGAACCTTAGATGAAACCACAAAATCTTTTAAACAAAATAAAGCAACTAATATTTTTCTCATTTAATAGACAAAAGGAAACTTAAGTTTTAATAATTTCCTCAATGTCGTAAGTGGCATAATCAACATTTGAAACTTTGTCTCTCTGCATTTAAAAGGTACTAAGTTTCCCATATACTATGCTCTTTCCCAAGTGCCATTTCCATCCTATTTCTCCCCACCTACCTTCTGAAACACACAAGGAGTGTGCAAAGTGGTGCCAAAGAGGTGAGATAACTTGCACTAAGCTGTGATACTTATGAGAACCTATCCACACTTCTTTCTTTTACTATTGTGCTGACTTGCTGCCGCTTATAAATCTAAGCTTTAATTCAATAGCTTTTCCTTTGTACATCTGCTGTTATCGATAGCTAAATTTTATAGAATTAAGACAGCCAAAAAACTGAAATCAAGATAAGAGAGATGGCTGACTTTTGTGGGGCAATCTTCTTCCCAATTGGTTGATTATTATTAACTTTGCGAAGGCCAAAAAAGAACAAGCATACAGTGGCAACACAGTGGACAGAAGGAAAGCAGCGGGGTCAATAAATACTAGGTACATCGTGCATGCAATCAAGCTTGTAAAGGATCTGGACCAAGCCATATGGATGGTGAGGAGTTAACTCTAATCATGGTGTTTCGCGGAGGTTCCTGTGGTGAGCTGCTCTGCCCAGAAATACACCGCAAGGCAGCAGAGAAGGAGAAGAACCCCAGTGTCAGGGACAACTACCTGGGTATTTAAGGAAAAAAAAATAGACCCTTACTTGCTGATTTAGGGACTACAAAAAAAAAAGTCAGGAACTGAGACTAGATATTTTCAACTATGAAACATGCTTCTGTGTACACTGTTTCCATTTTTCTTCAGGTTTAGCTTGCTTACTATTCGTGTAGTAAATGTTGCTTTTTTGTTGTTTTATTTATTTAAAAAAACATTAATAGTAATGTTCAAATGCCTGGTGTTAAGACATTTGCACATAAAATGCATCCAAATCTGGATTTTTTTCCTAAATCAATTCAAAACATGTTCCAGAATAATTTATGCTCCTAAAAGCTAAGCAAATTACCTAGCATGTAAACCATTATAATATTCCCAGTGGCTTTGCCTTCAAGATTAGAGCAAGAATCTTATGCAATACTAAGCTCAATATTTGACGTATCAAATATGGAATCTTCTAAAATTTCCCTCATCTCTCCCTATGTTTAGCAGAATGAATGAAAGAAATGGTTCTTGATCTGACATTCAGATCACATCAATAGGATTACAATGTAATAGCCACCAAATGGGAGAACAGTGAAGTAACCAGGGAACACTCTAAAGGCTGCTAAGCTTTGTCTTAAGTCAAGTGATCTTTAGAGACTCTTCACCTCATAACAGATTAAGTGGAGACACCTTATCACACTACCATCCATCTGAGCCACAGGATGAACTAGGGGTAACGGCCATGGTTATTAGGAGACACTGTGCAATCACAGCAAACAGCATCAAGATTTGATAATTATTTATTGTTCTGTTCACATTTACTTGAAAGAAAACAAAGTCCTCTAGAGCAGAGCCAATGAACATTGCTCACAAGAACAACAAAAATAAGATATTAATCACACATATTCTAATGCCTCTAGTGAAAGAATGATATGAATAATAGTGATTAATAAGAGGCAACAAACCTTTGAATCCCTGTCAGCATTTGTATGCAGCATACTTAAATAATTTAATGAGTTAATATATCCTCCATGAAAGCCTGGAAGCCAGAATTATCTTCAGCAGGGTCACACCTTATTTTCAAGAGTTTCCATGCTCTGTGCTAATTCCCTGAATTGTTATGCGGGCTGGAGCTTTTGATTTAATGTTCATTGCAGAACTGAAGTCTAAACATTAAAACATATCACAACCTAGTGGGCTTTTAGTAAAACACTAGACACACAATGTCAGTTTTGATTGAGTTCTTCTTCTATCGGAGGTAATTTAGTACATGCCAACTTACTTAAACAACAACAACAAAATCCTTGTCACCCACGCTGTAATGAAATCTTGGGAGAAAAGCTCTACAAAGAAAACAGGAGATAATACAAAACAAGTTTATCAGGAAAATGTCAAAGAGGCAACCATGATTGTGAAAGGACATTCTTCTTCTTCTACATAATCTTTGAGTCAGGCAGCACTTACTGCCAAAAAAGATAACTTAATAATAATGAATCAGGTTGCTTCCTTTGCAAGAGATATGCCAGTATTAAAATAGGGTCTGGCAGCCAAGTACTGAAAACATGGCAGCACATTAAAACATGCCATAGAGACAGTAAATGGTCTTGGAGAGACATTTAAGGAGACAAGCTTACAGCATCTAAATTACCCTATGTTAAAACAAATATTTGAGTGGGCATAGCAAGAGAGTCTAATTGTCTCCTGTGAAGGCAACAGGCTTTGAATGGGGCCTGTGGGAAGAAACTAGATATAGAGGAAGGCAGGGAATTGATAATCCAGGTTCTCTTTCCTTCTTCAGCAATTCCTATTTCAAAACTTTTTATTACTACCCTCTATTCTGCAGTTAAGTTTCTGTAATTCTGGTCATTCAGAAAAGTATGAGAGGCTAGGTCTGAGTTCTCCTCTAATCCCTTTCTACTATACTCTCATCTTTCATAAGAAGAAATTTCTCTCCAATCACAGATTTTGCAGGCCACCATTGCATAGTGAAATACAAGATGCTCTCTGGAGATGGCTTCTGGGAAAGGAAAATGAGAAGAAAACAAAACGCTTTTCCTCATAGATTTCACCTCCTTTTTCTGAGACCTTTCATATATTCCAACAGCTATAGAAGATGAAGAACAGGCTTGGCCATCCTCTGATAATCTCTGTTACTTTTAAAAACATGTTTTTGGGGGAAATAATGAACACTTTGAGGGCATTCCTGTTTTCATGTCCTTTATGCACTAACAGAAAACTGCCTCTTCAACCACCATCCCTCTCAAAAAAGAGTGTCTTTTGCAGCTCTCTGATAAAAACTTTCTCCTTTTTCTCATGAAATCCCACCTCTCCAGGCTTTAGTTCCATGTTCTTACAGCCTATCCAGCTAATTAACATTTCACTCTTTCCTAACAAACCAACTATTCAATGACATTCACTGAATTTCATATGATTTGATACACAATCTGAACCTCCAATTCAGGACTATGACTGTAACCTTTCGGTGATACACTCATATTTATTGAGAACATTAACACAAAACACATACTTGATTTACAATTTTTCTTCTGAATGCAACTTTTGGCACCATGTTAGACGATGTCTATGTTGTTCTTCATAGAAGCCTGATTTCACAGTGATGGTCCACCCTCCAATCTACTTCAGCTATTGTCTTTCAGGACTTTGACCTGGACCTCTCACAGTCCAGAATTACTTTTGCCTCTGAAACCCTGACCGCAACTTTTTAATTCCTCCTATAGGTTTACTCTTTCTACCTCTGTTCTTCATTTCTTCAATATCTTCAATCCCTGGATCCTCACTCCTCACTCTTTTTTTTTTTTTTTTTTGAGATGGAGTTTTGCTCTTGTTGCCCGGGCTAGAGTGCAATGGCTGATCTCGGCTCACTGCAACCTCCCTCCGCCTCCCGGGTTCAAGCAATTCTCCTGCCTCAGCCTCCCGAGTAGCTGGGATTACAGGCATGTGTCACCACACCCGGCTAATTTTGTATTTTTTAGTAGAGATGGGGTTTCTCCATGTTGGTTAGGCTTGTCTCGAACTCTTGACCTCAGGTGATCTGCCCACTTCGGCCTCCCAAAGTGCTGGGATTACAGGCGTGAGCCACCACACCCAGCCCTCACTTTTTTTTAAAGCCTATTCTGATCTGACTCTTTCATGTAGCAAGCACCTGGTTAACTACAGGAACTTTTATATTCTACATTATCACACTACCCCTCCCCTGCAAATCATTTCTTTTATCTTCTTTTCAACAATTTTACTTTTCTACATCTGCATTAGAAAACTTGCACTTTCATGTCTCATAGGCCCCCCAAATTATTCTCCCTATAGAAACATAATTATGTTAATTCAATCACCATATATTTAATTACATGTATTTTTTACTATACTTGTTAATGCCCAAAAGAATGGGTGTTCTTCCTGTGCTGCTGATACTACACTACAATTTGTCCAGTAATTTTGCAGTTCAAGTGTTCAAAGTAAAAAATTATATATTTAGCTATACTTCTCTGCTAAAATCTCCACCTCAAGCCATAATCTAGTTCAAGTTTTCCTATCAATTTAAAAATGCTATTTCTGTCTTCCTCTATCCAAACTCATCAAAATAGTATTTTCCACCTAACCTAATGCTTTTTCTTTCCCAATAGTCTTTGCAAATTTTCTTAAAAAGAAAATTCAATGACCTTCTTTAATATATTAATTTATCACTCTTTATTTCTTGTGATTATTACCCTCAAGCTCTCTCCAGCTTTTCAGAGCATTTTTCTTCACCTCTTTTACTGGTTGATATCATTTGAACAATGCCCTTGTATGAAGTAGAATTTAACTCACTCAGGTATAGTAATTTTTTTCTCTGTACTGTCTCTCGATACACTGTGTATACCTTCAAGTAATGTTATTTTTTTATTGTCTCCTCTTGCCAATTATCCTACTTACCTTAAAACCTATAAAAAATAGACACCCAATTAACATTTCATTAACTTCCAATTAATTTTAACCCCATTACTTACACATATTTCCAGACATTTTATTCAAACGCTAATAAAATCATATGAATGTATTTATGCAATATGAGTTAGCCATGCACATTCTAGAGAAAAGTTCTTTTGCTCTCAGATCCTGCACAAGTAACCTCCATAATCAAACTTAAAAATTAACCTTATTCAACAGTAAATTAATTGCTGGCTATCAGAAAACTGCATACACTTAAAATAATACAACAAATTCCAAACACTGAAAATTATATCCTCCACGATGACTAGCATTCAGTAAAAAATACTAATCTCTAGAATAAGTACTTTTTTCATAACTAGGAGGGGGGAAATGCAGACATTATTAAGCAACATCAAGATGACAAGGTGATAAAATTAGAAAGCAAGGACATTAAAGTAGCTATTTTTAAAATGTCCAATAACAGAAAATATGGTTATAATGAATAAACAAATGGATAATTTCAGAGGATAATTTAAAATTATTAAAAGGAAACAACATAAATTTTAAAACAATAATGTGTAAAATAAAAAAATTCAGCCTGGCAGAGAAGCTCACGCCTGTAATCCCAGCACTTTGGAAGGCTGAGGTGGAAGGATCACTTGAGCCTGGTAGTTCAGAACTGGCCTGGGAAACATAATGCAACCCTGTCTCTACAAAAAAAAACAAAACATAAAAATTAGCCAGCTTTGTGGTGCACACTTATAGTCCTAGCTATGAAGGAAGCAGAAGTAAGTGGGAGGATCTCTTGAGCCTAGGAGTTTGAGGCTGCAATGAGCCATGATCAGTATACTGCACTCCAGCCTGGATGACAGAGTGAGACACCATCTGTTAAAAAAAAAAAAAATGCTATACAAACATAAAAAACAATTGAAGATGCTCACACCTGTAATCCCAGCACTTTGGGAGGCCGAGGCGGGCAGATCACGAGGTCAGGAGATCGAGACCATCCTGGCTAACACGGCGAAACCCTGTCTCTACCAAAAATACAAAAAAATTAGCCAGGCGTGGTGGCGGGCGCCTGTAGTCCCAGCTACTCGGGAGGCTGAGGCAGGAGAATGGCGTGAACCTGGGAGGCGGAGCTTGCAGTGAGCCAAGATTGGGCCACTGTACTCCAGCCTGGGTGAGAAAGCGAGACTCCGTCTCAAAAAAAAAAAAAACAAAACAAAAAAAACAGTTGAAGATGGAGCAGAAGGAAGGGCTACTGAGCTTAGAGACAGATAAATGAAAATTATAGAAACTGAAAAACAGAAATTAATTTAAAAAATTGAAAAACAAATGATCCAGGGGATCATATCAAGTTGTCTAACCTATCTGTAAGTAATTAATTATAAATAAACAAAATAATAAAAAGTATCATGTATATGCAAATATATATACACACATAAATATATATACAGAGAAAATAAAAATAACACATTTTCCAAATTTAGTAAAAAAGCATGAACTTACATACCCAAGGAGATCAGAAATTCCAAGCAAAATACAGCAAACCACACTTATGCACAGCATAGTCAACCTGCTAAAAAACAAAAGATAAAGAAAAAATTTAGAAAATGTCAAATTAATAATATATACTTTACATAGAAGAAGACAAAGAATAAAAACTGATGACTGTCTTTGCATCAGAAACAAAAGAGCAATTAGACTTCTCATTTGCCAAGGAGAATGACAGCTGCCTAATACATGACCCAGTTCATTCCCATGCACTGATTCTCAAGTCTTGCAAATGCAATATAGAACAACAAATAAATTTGCTCGAAGTCCCCAGACTCAATATACATGAAAAAGCCTACCCAAACTTCAAATTACTTGGAATGTAAAAAGATACAAGCTATATCCCAACAGGAAGTCATTATATTCCTAGTGCAAGACTTGTGGCAAGCAAGAGACGTCCAAGAAAAACTGCAGGGAATGACGAAGAGAGGAGGTGGCAATAGATTCAAATTTGTGTATAACCACCACTGGAATGAGAAAGTTCACAATAAGTATATAAAAGTATTCAAAAAGTGTCCTGGGAGATCATAGCACAGACTACAGGAAGAGATGTAAACATTTACATAATGTATAAGGAGGAAGAATTAAAAAGCCACAGCTTCTGGGGAAGTAAAAGGTAAGAAAAAAAAAGTAGACATTTGATCATTACATGGTGAAGCAAAAGGGGGAGTGGTACTTAGGTTTCTGGAGACAACCAAAATGTAGAAGACATAACCTTTCCCTCACCAAGGGAAAAAAGAACCCTCCACTAAATGTACTTTGGTATGATGATGAAAACAGATGTCATTGAGATAAGAATTCTACGGACCACAAAATTTTAAAAAATAATAATTCTATAACAAATTATTAAAAGAAAATAGAACATGAGGATGAATACTCCACAGCTACTGAAAGTACATAATGAAAAAAACTAGCAAAACTGTAACATTCCAAACTAAATCTATATACATAAACAAGCATATGAGAAAAAAACATTGATATCAAAAGTTAACATTAGAAATGTACAAAATAATGAAAGAAAACCAATATAAGATTGATCTCACAGAAGAAATGGGGCTGGGAGAACTTATTTCAAAAATTAGAAACAAACTAAGAGGTGTCAAAAGGAAAGTGGAATCAATTTGAAATCTTTAAATTCTTAAAAAAGATAGGAAAGCTTCTAAGAAAAAAATGAGATCATGAAAGATGTACAAAATATTACAGAATAAATTAATAAAATGGAAAAACGCAAACAAAAATTTTAATAAATGTATAATTTGAGCCACTGAAAAAGAATAACAAATAAATCCAACATGTGATATTTAGAAGCATCCTCTAAGAACATTTTCCAGAATTTAAAAATAAAAGCTTAAATCTAAATGCAGAAGAGTACCGTGGCACGTGTGAGTAAGTTAATCTCAATCAACCCCAAGCCATATCCAATTAAAACTATTTTGCTTCCAAGATTTTTGAAAACCCACAATGACTCCAGAGAAAAGACAAAATAACTGAAAAGAATTAGGTTTCACATCTTCGAAAAGTAACATATGAAATAATGCAACAATGGAGTCACAATTTCAAAATTAATAAAAATGTTACATAGATATTTTATATAAAGCCAAATTGTCCTTCTTGTATCAAGCCTATAGAAAGACAGTTTTGACCACACAAACGCTCAGAGTATATTGAATCCGCAATCCCATCTTGCAAAATTTACTCCAGGACAACTTGATCCAACCATGAGATAACTAGAAAAATGTCAGCAAAATTATTTCTAGTGAGCATTTTGAAAGCTAAAAAAGTGATAGATGATGATGTTTAGATAGATAGAATTCTAGGTCTCAACTAACACAAAACTTATCTCAAGGGTGTAAGATAAATACACACATTTTTTATGTTGTGGCCAAGTATAAATAATGCAAGTAAAAGTGAGAAGATTCAGGAAATACAAAGTAACCTAGTATAAACTCATCAGCTACAATATAAGCAATAGGCATAATTGAAAGATGCCATTAAACTGATAAAAAATATGGCTGAAAGTTAAATAAGAAAATACTGAAGCCATTAAAAATTATGAATAAAAATATACAAATTTAAATAAAACAAATATATATGAGAAAAAAGTTAACTATAATACACATAATAATTATAAAACATTATGGGCATGTTGAGATGAAATATAAAAGGTATGTAAAATATATAAATGTGCTTAATTCACTTATATACAGCAAAATAGTTTCAATTTGGCATTTTATATTCATTAACGTATTGCATTCAAGAGAAATACCTAAAACAAATAGGAATACTAAATATAAAAGAATGGGCAAAATTGTATCTGGCAGATGATAAAAGGAAAAGTAAAATTCAAGCAAAAAGTATTAAATATGACAAAAAGGGTACTTTTTAATCCTAAAGGAATTACTTGTATTAAACACTTAGTGTTTATGGTTTTCTATGCACTAAATAACACAGCAACCAGCTTTATAGGGAAATAACTGCAAAAGATCCAGGGAGGCATAGATAGACCCACACCATACTAATAATAGAGGTCAGTGCACACCATTCTCACTATAAAAAGATAAGTAATAAGAAGGAATACAAGAAACTTAAAGAATGTTAAAAATTAGGTAGATCCTAAGGATACATATTAAACTTTTCATTCTACTAATAGAAAATAAATTTTTTTGAATACACATAAAATATGCACAATTGATCCTTTGTTATGTGACAGAAAAATCACTAAATTCCATAATATCTGATGTTATCTTCTAGAATTTTTATGATTTCGAGTCTTAGATTAAAGTCCTTGATCCATCTTGAGTTGACTTTTTATAAGGTGAGAGATGAGGATCCAGTTTCATTCATCTACATATTGCTAGCCAATTATCCCAGCACCATTTGTTGAATAGGGTGTCCTTTCCCCACTGTATGTTTTGTTTGCTTTGTCGAAGATCAATTGGCTGTAAGTATTTGGCTTTATTTCTGGGTCTCCATTCTGTTCCATTGGTCTATATGCCTACTTTTATACCAGTACCAGGCTGTTTTGGTGACTATGGCCTTATAGTATAAGTTGAAGTCTGGTTAATTTGATGCCTTCAGATTTATTCTTTTTGCTTAGCCTTGCTTTGGCTATGCGGGCTCTTTTTCGGTCCCATATGAATTTTAGGAATGTTTTTTCTAGTTCTGTGAGGAATGATCGTGATATTTTCATGGGAATGGCATTAAATCTGTAGATTGCTTTTGGCAATACAGTCATTTTTACAATATTGATTCTACTCATCCACGAGCATAGGATGTGTTTCTATTTGTTTATGTCATGTATGATTTCTTTCAGCAGTGTTTTTTAGTTTTCTTTGTAGAGATTTTTCACCTGCTTGGTTAAGGTCAGAAAGATTCACAGCTGTATTATATCAGACATTCAAAGAAGAATTGGTACCAATCCTATTGACACTATTCTACAGGATAAAAAAAAAAAGGGAATCCTCCCTAAATCATTCTATGAAGCCAGTATCACCCTAAAACCAAAACCAGGGAAGGACATAACGAAAAAAGAAAACTACAGACCAATATCTCTGATGAACATAGATGCAAAAATCCTCAACAAAATACTAGCTAATGGAATTCAACTGCATATCAAAAACATAATTCACCATTATCAAGTAGGTTCCATACCAGGGATGCAGGGATCGTTTAATATCTACAAGTCAATAAATGTGATACACCATATAAACAGAATTAAGAAAAAAATCACATGATCATCTCAATAGATGCAGAAAAAGCATTTGACAAAATCCAGCATCCCTTTATGATTAAAATTCTCAGCAGTATTGGCATAAAAGAGACATACCTTAAGGTAATAAAGCCATCTATGACAAACCCACAGCCAACATTATACTGAATGTGGAAAAGTTGAAAGCATTCTTTCTGAGAACTGGAACAAGATAAGGATGCCCACTTTCACCACTTCTATTCGTCATAGTACTGGAAGTCCTAGCCAGACCAATTGGACAACAGAAAGAAATCAAGGTCATCCAAATCAGTAAAGAGGAAGTCAAAATATCACTGTTTGTGATGATATACTAGAAAACCCTAAAGAATCATCCAAAAAATCTCCTAGAACTGGTTAACAAATTCAGCAAAGTTTCAGGATACAAAATTAACGTACACAAATCAGTAGCTCTGCTATACACCAGCAGTGATCAAGCTGACCATCAAATCAAGAACTCAATCCTTTTAAAACAGCTGCAAAAAATCAAATGAAATAGGAACATACCTAATCAAAGAGCTGATGTTTCCTCTTGTAACATGTTACATGTTCAAAATTATAGTGAAATTAAATAGTTAAAAATAATATGTCATCTATTTATATTCCTGATATTGACCATCTAATGGAGAAATTATAAAATCTTATTAAACAGCTGACCAACAATGCAAACGGCTATAAGAATAAATACTAGAAAGAGCAATGGAGCTGGTAAGTGCTCTGGAATAAAATGTTTGCTTAAACAGAAGACAACAGAGAATGTTCCAAATCCTGAAATCTCTGAATGAAAGAGTTGCATGCTTAAGAAATAATGTTTTTATAAGAAAAGTTTCATCTGGCTATAGTTATTAAATCAGAGAAGATAAAGGGAGATGAAGGGTGATACTTCAGGTAATGACAGTCAAGATATAACCTTAATAATTCAGCTCAAAATTCGTAATCCAGGACCCACACTTAAGGGTCTACATGAGTTATAGATCTTTGACAGTAGAAAGATGAGGATAAAAAGGGTCTGAAAGAAGGTTTGGCAGCATTTGCTGACTTGCTATAAATGATACAAGAAAGAAAAAAAGCACTCAAGTCTCTGTTATTACGTTGAAATTTCTGCAACTTGAAATGTGTATTTATATTAATACAATTAATTGTATTAATCATTTCAATTAAAATAAATACAATTTATAATGTTAACATGTTGCTAGTAATTTTTTTAAAAAAGGTTTAAGTTTCTGTTTCGCTTTACTTTTTGTCATTTAGAAATTCCCCAGAACTATGTAAACACTGAGTATGCTATAAGAGTATTTACAATGTAAACTATTCTTTTTAGTGGGTTGATTTTGGTAATTCACAGATATTTTCTGTTCGGTATTCCCTCTACTGTGGATTTTAGAATACTTTCCACTGTTATTTAACATACCAAGAATATTTGCTAATCTCAAATAAAATATCTCAGAAAAACAAGATTTTGTTTGGAAAAGTTTTCAGACCTTTGGAAGAAATTTAGCACTATATAGAAAAAAAAACACTTTAATTGAAAATCTTTTTATATAAGTCAATCTCTATACTCTGAAGTAAACATGAAATTATTCCAGTTTTTGAAAATTTAAAAATGTACTGAATCAATGGTCCAGTAAGAAACTTCTAAGCTTTCTTCAGTATTATCTGGCTAACTTTTTTGAAACTTCTGTTAGGCTGATTTATGAGATTTAAAAAATTTTCTCTTGCTGTTGTGCCAACCATAAAAAATTGAAAATTATGTATGTCATAAACAACTTACTTATATGTATACAAACATAGTTATACTGAAGAAATATTGCATTTAATGAAATATATTTATGCCAGAGGCAGAGGTCATTTCTATGACGTTTTCTTTTCTTTTTTTTCTTTTTCTTTTTTTTAGCTATGCTATATAAGGAAAAGCCCAGAGACCTTGCTCCATTGCATTCCATGTGATTCTCTGCAGACAAACCTTTAAAAAGTATATATTTATAACAATTCTTCAGAAATGTAAAACAATGATTGAATTCCTTAAAACAATAGCAATACATTTCTAAAATAAGACCTATGAGCAATACTTATATATTATGTTACTTTTTAAAGTAACTAAATATTTTAAAGTTTTAATTTTATAATGCCTAATCTCTGAGATCAAGACTAGAACAAATTATGTAGACATCATTTCTATATTTTCCAGCAGAAATTATGTAGACATCATTTCTATATTTTCCAGCAGAATTAAAAATTATCAGCTACCACTGAAGTAACAAGGAAAACAATTAGAAAATGAGCTTCATCTTTGATGACATTGGAAATTTCACTCTCTTAATATTAATCATATTTCATTGTGAACTTTTTTAATTTAGTTTTTTAAAAAAAAAACACTCTTTATGCTCTACATTTAGTATTAACTTTTGCATGTGAAATTAGAAAGAAATACGAAGTGAAGACTGTCAAAGTCTAAGGATGTGTGTTATGACAGTTAATATTAAAGGCTAGTTATAATTTTGGCAATTTAGTGAAACATGGAACTTACTTTATATGTCTACATTACTATGAGATACAATAGAAGAACTTGAGACACTTTACTCAAGAACCATAATTAAATTTCCTTGATATTAATAGATTATAAGTATATGAATAAAATGATTAGAAAATAAGTAATTCTTAGAAATCCTAAAAAGTGACAAAAGTAGGTATTTTATAATTTCTCCTTTTATATCCTGCTAATTCTTATGTCTCTAGATTTCATAGACCTTAATTGAATATACGTTTCACTAAATACAATGTGAGTAAAAGCAACTTCAAAGAAAGGCACTATTTGTACTAAAGGCATTATGATTAGGACTCATTAGGAAATAGACTGAATTATAATTGGAGAACATATGTTTTAACAAGTAACATTTTGAGTTGTGCAAGAAAGCTAATGAGATATTTGTCATAAACAGTGAATCAACAGATGTCTTTAATACAACTAAATGTGTCTTCACTTTTTGGTTCACCGAAGTTTTTTTTTGAAATTTGTATTGACATAATTTTAGATTCACATGCAATTATAAGAAATAAAGAGTCCACGTACACTTTATGCAGTTTCCCCAATTGTGCAAAACTATAGTGCAGTATCAAAAACCAGTATATTTACATTGATACAATTCACCAAGGTTATTCAGATTCTCCCACTTTTACTTATACTAATTTATGTATGTGTATTTAATTCCATGCTAAATTTATACAGGCAAAACACTGACCAATTCCAACACGACAAGGATCTCTCCTATTGCCCTTTGTAATCACACTCACATCCCTCCTGCATCTCTCTGTATCCACTGGCAACCACTTAGCTGTCCTTCACTTTTTAAAGTTTTTATTTAAAAATGTTATATTACTGGAATCATATGGTCTCTATTTCTCTTGAGATTGGTATTTTTTCATGCAGCATAATTCCCTGGAAAGTCATACAAGTTGTTGCATGTATCTAGTTCATTGCTTTTTAATGCTGAGTTATATTGCATGGTATATGTACCACAGTCTGTTTAACCATTCGCTTATTGAAAAACATCTGGGAAGATTCTAGTTTTTGGCTATTACAAATACAGTTGCTATAAATGTTTGTGTATCAATTTTTCTGTGAACACAAATGTTATTTCTCTGGGATAAAAACCAAAGAGTACCCTTGCTATTTAGTATGGTACTTGCATGTTTCGTGTTACAAGAAAATGTCAAAATGTTTTAGATTGGCTGTACCATTTACATTTCTACCAGCAAGGTATGAGTGACCCCTTTTTTTTGTATTCTCAGTCATTTGTTGTTGCCATGATTTTTTAAAGTTATTCTGTTATGTATAAGTATGTACTGATATCTTATTGTGGATTTAATTTTACTTTCACTTATGGCTGAAGATGTTGAATATTTTCTTCTGTGAAATGTCCATTCATGACTTTTGTCCATTTTCAAATTTAATTTTCATTCATTTAATTTTCAATACTGAATTTTGGGAGTTCTTTGTGTATTCTAGATATTAATTTTATGGTAGATACATAGTTTACAAATATTTTCTCAAAGAATGTAGCTTGTCGTTTTATCTTCTTCCCATGAGCTTTTGCGGAACAAATATATTTAATTTTGATGAGGTTCAATTTATGTATTTATCTTTTATGGAAAGATAAATAACTTCAAAGCCCTAGGCCCCAGATATTTTCTCATTTGTTTGTCTAAAAAGTTGTATAGCTTTATGTTGTATATTTATGTCCATGATCCATTATGAGTTAATTTTTAATAAGAGGTGAAATTTTGGTTCACTTTTGTCTATGAATAACCAATTTCTCCAGCACTATATATTGAATAGACTATCCTTTAACTATTGAATTGCTTTTATTGCTTATCAAAAATCAGTGGTGTATTTGGTTCCATTGACCTATGTGTCTATCACTTCACTAAAACAAATTATCTTGATTAATGTAGTTATATAGTAAGCCTTGATATTTAGTAGAGTGATTATTCCTATTTCATTCATTTTTGAGATTATTTTGGGTATTCTAGCTTCTTTACTTTCCACGTAAATTTTAGAATAACTTTGTCTGTGTTTACAAAATATTTGCTAGGATTGTTATACTTACACCATTAAATCTATAGGTCTGTTTGGGGAAAAATAGTATACTTGCTGTTTTGAGTTTTCCACTCCATGAACATGTATGTCTCTCTATTCAAATCTTATAATTTTTAGCACACACTTCTTGTTCATAGTTTGTTTAGTGTATACTTATGTTTTACATTTTCTTTGACATGGTTGTAAATGTTTTTATTTGTTGTTTTTAATTTTGGTGTTTGAATGTTCATTGTTAGTATATACAAGTACAATTGTTTTTGGTTTTGTATTAACAACATATTGGTCATTTTTATGGTCATCCACAAAGGCAGACGGACTCTTCCCAAAGTTTGATTCAGATTTGGAGGCTGATGATGCCACACACACACCAAGAGGGTATTAAAAAGTTTATTCATGATATAAGTGAAGTCCCTGGGGGACCAGGGCAAACCAGTTAAGTAGGTCTAAAATGAACTAGAAAAAAAAAATTAGCCAGGGTTTTTACTGTGCTTGGGGTGTGAGACTGGAGTAAGTGTTCCTGCACACTGAAAGGGGCTTCTACATTTGAATTCTCTACTGGTGTGAAATGATGGACTGCCCAGGCTATCTCATCAGCACATCAGATGTGGGGCATAAGGAGAAGCAGAAGTGGGAATTAAAAGTTGTTGTATTCAAATCTCAACAACTGAATTCATACTCCTCATTACAGTCTTGTGTCATGCAACCTTGCTATGCTCACTTATTAGGTTTATAAGTGGTTGTAGATTCTTCGGGATTTTCTACATATACAATCATACCATCTTCAAATAATGACAGCTTGGTTTTTTTCAAGTCTGTATACCTTTATTTATTTTTCTTGATTTATTGCAATGACTGAAACTTTCAGTATTATATTGAATAAGGCATATAACTCACCTATAATATAGGAAAGCATTCACTTTTTCACCACTAAATATAATGTTAGCTGAAGATTTTAATGTTTAGAGTGGATGTTCTGTCAAACGCTTTTTCAACATCAATTGATATGATCATATAATTTTTATTCTTTAGCTTGACAATACTAAATGCCTTTATATATGTCAAAAAATCAAATATTTAAGATTTCAACTTATTAAAAACAATTTGCTTCCCAACCACATTTCCCGAAATAACTTTGATTTTTTTATTACAACTGACAGAGCAACACTCTTTATTATTATTATTAATTATTTTGTATGTTTTTTATCCAAGAGTTTTTTTTACTAAGATATAATTATGAACTTGTATTATTCATGTCTTAAATATCCCTGTAAAATTTAGTTCAACTTGCTGTAGATTACAAAGGATAGTATCTCTTTGAATTGTTCTGTTATAGCACAGTGCAGTCAAAGTCTTTTGTATTTATTCACCTAATAAAATTGTGTTTGTAAGTAATAATGGTATTAGCGATGAATGAGTACAGCTGTTTCTCAATCCTAAAATGGGCCAAGCAAAACTATTCACAGATTTGTAAGTAAACCTGGTGATATGTTTCCGGGTTCCCCTTATTGGTATTTAAACCCTGTAAAATAAGTGTTTTTTAAAATAGTTGCATATACGGGCGTTAAGTGAATAATGGCTTTCATAGTTATCTCAGTAGTTATCAGCTCTGTTTCCTCTTCATATGCAATCACCTATTCATGAATATAAAACAAACTTCCCTCGGCACCCTCTCTCCAGATCATTACTCCCAGTTAGGTCTAAGTTGCTCAAAGTATTTTTTTTTTTTTTTTTGTGATGAGTCTTTCTTTGATTAAAAAAATGAGAAAAGCAAGCTTACACTTATTCCAAGTATTCTTCTTCGAAGTGGGCAGGACAGAAATTACTGCTAGCTAGAGATTGCAGCAAGCATTTCCTGCACTGGCTCCATTTATGATGGAACTAATATTTGATGAACATTATGTAGGTGACAGTGTTGGCACTTAGCAACAGTGGGCCCCTATGTGGTGGAGACAGGGAAAGTAAAGTTTCATTAATTCTAAAAAGGAAAAGGTCAACTAAAGCCTTATTATGTGTCTTCACCGCCTCTGTTTTTTCATATACGTTTGCAGAGGGTTAAATATTATAAATTTCTTCACAGAAGTGTCATGTACAATACCATTAGGTGACAAGTGGTCTCCCTAGTATAAATTAAAATTCTTGGAGCAATTCCATGCTAAACAAAACTTTGTATCAATGTCAGCTGTTCAAATGTACATAAATCTTTCCAGAAAGCCAAAGATGATAATTTAAAAGAATGTAAGTGTTTAGGGATCTCCCATAGTTATAAATCATAACTGAAAAATAAAGCAAACCCTGGAATAGTTACAAAATAAAGGAAAGTTTGTCTTTGGTATTTCCCCCATCTTCTCGATGGGAGACGATGATGTGTATCCCTTTTGTTACTGGGTTACTGTGTAAAGTCTAATGATCTCATTGTTTTTTTTAATAGGTGAGGATGACCCAACTCTAAGACCCCATGAATACAGTGCTACTCTCTAGTAAGGTCCTTCTCCTATTCTATAGAACAGTGGTAATTTTCCTTTCTTTAGTTATCTGTTTTCAAAGATCACGCAGCTAAAATAAAACACACCCATACGCACACACACACACATACACAAATCACTAAGTAACTAAGCATTTCAAACCTAGACATACTGAAGTATTTCTAATAACTGATGATGGATAGCTTGTTAATACATTTAAAATATAAACTGAGCATCTATTAGGTATCAAGAACCATGATAGTGGTTACCAAATAAACAGATAATTGTTGAATCTATTCTTTAGCAGCTGCTGTTAGGATAATAAAACTGTGTGCCTCCTTACATAAAGAGTGTTCTCTTTTTGTATCTAAAACATCTAGGGAAGTTCTAAATTTATATTCTAAATGTGTATTCACTACTTAGATGTACACAAAGGTAACTATTTTTCAATAACGTAATTCTACTTAGCTAAAAAGCAACTAATTCTACTGATACTGATATTTGAAAACTTAATCCTAGCCCTCCACTCTAGAAGTCAGTTCAATGAGAACACAAACATTGTTTTATTTCTGCATACTATGGTAGATGTCTAATACATTCCTGTATAACAAAACATTAAACTTTGCCATTTTATAATAACCTTTACTAGTCAGAATGAACTTATTTCTGTTTTAAAATCTAGATCCCTTTGAATATGTATTTATTCAAATATAAGATTTAAGCTGTGGCTTCCCAATTTTGATGTAAGATAGTCTCAGTTATGGTTTGGATTTATGTACCCACCCAAATGTCAAGTCAAACTGTAATCCCTAATGTTAGAGGTGAGGCCTAATGGGAGGTGACTGGATCACTGGGGCAGACTCCCCCTTTTGCTTCTGTTCTTGTGATAGAGTTCTCACAAGACCTAGTTGTTTAAAAGTGTGTGGCATCTCCTCGCTCTGTTTCTTCCTACTGCTACGGCCATGGAAGATATGCCTGCTTCCTCTTCAATTTCTGCCATGACTGTAAGTCTCCTGAGGCCTCTGCCACCATGTTTCCTATACAGTCTGTAAAATCATGAGCCAATTAAACCTCCTTTCTTTATAAATTACCTAGTCTTGGGTATTTCTTTATAGAAATGTGAGAATGAATACATGCAGAAAATGAGTACTGAGGAGTGGGGCTTTGCTCTAAAGATACATGAAAATGTGGAAGCAGCTTTGGAATTGGTAGCAGGCAGAGGTTGGAAGAGTGTGGAAGGCTAGGAAGAAGACAGGAAGATGAGGAAAGGTTTACAACTTCCTAGAGACTTGTTAAATCATTGTGAACAAAATGCAGATAATGATATGGACAGTAAAGGTCAGGCTGAGGAAGTCTTAGATGGAAATGAGGAACTTACTGGGAACTAGAGCAAATGTCACTTTTGTTATGCATTAGCAAACAACTTTGTGGCATTGTACCCCAACTCTAGGGATCTGTGGAACTTTGAACTTGTGAGTGATGATTTAGAGTACCTAGTGGAAGAAATTTCTAAACAACAAAGCATTCAAGCATTGGCCTGGCTGTTTCAAACAGCATAAGCTCATATATGTGAGCAAAGAAATGAAACTGGAAATAATATTTAAAAGGGAAGCAAAGTGTAAAGTTAAGAAAATTTGTAGCCTGGCCATGTGGTAGGAAAGAAAAGGCCATTTTCAGGAGAGGAATTCAAGCCAACTGCAGACATTTGCATAAGTAAAGAGGAGCCAAATGCTGATAGCTGAGACAGTAGGAAAAAGGCCTTTAAGGCATTTGAGAGAATTTCACAACAGCCCCTCCCATCACAGGCCCAGAAGCCTAGGAGGGAAGAATGGTTTTGTGGGCCAGGCCCAGGGTGCAGCTACACTGGGCAGCCCTTGGACTCTGGTCCCTGCATTCCATCCACTCCAGCTGTAGCCAGTTACCGCTTGGGCTGCTGCTTCAGAGAGTGCAAGCCATAAGCCATGCAGTTTCCATGAGATGTTAAGCCTATGGGTGCACAGAATGCAAGAGTTGATACTTAGGAGCCTCTACTTAGATTTCAGAGGATGTATGGAAAATTCTGGAGGTCCAGGCAGAAGCACTCTACAGGAACAAATCCCTCATGGAGAACCTCTACTAAGGCAGCACAGAGAGGAAATGTGGGGTTGAAGCCACCTTACAGAGTCCTCACTGGGGCACTGCCTCCTGGAGCTGTGAGAAGAGGGATACCTTCCTCCAGGTCCCAGAATGTTAGATCCACAAGAAGCTTATACCCTGCATGTGGAAAAGCTTCAGGCACTCAATGTCAGCCCTTGACAGCAGTTGTGGGGGCTAAGCCTTGCAGAACCACAAGAGCAGAGCTGTCCAGTGGGAGCCTATCCTTTGCACCAGTGTTCCCTGGGTGTGAGACATGGAGTCAAAGGGGATTATTTTGGAGCTTTAAGGCTTAGTGACTCCCCTGCTAGGTTTCAGACTTGCAAGGAGGCTGTAGCCCCTTTCTTTGGGCTGATTTCTCTATTTTGTAATGGGAGCATTTACCCAATGCCTGTTACCCATTGTATCTTGGAAGTAACTAACTTATTTTGGACTTTACAGGCTCTTGGCGGAAGGGACTAGCCTTGTCCCAGGTGAGACTTTGGACTGTGCATTTTTGTGTTAATGCTGGAATGACTTAAGACTTTGGGGGACTGTTGAGAAGGCATGATTGGATTTTGCAATGTGAGAAAAACATCAGATTTGAGAGGGGCCCGGGCAGAATGAAGTCGTTTGGGTCTATGTCCCCACCCAAATCTAATGTTGAAATGTAATCCCCAGTGTTGAAGGTGGGGCCTGGTGGGAGGGGATTGGATTATGGGGGTGGTTTCTAATGGTTTACTACCATCCTTCTAGTGCTGTTTTTGTGATAGAGTTTTCATGAGATCTGGTTGTTAAAAGTATGTAGCACCACCCCCCACCCCAAACCTCTCTCTCTTCCTCTTGCTCTGGACATGTGAAGACATACCTGCTTCTCCTTTGCCTTCCACCATGATTGTGAGTTTCCTGAGGCCTCCCTAGCCAAGCTTCCTCTACAGCCTGCAGAACTATGAGCCAATTAAACCTTTTTTTCTTTTTAAATTACCCAGTCTCAGGTATTTCTTTACAGCAGTGCCATAATGGACTAATACAGTCTCCCCTCAGCCTTTCAAATGGGAAGCAAAAAGCAAGCCTTCTGCTACTGAATTTCTCCTCAACATATCTAGGGTTAGTATTTCCATGGTCCTCCTGCCTGAGGTGATCCTGTATCATTCCTGACTCCACCATTTATTCTCATCAAATCTATTATCTATTAATCTAGACTTCAGCAATATAAAGCTTGTCTGAATATTCCAAACAGAGCCCTTAAAAATTCAACAAATCTCTGTCTATATTTTCAGCTCTTTCAAGTCAAAAGTATTTGACTTCAAATCAAAGTATCTATTATGAGGCTGGGTGTGGTGGCTTACACCTGCAATCCTATCACTTTGGGAAGCCAAAGCGGGAAGATCACTTGAGGTCAAGAGTTTGAGACCAGCCTGGCCCACATGGTTAAACCCTGTCTCTACTAAAAATACAAAAATTAGCCAGGTGTGTTGGCAGGTGCTTGTAATCCCAGCTACTCAGGAGGCTGAAGCAAGAGAGTCGCTTGATTCCTAGAGGCAGAGGTTTCAGTGAGTTGAGATTATACCACTGCACTCCAGCCTGGGTGACAGAGTGAGACTCTGTCACAAAACAAAAACAAAAACAAAAAACAAACAACACTAACAAAAAAAAACCCACCTACTATGAGCTAATATATTTTTTCAAAATTTAAGTTTTTTGTTTTTTTTTTTTCCTCAAGGTTCTATTCACTCCTTCCCCAAGGAGGAGAAATATCATTTGTTAGGTGGCAAGAAATATTTGAAGAAATAAAAATATCTTAATTAAAAATATCTTTGAATCTTTGAATATTACCCTATGACAAATTTTACTGTAATCTTGCAGTAGTAACCAAAAAGACTGCAAGATATAAACTAAACTTTTTGATAACAAGAGAGACAAAACTGTTGAAAAAAGAGAAAAATTAATGGGAATTTTAGAAAAGTGAAACACTATGTGACTCTCTTCAAATACGAGCATCCAATGTAAATAATCAACATGATGCAATACATTTGAAAAAACACAATTTAACAAATGAAGATCAAAACTATTAGCACTTAGATACTGTTCTTATACATCTGACTTCTATTTTATCTGAAACAAATATACCTTTCACATTCAAAAACAAAAACAAAAAAACAGTCTCTTCTAATTTTAGCTTTTCCAATAACCATCTTAAAGTCACCAAGAAAGGCTTTATGTGAATCTGATTTAACTTTCTGAAACATTTATTTCCTTATGGACAGATGCAGGGTCCCCTTACCCTCTTTAAACAAAAAACTTCAGAGAAAATAAATTTAACAGAGTTTATTTGAGTAAAGAGTGAGTCACAAATCACGCAGCACTCAGAACCAGAAAAGGTTCAGAAAGCTCCTCTCTGCAATATGGGCAGTGAGCATTTATACCAGAATATGGAAGTAAGTACAGAAATAGCTGAAATGGTTATATGGAGGCATTTGCCTTATTTAGACATGACTTGATCCGTTAGCTGCTAAGCTTTTGTGATTGGCTAAGATCCAGCTCTTTATTACAAAAATATATTCTCCCGTATTAGGTTTCAGTTTGTTTGCATACTAAAAGGTTGCAGTTCAATACATAGGAATGAAAGGTATTAAGATAGTCTTATGCCAAATACAATTTTAAAATTTCCACCTTTTGGTCAGTTTCTCAATCTTGAGAGATGGACTGAAACTTTGGGTAGTGAATTCACTCTGTCACCATTATAAAGCACTTGTTTTGTCTCAGCATGGAACTCCCAGTCAGAACCTCAGTTCAGTTGAACGATTGTTCACATTCTTGCTGTTCTAGTCAAAGTGAGACCACTTAATGCATGATGTATACCTGCATACAAACATTTAAGACTCTTACTAATTTCTGTTGTTGATTTTCTTATTATAGGAATTTTCAAAGGGAAGCTACTCAAAAGGTGTGAATGAGCCCGTCCAAATATCTGAGTCAGTAGGAAGGCAGAAGAGAGTAAGCAAATTGTCTGCAGACCCTATGCAGGCCCTCAGGGGCTGAAAAGGAAGGCCACCTTGTGTTATTTGAATACGAGTCAGCTAAATTTGTTCGCTCATAGGTCAGCAGAGTTTCTGAACAAGATTCAGTAGAAAATTAACTTTTTTTGTCATCTTTTTGTAACATGCTGTAAGGGTATGCAGCCACAATTAGTGGAAAAGGATTTAATCCAACAGAATTATACAAGCAATTACATACCAGATAGATAGTCCCCAGGTCTTGAGCACATGATGCCTGGAAGCACAACATACCATTTGCAGGCATCTCTCAGATAGGTTTTCTGTATTTGGTGGTGGTTATGTTATTAATAGCAAAGCAAGTGGCAGTGATGTCTAGAACATCAAAGATAGATTCCCACTGTTCTTTTGGTGCTTCAAGGTGATTGTCATTGGGAACGTGGACAGGCCTTGGTAATAGTGGAATTGTTTCCTGTTTTTGTTGTTTTTGTTTTTGTGTTTTTTGGCATTAGCCTACAAACTCAATAGTTGCTCTGGTGTTTTGCTACAGCATGAGCCTTTGCTAAAGCCATCAACTTATTATGGTCCCATTGGTTTTTCTGTGGGGAAAGGGGAAAAAAAGGACAATAACATATAAGAAAAAAGAAAAAAATGGCTGGGTGCAGTGGCTCCTGCCTGTAATCTCAGCACTTTGGGAGGCAGAGGTGGGCAGATCATTTGAAGTGAAGAGTTCAAGACCAGCCTGGCCAACATGGTGAAACCCCATCTCTACCAAATAATACAAAAAAAAAAAAAATTAGCTAGGCATGATGGTGCATACCTGTAATCCTGGCTATTTGGGAGGCTGAGGCAGGAGAATTGCTTGAACTTGGGAGGTGGAGGTTGCAATGAGCCGAGATCCCACCACTGCACTCCAGCCTGGGCCAGCCTGGGTGACAGAGTGAGACTGCATCTCAAAAAAAAAAAAAAAAAAAAAAAAAAAAAAAAAATATATATATATATATATATATATATACATATATAAGGTTTTCTTGACGGCAAAGAAGCTAAATCTTGATCTGTCATCTTTGAAAACTTGTCCACATCTAGGATGTCCTTTGATTCTGGGGAGAAACTTTCCTGGTCAGTTTTACCTTAAGATCTTCAACAATTTTACAGCTCCAAAAGTCTGAAAGGGAATACTTGAGTTGTGAGATAGACCTAAGATTCAAGGCCTTAATATTTTACTGCAGTATGGTTGGTAAGAACTTGGCATGGTCCCTTCCAACAAGGTTCAAGGGTAGTCTTTCCCTGATGTCATTTCCAGAAGACCTAATCACTGGGCTCTAGATTAGGAAGTTTGGTTGTCCTCAGTTGATGGATTAAAAAAGCTTCTTTTATCTGGAGAAAACACACCCTGGCATAAAGCATTAAAGCCCTGCAATAGTTTGGCAAGTGACTGTCAGAGCTTTTCTATAATACACAGCAAAGCTTCTATCCAACCAGAGAATATACAAACTATTATAAAAACATATTGATATCCCACTGATAGTGGCAATTAAATGAAATCTGTCTATCCAAATGGTCCACCAGGTGTCAGAAATGTCCCACCTAAAGTTGAAATTTTTTTACCATGTTTATGGGCTTGAAAAACTAAACATTGGTTACAAACCATTTTTGCAATTTTAGAAGAGTTTCCCTTCCAATGTTTTGAACAACAATATATCATTTGATCTACTTTATGATGAAATATGGAGTACAGAGTTTTCATAATGGAAGCATTAAGAACTCAGGAAGAACCAAGCAACTGTCTTAGTTGAGTTCACACTTAACATTGAACTTATATCCTTTTAGATACCAATTTTGTTTTTCAAAATCAGATGCCTAGGACTGTTTATTAAATAGATTATCATAGGTGACTTGACTTGGATCAATCTTCTGGAGTTTATTTCAGTTGCATATTCTAATAGTTTTAGTACTAAATAACTTAGCATAAAAACATACCAAGACATTTTCTTGGTATTAAATTAATGGTTGTTCTGATTGATATTGGGTTAACAGTTTTATGATCCAAACAGTCTCCTAATTAGAGCTCTAGAAATTCTTACCCAGTCCAATGGTATAATCTTAAAGTTATGAGAAACCCGTACTTTTTAGAGTCATTTACATGAATCTTCTTAAAGACAAAACACTTTCATATTATAGTTGCTAACAAAAGCTTCCAGTTAAGTACCAGAGTAAAATAATTAACTGACTTTGGATTACAATACTTAAATAGTTATGGTTAAATATCTTACTAAGGCTTATGATAATAATAATAATGTAATTGACAAGGAAAATTGGCTATATCTGTGGCATATAACATTTTATAATAACTAGAATTATGACTGATAATATTATACCAGGATTATCAGACTTCCTGAAATTTAATATAATTTCTGGAATACACACCAGTAGCATATTCATACCAACATAACAAAGAAGGCAAACATTCTTTTTTTTTTTTTTAACCCCTTACTGGTCTCCTTTTCTAGAATTTAGAAGGTGTTTGTGCACATTAATATGTGACTTTCACATGTAGCTTTTCTAATCCTGATTTACAGATAGTTGACAGTACATCCAGATGTGGCCCCTAAACAATTTTTGCTGCCCAACAGCAGTGACACCATAGGGCCAACACCCAACCTCTAATCTATGACTGGATGTGAAGCCCATATCAGGACCATGTCTCCCCACAAGTTCATGTCACTGACTCACTATGGGATGGAATCTAAGTGAAGATGAGAGGGACTGAGGGAAGGCATGGTGAGTGCAAGCAAACATGTCGGGCAGAGTGAGGAGAACATTAGCAACTCAAATGCCTGCCATTTCAGAAAAGAAGGAACACATAAATTGAGAATACCACTTTACCTAGTAAAAGCCAATCCTGACATTTTTTTCTTCCCTCTTTTGGACTTCTTCTTTGGGTAACATGAGGTTTTAGAAGTCCATCCTGAATGTCAAAAGTATGTCATTTAATGCTTAGAATAAACACAGTCCCTTCCTGCACCACGACCACACTCACGAGGAAGACCTCACCATATGGAAAGATGGTCCTCTGCTGCCCACTGTACCAGGGGAGATGAAGGGACAATAAACTTTTACAAGAAACCAACAAACACGTGTCTGACCTCTTTTTTCAGAACCCCTTATGTCCTGGTTAAACCCAGTTCTATGCCACAGCAGTGGGGAACTTGGCTGGACTGAGCTCCCCTTCAAGGCACAGACTAGGCCCTGACCAAACTTGATGCAGAGAATAACTCCCCTCCTGCCTCCAGGTTCACAGGCTGATCTCAGAAATGGAGGTCAATGAGCCATGATGTTCAATGCTGGATACAGATTAAAATCAACTTTAAATATTAAAGATGAGCCCCAACCTGACTAATTGAATAGTGTAGTGTTACAGCACAAAAGGATATATGTGCAGAATGCCTCATAACGCTAATGTGAAGCCAGGGTTGAGCACCACTCATAGGGGCAAGCTCAGCACACCTCCCGCCTTCTGGCTCTGCTCTCTTCTTGGGGTCTCATTGTCACCAATATCCAGACAGTGGGTGGTCAAGGAGAAGAAACATGCCAAACAGTCAATATGGACCAGGTGTGGGGGTGAGGATGTGGCTGAAATGGTGAGTGGGGAAGCTTCCTATGCGTCTTCCCTGCTGTGGTTCTCCCTTTGCTCTCCTCGTCACCAGTTGCTCTTGCTTTCTCTCCAACACCACCTTGTTCTGTCTGCCATGGCTCCAAAGCTTTCAGTCTCTCCCCTCACTCTCTTTCTGAGGTGCCTCCCCCTTAACTGTCCCCCTCTGTATTTTTCTCTCTTTTACCTCTTTGGAGATACAGTTTTTCTCTAAATTGCTCTTTTTCTTTTCTGCTCCTGCCACTTTTTTTTTTCTCTCTTCCTGTCTTCTTGCAAATTTCTCACCCATCTTCTAATTTGCCATCTGTTCATGATTCTTCCTTATTTTCTTTCTTCCTTCTCAGGTTGTCTATGATTCTTAGTTACTCTGTGTCTCTCTCCTTACATTAGTTCATTTATTGTGTTACCGTAAAGGAATACCTGAGACTGGATGACTTATAATGAAAAGAGGTTTAATTGGCTCACTGTTCTGCAGGCTGTACAAGCATAGCACCAACATTTGCCCAGCTTCTGGTGAGGCCTCAGAGAGCTTATAATCATAGCAGGAGGTGAAGGGGGAGCAGACATGTCACATGCAAGAGAGGGAGCAAGGAGGGAAAGTGTCACACTCTTTTGAACAACCAGATCTCTCATGAGCCAGAACTCACTCATCACCAAGGGTATGGTACTAAGCCATTCATGAGGGATCTGCTCCCATGATCCAAACCCATCCCACCAGGCCCCGCCTCCAACAATGGGGGTTACATTTCAACATGAGATTTGGAGGGGACATACATTGAAACCATATTACACCTGATCCCCTTTACACACATTCAAAAGGAGAAAGATGAAATAAAATGCCTGCATTCCAGAAAAGCACATTTCCAGCTGGTTGGAATTTGGGGCATAAGAGCATCAGATGGCACAGAACAGGCCCAGGTCACCTTTCTCAGCATGGAGGGGTGATTGCAAAGGGAAGGCTTGGGGGCAGAAGGACCTGGCCTGAGAAGGAGAAGGATATGAAGTGAGGGCCAGAGAAGTGGTGTCTCAGGTCAGGGGTGGAGTCTGCAGAATCCCAGGACCAAGAAGAGAACACCAGCACTCCTGGATTGGGGCTGCGGCACTGCCCTCTAGTGGCCGGCAAGGGGAAGTGTGCGTGGCGCAAGGGACGTTACCCCACCTCTCTGGTGAAGTTTTTTGTTTTGTTTTGTTTTTAATAATTTCAACTATTATTTTAGATTTAGGCAGGACATGTGCAAGTTTGCTCCATGGGTATACTGTATGTATACTATATGACACTGAGGTTAGGGTTACACATGATCCCATTACCAAGGTAGTGAGCATAGTACGCAACTGGAAATTTCTCAGTCCTTGCTGGCTCTGTGTCTTCCTGCTCTAGTAGCCTCCAGTGATTTTGCTCACATCATTATGTCCATGTGTACCCAACGTTTAGCTCCCACTTATAAGTGAGAACATGCAGTATGTGGTTTTCTGTTCCTGCATTAATTTCCTTGGGATAATAGCCTCCAGCTGCATCCATGCTGCAGCAAAGGACAGGATTTCATTCTTTTTCATGATTGTGTGATATTCCATGGTGTATATGTACCACATTTTCTTTATCCAATCCACCACTGATGGGGGCACCTAGGTTGATTCCATGTCTTTGCCTTTATGAATAGTTCTATAATGAACACATGAATGCATGTGTCCCTTTGGTAGAACAATTTATATTCCTTTGGATATATACTCAGTAATGAAATTGCTGGGTTGAATGGTAGTTCTTGTTTAAGGTCTTTGAGAAAATGGACTGCTTTACACAGTGACTGAACTAATTTACATTCCCACCAACCCTTTTCTCTGCATCTTCATCTTGGTGAAGACTTTAAACAGAAGGGTCAGGGGGAGAGTTTAGTAAAGGATCTTAAGTAGAAAAATAATGCAAAAGGAAGTGTCCATATGGCCTGAACACAAAAACTTAGAGGAAGAGATCAGCCTCAGAGCAATTTTAACTTGAAGCAAAACAACCTCCCGGCTCTCATGGCAACATCTAAGTTTAGTTGTGGTGGAGAGGCAGTGCATGCAGGGCCTTTAGGGTCAGTAGTGATCCTGAGATCCTGGGGGTAGAGAGCAGAGAATTGTGAAAAGCTGATTACAACTACATAGAGGAAAATCAGGCTCTTGAGTGTCATCCTTGCTCCATGTTATCTGCTTCCCTAAACATCATTTCTTATTTGACAAATCTCCTCATGCAAATTTAACAATATCGAATTAGTTTAATTAGTTTAACATCTCTCTTTTAGTAAGGAGGAGAGAGAATAAATTTTTGAAAGCTATTGTTGGGAACCTCTGGAAGATTGTAAAGTTAGTCCAAGTCAAAAAGACATAATTTAGAATTGGATTTTGGGAAGTTTGTCAAAAAATTAGATGTAAAACACTCGATTAAACAGGATTACAAGTCTCTCTGATAGTAGTCATTTATTTAACCAGAGTGATCATTAAAAAGACTTCAAAGGCAAATATGCAAAGTTACATAATTATAGAAAAATCTTAGCTCTTTTAATAGAGAGGATACAGTTTTCTTAAGTAACCAAAGACCTAATAAATTAAGAACAGACCAGTATTCTAAGAAAACTTTGTAGCCATGTACTTTCAATAGTAAGGTTGATCCTTTTCTTTTTCAGTAACTGTCTTAGTTTAATTTGAAGCACTGTAAGAGAATACCTAAGAATGGGTAATTGGTAAAGAATAGAGATTTATTGCCTCACAGTTCTGGCAGCTAGGAAGTTCAATATCAAGGGCCCAGCAGGTTTGGCAATTCTAATTCCAAGATGTCACCTTGAAGCTGCATCCTTAGGAGAGGAAGAATGCTTTGTCTTCACATAATGAAGACACAAGGGCATAGAGGCAAAAGAGAGATGAACTAGCCCTTTTATAGAGGCATTAATCTGACCCATGAGGGATCTGCCCTCTGCCCTCACGTCTATGGCCTAATCACTGTCCAACAGTCCCACCTCTTAATAATATTATAATGACAATTAAATTTCAACATGAGTTTTGGACGAGACAAACATTCAAACAAGAGCATCAACATATATACACGTGTGTGTGTATGTATGTGTATATATATATATATACATATATATATACATACACACACATATAGATATCCACTCAGCTCTTAGCCAGCTTTGCTACACATAGAATTCATTTTCCAAAATTTCTCTTCCCCGTATCTTCTAGAAATTTCTTATATCCATTCTGTTTGTCCTATACTGTTTCTATTTTCCACTGTGGAACAATCAATCATTCTGTTTTGGGGAAAAATATTTTTTTTTTTCTTAGCAAAGATATATCCTTCATACTTTATAACTTCACGTACCAAAAACATGTCTTACTTTTCTCAAATACAGAGTTGTTTTTCTTAATATTTCCAGTTTTAACTGTCTGTCAAACTAGCATTTTATAGACTGGCAAATCCATGAATCATAATTCCTAGAAGCATGTACTTCTTCATATTATATTTTTCAATGTGACACAGGACCTGTTTGCTAACAGACCCAAATATCTTTAGTTCCTCTATAGTAAGAACATTCAGTAATTAATGTTTCAGTATTTAAACTTATTTAGAAACTAACTAGATATTCAATTATTATCTATCATTTAATTTAGCAAAACTCTAAGGTTGTAAGTGATCAAGGAGATTTAGGAAGCTATTTTTTTCTTTCTTTTTTTTTTTTTTAGACAGAGTCTCACTCTTGTTGCTCAGGCTGGAGTACAATGCTGCGATCTCAGCTCACTGTAGCCTCTGCCTCCTGGGTTCAAGCAATTCTCCTGCCTCAGCCTCCTGAGTAGCTGGAATTACAGGCGCCCACAACCATGCCTGGCTAATTTTGTTTTGTATTTTTGGTAGAGACGGGGTTTCGCCATGTTGACCAGCCTGGTCTCGAACTCCTGACCTCACGTGATCTGCGCACCTCGGCCTCCCAAAGTGCTGGAATTACAGGTGTGAGCCATGGCGCCCATCCGGGAAGCTATTTTTAAGTAGGCATATTATAACACAAAACAAAGGTAGCCATTATCAAATTATTTCCCTCTTAGCCATTTTTGCAGAATATGATTGTTAGGCAGCCATCACAAAAGCAGGATTCTTAAAATGTTATATATTTGGGTTCGTTGTTTTACTGCTGTCCTTAATGTATATAAAGTAAGGGACACTGCACTTTCACTTGCACATTTCTTATGTTAAAACTCATAATTCTAGAGTCTTATATGTGTAGAAAACATTTCAAATTAGTTCCTAACTTTCTAAAAGTTTAAGGAATACTTAGCTTTTATAAGTGCTATGAAATAGAGCCAATTAAACAGAGCTGTTTTATAAATTAATTTTGGCAACATCATCTGGAGGTAGAAACTATTCCATATCTTTAACACACATACAGAGACACAAATAAACATAGAGACAGAAACAAATCTTACAACTTTCATTTAAAATCAGGTACTATAATGCAAAACACTAACTTATAGAATAATAGCTAAATATAAATTATGTTTTTAGAAGATGGGATAAATTAAGTTTACCTATAGAGATGGTCAAAGCTTTCTAGTAATAATTGTTGAAAAAAGAAGAGTTTTCATGTGCCAGTTTTCACATAGTTTCCTTTTGTCTTTCTCTTTTCTTATTCTACTTTTGGCGAATCATCTCTCTCAAATTTGCATTTCCAAAGGGATGGCTCTTAGGAAAACATGTATCAAAGGCACAGAGCTTAGACTCCAGACTTAAATACTATCATTTGTTGAAACAAAGAAAGAAGGGTATATATAAAGGCCTAGTTTAGACAAGATGGCTGCAGAGAAAAACTACCTTAAATAAAGTTAAGGCTAGTTATGTAGATTTAAGCTCATGCTTTTTCTTTGTGAGAGTTTCTAGTAATTTTAGTCATCCTTCTTTTCCTGATGCAGAGAGGGAGTCATACTTACAAATGGAGATTTATTTGACAGAAGAAAATCTCTCTTACAAAGAATATTAAAATAACCAGGTGAGGGCCGGGCTCAGTGGCTTACAACTGTAATCCCAGCATTTTGGGAGGCCAACGCAGGCGGATCACCTGAGGTCAGGAGTTCGAGACCAGCCTGACTAACATGGAGAAACCCCATCTCTACTAAAAATATAAAATTAGCCGGGCGTGGTGGCACATACCTGTAATCCCAGCTTCTCGGGAGGCTGAGGCAGGAGAGTCACTTGAACCCGGGAGGCGGAGGTTGTGGTGAGCCAAGATGGTGCCATTGCACTACAGCCTGGGCAACAAGAGCAAAACTCCATCTAAAAAATAAATAAAAATAAAAAAATAAAAACCCAAAACAAAACAAAAACAAAAACAAATCAGTTGAATGCAGGAAAGGTGTATCTCGAAGGCTAATGCAGCTATATATGCACCTTCCTAACCCAGCTTCTGTTTTAACTAGATTACAGAGTGCAGGGCAGAGCTCAGTAATGAATAGGGTAGACAAGGCATTTCCTATGCCCAGACTCAGCATTGATAGGCCAAAACATTTTACTAATAGTGTTTCTAGTCTTTCCTTATACTCAGGACTAGTTCATTCTTTTTCTGTTTACAAATTTGAATGACAGACCAATCAGGATTATTTTTCTTTTGAGGAAATACTTATATTCTAATAAATTGTTTGATACTTTTCTAGCCCCCATCCCTCCTTTTTTGTGGGGGTCAGTGCCTGAAAGATTGAATGGTTAGGTCTTTTATATCTTTCTTAGGTACCTCTCATTTGAATTTAGCTATCCATTTACAGGCTTCACCATGTTAATAAAAGGCTGTGGAATGTTAAAAGGAGAACTTTATTTTCTGAAAGCTATCTATAGACTGGGAAGATGCAGGCTTCTGTGCAAAACAAAAGTGTGTTCCAAGGAGCAAGCAGGGTGTAGAAGATTATAAAGGCAAAACCTGGGCTGGGTGTGGTGGCTCACAGCTGTAATCCCAGCACTTTGGGAAGCCAAGGTCGGCAGATTGCTTCAGGCCAGGAGTTTGAGACCAGCCTGAACAACAAGGAGAAATCCCATCTCTACTAAACACACACACACACACACACACACACACACACAAGCCAGATGTGGTGGCGCATGCATGTAGTCCCAGCTACTCAGGAGGCTGAGGCAGAAGAATCACTTGAACCTGGGAGGCAGAAGCTGCAGTGAGCTGATATAGTGCCACTGCACTCCAGCCTGGGTGACAGAGGAAAACTCTGTCTCAAAAAACAAAACAAAACAAACAAAATCTGCAAGGTGTTGGGGGCTGGGGGACGGATCAGGTGTAGTGTCCAAATTGGATGGCCTTTAAGCAAGACATCACAATGAATCTCTCCTCCTTGGCTGGCCTCAGGTGAGCTGGTTGGTGGTCATCTGGGAATTTTCAGCTGCAGTTTATCTCAGCACCAACAACAAGAACTGGTTTTGTTTGATTGCAGAAGAGGCAGTCTTGTGATACCTTTACAACAGCTTTCTGAGAACAGAGACTCATTATCTCAGCATTCAAGGTATGTGGCCACTCTCTCAACCTGCTATGGCTGCCTGATTCTGCTTTTAACTTTAGCCACAAGGAGTTCATTTTAACTTTAGCCACAAGGAGTTCATTTTGTCTGCTGGCCAGAACATACTTTAACAGCTAAGTCCCTGTATCATGGGAATAAATTGGCAGAGATCAAAAAATCCTAGATTATAAAACTCCAGTGAGAATTTAAAATTCATTAGCAACTTTCTTCCCAGACAGGGAAATCTTTCAATATTTCTCTGAGCTCAAGATTCATTTGCCCTTTGTAAAGAGCCTTTTAGATAGGTAAATTTTTAATTCTACTTTAGAAGGCTATGCATGCCAATCAAAAATACATACCACTGCTGACAACAGGTCTGTTAATCAAAAAAATTTACACAAATAAATTTAACAGTATTTTATTTTAGCAAAGAATAATTCATAAATTAGGCAGAACTCAGAACCAAAAGAGGTTCAGAGAACTCCGCTCTGCAACATGGATAGTGAGTATTTAAATCAGAACACAAAAGTAAAGTACAGAAATAGCTTGACTGGTAGTGAAGAAACTGAAACTGGAACAGACCAATATTGAGTTCTGAAATTGAGTCAGTAATAAACATTCTACCAACCAAGCAAAGCCTCTGACCAGATGCATTTACAGTTGAATTGCACCAAATGTACAAAGAAGAGATGGTCCAATTCTACTGAAATTATCCCAAGAAATCGAGGAGCAGCAACTCCTTTCTAATTCATTCTATGAAGCCAGCAACACTCTGATACCAAAGGCTGGCAAGGACAAAACAACAACAAAAATAAAATTGCAGACCAATATCCCTGATGAACATAGTTGCAAAAATCCTCAACAAAATACTAGAAAACCAAATCTAGCAGCACATCAAAGAGTCAATTCACCACCATCAAGTAGCTTCATTTCTGGGAATGCAAGGTCAGTTCAACATACACAAATCAATAAATATCATTGACCATATAAACATAATTAAAAACAAAAATCATATGGTCAACTGAATAAACTCAGAGAAATCCTTCAATAAAATCCAGCACCCCTCTATCATAAAAACCCTCAACAAACTAGGCCTCAAAAGAACATACCTCAAAATTATAAGAGCTGCTCATGTCTGCAATCCCAGCACTTTGGGAGTCTGGAGGCAGGTGAATTGCTTGAGCTGAAGAGTTTGAGTCCAGCCTGGGCAACATGGTGAATCCCTGTCTCTACATAAAATACAAAAACTAGCTGGGAATGGTGGCACATGCCTGTGTTCCCAGCTACCGGGAAGCTGAGGTGGGAGGATTGCTTGAACCTGAGGAAGTCAAGGCTGCACTGAGTTGTGATCTTGACAATTACACTCCAGCTTACGTGACAGAGCAAGACCCTATCTCAAAGTAATAATAATAGCCATCTGTGACAAACCCGTAGCCAACATCACACAAAACAGGCAAAAGCTGGAAGCATTTCCTTGAGAGCTGGAACAAGAAGAGTGACACTCTCACCACTCCCATTCAAGATAGTACTGGAAGTCCTAGCCAGAGTGATCAGGGTAGAGAAAGAAATAAAAGGCATTAAATAGAAAAAGAAGTCAAACTATTTCTCTTTGCTGATGATATGATTCTATACCTAGAAATACCCTGCCAAAAGATTCCTCAAACTCATAAATGACTTCAGTAAAGTTTCAGGATACAAAATCAACGTACAAAAATCAGTAGCATTTCTATACACCAACAACATCCAAGCTGAGAGCCAAATCCAGTACATATTTCCATTTACCATAACCATACACGCACACAAAATACCTAGGAATTTATCTAACCTAGGATGTGAAATATTTCTATAAGGAGAATTACAAAACACTGCTGAAAGAAATTGGAGATGATACGAAAGAAATTGGAGATGATACAAACAAATGGAAAAACATTCCATGCTCATGGGTTGGAAGAATCAGTATGCTTAAAATGACCATATTGGCCAAAGCAATCTACAGATTCAACACTATTCTAATCAAACTATAAACAAAATTTTTCACTGAATTTCATTTGTTTTAATAAATATATATAATTGCATATTAGTATTATATATGTAAAATAGAATCAAGTGTCTTACTATTTATTCATAACTATCATGAACGAAACTTGTAGGTGGTTTACTGGGCCTCTTGTATGTTAATTGAAAGAGTGGCTGACATCTTGGACTTCATCACATGTAGCTAGAGAAAATATTCTTGGATGAGGAGCACTTTAACAAATTCAATATTACAACACATTGTTGAATCCCTATTGGTCTCCTGAAATAATATGTAATTATTGTTCTTATCTCTTCGAGAAAATAATGTTTATATTATGATGTGTTGTTTTTGCAGAAATACTATTTGCTAAGCCACCATTAACAAATACCTGTGAACAGAGATAGTTAGATAATATAACACATTGGTATTTTGTTCCAATTCCTCCCTAGCCATATGTTCTCTTCTGACAGGGAAACAAAATTTAGAAACAATTCTTTCAACAAAGCACACTTCAACTTGCAGATGACCAACTCATAGTCCATGGCAGTGATGAAAGCAAGTTACATGTAAGGGCTCAACAGCAGTATAAATAATAACAAATTATGAAAAAATGCATTTGCTTTCTTGCTATCTACATAATATTCTACTGCCAAACATATTCTTGCTAAAAAATGCCAAAACCTAAAATTCTACTACTATTGAAACCATCAAAGCCTTCATGAGGCAAATGATGCATGGAAACAAATTCCTTAAAACACATTCTGTCCTAGCAGTAGGCAATAGACAGGCATGACGAGCATATGTGGTTAAGTCCTCTTTGAGCTTCTTTATAGTTTTTCTGATTACTAGCTGTGACCAGAAATTTTGGGAATATTTAGTCACAGACAATGAGGAAAGAAAACAACAAAATAAAGCAAGTATAAAAACCAATACACTACATGAAAATATGCTACTTTCCTCTCTGTGACTAATCTACTAATTGTGAAAGCTCTTTAAGATTTTCAGGACCAAAAAAAGTAAATTTTCTGATTTTTCAGAACTTATTTAATAACACTGATTTGCTATCTCTTATAGGGTGTACCTCATTATCTCTCAAATTTGCATAATCACAGAATGCTTGATTAAGGAATGGAAACTTCGAGTGTAATGGATATGCATGCATGATTAGCTGTAGGAGGAGATCTATAATTATGTGGTGTATAAATATACATCTATATACTTTAAACCTTAACAATAAACACAACAAAAATCTTGACATTTATTTTAAAATTCTTCCAGTCATAATTTCAAAAAGGAAAACAGCAGTACCTTTAAAAGAGTCACAAAATCCCTTAATCACACTCTTCCAGAGGGTAAATTTATAATACAATTTAAAATTTATACTCACTATAAAAGATATTGATAATTTTTAAAAAGGCAGAGGGGGTCTTTGGTTCCCAGGTATTTTTGTGCTATGAGCCCTGAATATCACATTTATTCAGAAAGCAGAGTGAATCTTGATGGGATATACGTCTTAAATCTCTGTAGTTCACATCAGTTTCACTGTTTTTAAAACTAGTACCTTCTTTACCTTTCTCCTCCATTACTCCATACTCTCTTGTACAAATCCCTGTAAACACAAATCATCCTAAGACTGCCTCCAAATATCAATGTAAACTTCAAACTCTCCAATTGTATAAAATAAGAATGGTAAACTTTGTATTAAATCTATCCATAATAGATATGAAAAGCTGATTAACTAAATCCAAAGTTCAATCTAACTCTAAATACCATAAAAATTACATTATAACAGAATTAGAAATTTAGTTTATATGAGTGAAACTTTTTTCATGTCCTAGATGACAAGTACTTATCTAATTATTTAAATTTAATCTGTAAAGATATTTTACTATTATAAATATTTTTCCACAAGACATGTGATATAATGTTTATCTTTGTATGTTTTCTATTACATACACTGAGAGAGAAAACTGACAACCACTGATAACAAAAATTCTTTATGCTAAAGGATTATAAGAGATTTTAACTGTGATAATTTAAATAACACTTCTTAAGCAAATTTCTTCTAAAAACAATGTAAAAATATATTTTAAAAATTATGTTTTTAATACAGATTTTTTTGAAGAAGGAGAAGTTAACACATTTAATTCAATCACTTCCTTCCCTTTTTATTATTATGAACCACATAGTACTTAGTTTTTTATAGTCCAAACTTTACTGAAGCAAACCTAAGAAAAATTTAAATGTCATCTTAATTTTCCACCTCACAAAAGGTTTTCTGTAATTGGGAAAAGTGACAGTGAATTTCTTGCCAGGTCATTCAGGTGATTCCCTGGAGTGAGTTGATGCTTATGGTTTACGAAAAGCCTTATGTGCAAGATCAACAACCTATATAAAGAATGGCAAGAACAAAACACCTTGAGTTACCAAATGCAATGCTAATTAGATCTATGATCTTAAACAGTTACTATCATGCTTATCTAGTGGAAGAGGAAAGATTGTAAAATACTAAGCAATGAATCAACAGTTTTATTCTGTCTGTAGTAATCACATTTTTCTAATGTTAATATTAATCTTAACATAAAGAAAGAAGAAGGAGGAGAAGGAGGAAAAGATAGAAGAACAAGGAAGATGAAGAAGGTAAAAGTGAATGAGAGGGTTATCCCCAATAATGATACGAACTAATACGAAACACCGAAGTTGCCGTTTTCTTAGTATACATTATTTTATTTTGGGGGGGGTGAATTTTTTCTTTTCTTTCATATACTTATTTATTTTTTATTTTTTTAGTTTTTGAGTTAGGGTCTTGCTCTGTTGCCCAGGCTGGAGCACAGTGGCGTAATCACAGATCACTACAGCCTCGACCTCCCAGGCTCAGGTGTTCCTCCCACCTCAGCCTTCCGGGTAGCTGGGACTACAGGTGCATATCACCATGCTTGGCTAATTTTTGTATTTTTTTTATAGAGATAGGGTTTCGCCATATTGCCCAGGCTGCTCTTGAACTCCTGGGCTCAAGTGATCTTACCAACTCAGCCTCCCAAAGTGCTGGGATTACAGGTGTGAGCCGCCACATCTAGCTGGGTAATTTTTCTTTAGGCACTATACAAACTCTTTCTGTGTGTTAGGTCATTTAATTCTCATGTCATCTACATATGCAGGCATTATTATACCTGCATTACAGATAAGACACTATGGCTTTGGTGAGAAACTTTATAGTTATCCGTGTCATTTTATTGCAGAACTTGAATTAATATTTATCTCTGTCAGACTCTAAAATTTGTGCTATTGAACTCTACATGTTTGTACATTCTTGGATGATGTCAGCCCACTATAACTTATTTTAGTAAAATAAAATGTAAATTGTTTGAGGCTATAAATTTTTGTTCATTTTACCTTCAGATAAAACTTGAGAACAACATTTATAAACTCAGCTGAGTTTTTTCTTCCTCAAATGACAAGCATACATAAAAATAAAATATGAGAAAGTTAAAAGTGAAAAACTTAAATTATTACAAGGAACAGTTTCTATTACTATATTTAATGGAAATGTTTGGTCAAATATTATTTTGCATAATATTACTTTAATGTATATATCAGCATTAGAAGGCTGTCTTCTGTCTAAATCAATGCGCATTTAAAATGTCTTACAATGTTTTTGAAAATAAACTTTCAGACGGCTTAAAAGAATAACTATAGGAAAATGGCATAATTAAAAGGTTTTTCTACTGCTTGAGAGTTAAAGTAAAATAATTCTTCAAAATTAAAATTGTTACCTATTAAGACCATATGCTGCACAAGATATTCTTGTTGATGTCAACGGGTGTTCCAATGAGGATGTGGGCAACATATGGGCCTGGCATTTTGTTAATTAAAAACAATGTTTTGCTACGTTGATGTGTGTTCCAAAGAGAGATTCCTAGAGCATAACACCAAGTTGCCGAGTTTAGTGTTTTAGGAGGTTGGCAATTACACAGTTCAGTGTTAGACTTGAAACACAAAGATGTAACTTTCATGTTGCACTCATTCTATTTTTAATAATAACAATAATAAACCTTAGTTGAAAATTTTTGTTGTGATAGCTGGAATTAATTCCAGATAATTTCCAAGTCTACTGAAAGTTTAATACTAAATTATAAAGGTTAGAATTGAGGACTGAACACTTATAGGACACATTTTTATATGTTTTAAGTATATGCAGAATTCTTTTTGGTAGATTTATTGCAAAAATAATTCTGATTCTTCATGTTTCTCATTATCCACATTGCATTGTGACTTTGCAGCCACTGTCCATGAAAGGAGTCTATTCCTCTACACAATAAATTTGAGACAGACTTGTGACGTGGCTTTGCCTAAGAGTATCATTTAAAAGTTTAAAAAATAGCCAGGTACAGTGGCATGCAACTGTGGTCCCAGCTACTCAGGAGGCTAAGAGGGGAGGATCGCTTGAGCCTGGGAGGCTGAGTCTGCAGTGAACCACAACTGTGCCACTGCACTCCAGCCTGTGTGACAGAGAAGGACTGTCTTCAAACAATAAAAAATAAAATTAAAAAAACAAGAAGATGATTTAAATAATGATGTCCCAATGTCAAAGTTGGGTCTAAAAGTCTTCATTGCCTTCTTTCTTTTTCTTCTATTGGCCTCCTGCTTAGGCTGAACTGCTGGAGTTTATGTGGAGCAGATCCAAGTCAGTTTAGTTGTTCCCTAAAACCCCAGAAACAGGAAAGAGCCTAGCAGAGATCAGTTAAGCTTCATTGCTAACCTTCAGATGCATTGGTGCGAACCAACTTGAAGCACAGTTCAGGAAGCCAGTAAGCTTGTGAGCAATAATAAATGCTTATTGTTTAAACCACCGAGTTTTGGAATCATTTTGTTATGTAGCATTATTATTATGATATACTCCTACAACATTACTTCTTCTCCCTCAAATACATGGCACATCACTTATTGAATTAGCATCAGTTTTCAAAAACCAGAGAACAACAATGCATAAAGAAAACTAGTCATATAGAACCCAAAGCTAGGAAATGTGACCTTTAGTGCTTACATGTATGTACTACAATGAGAGCAGAGTACAGTCCTTTATAGCACAACTTGTGGACTCAGATATATCTAAGTTTCAATCTTAGCACAACTATTTACAGAATGCCTCTGTCATCTAGAACATATGGCCCTCTGCTATCTCCTGAGATTGACTCTGATTGTTGCTATTGCTGCTGCTTCAGACTGAATAGAAGTAAGTTGTTTCATGAACAGATTTTCAAAAAGAAACTGACACTTAAATAATTCATATTTGGTCTTGACTTTTGCCTACATAGAGTATTGATCTTAAAGCCAAAAGACATCTTGTCTACCTCTTGTTAACTGTTGGATATCATTGCAAGGAGAAAGGATATGAGTGAAAGAGGCAAGACTTATTTTACATTTGGTAAAAGCAATTGTAGAAAATCCATGCTTTTAGAAAGCCTTCTACCATTTATGAATGTGGAATGTCACTAAACAGTTAGCCTATTGAGGAAAAATGTGTATCTCATCAGGGAAAAAAAAAGACACAACACAGATACCAAAAAAAAAAAAAAATGCTTTTGCTGTTAACAATAACCCAAAGCAATCATCAATGTTAATACTTTTTATTCTGCACAGATTTATGTCATTCATTTGTCTTGAAGCAGCAAAAGGCCTTAGAAGACCACATGAGTTAAGCACACTACACTTTCAGATACTGTGAATGAAAAATGCATGTGGATTACTCTACATTCCAAAAAATAATATCAATGTAATGTATAGCTTTTGCTAAAGTTCACTGACACCTAGATAGTTGAAAAATGTCTCTTTCCAAGAGTGTGAACATGTCAATTCAACTGCTTGGCACAATGTGGAGAAGAAATGTTGGTATTTTTGTCCCTTCTAGGTGTTCAGGGCAAGATTCTCAATAGTATAAAAACTTAGAAATAATAAGAGTTGGAGACAAAGTGTTATCACTTTTTCACAAAGTGTATGTGGCTGCAACATAAGAAGTCACCAGTAATAGAAAATGAAAGTGAGAAGGACCAAAGGTACCATAATAGATAACAATTAGAAAGTTAACTTATAAAAAGATTTGTTGGACCTCTGCTAGAAACCAAAGTTAGTAATATATGTCAAGGCACAAAATTTCCCGGTTATTCTGGACTGCATAAATGACCTACATGATACATGTTTCTTTCCTTCCTCCCTCCTTCTTTCCCTTCCTCCCTTCCTCCCTCCTTGTTCCTTCCTGCCTGCCTTCCCTTCCTCCTTCCTTCCTTCCTTCCTTCCTCCCTCCCTTCTTTCCTTCCTTCCTCTCTTTTCTTTTCTTCTCTTTCTTTTTTCTTTATTGCTCTTTCCTTCCTTCCTTCCTTCCTTCTTTCTTTCTTTTTCTTTTTTCTTTCTTTCTTTTCTTTCCAGAAAACATTAATAAGATGTGCCTGTTATCTGGTGTTTAAATAGAAGGGAATTATATTCATCCATATCATGCGGCTTGGTTCCCCCAAATGTTGTTTGGATCAGAGAGATAAAAATTTTTTTTTCCAAAATGTTTGCCAAGATGCAGTGTCTCTAATTGACTGTCAATCTTCAGTGGACTACAACAGTGTTTATGCATAATGAGTTCCTGGACTCATGCCCTTTTAATAATTCAACATACAGGAAGGCACATATATCTGGCAAGCATCCAACACATACAAAAAATCAAGTCTTCTCGGGGTATCCAAAGATAGTCTCAGAAGAAAGCTATTACTTTGTCTTAGGAAATTCCCTACTTAAAATAGCCTTTTTTTTTTTTTGCATACCTTGTTAGTTGTGACTTTTGAAGAAACTAAATGTCATCATATTCTGGCTATTATAGTTACATTGTTTTGGATATAGTACATTTATTAAAGAGAGTATGTAGAGTTCATTACTTTCTATGTGCTAATATATAAAATGCACATACTTCATATCTTATAGTTGCATTTCAAAACAATTTTTAGTGTTCACCTTATAAAAATTCTGATTATTTTTCTCTCAAATAAGTGAATTAAAAGTGAAATGTGCAATATATATTAACACCAAAGCCTCTCTTTTCTAGGTGAAGACGATATATATCAAACACTTAAACTCTCAGATAGGAGAGTATAATGCCTACCAAAAGGTAAAGGTAATTAGTTAAGACGCTCATTTTATGCTCTATACCTATACCTCATCTTTTTAAGACAAACATAAGTGTACATTCTTAAACATCAAAAAGATCTACTAGAACAATTTGCCATTGAATCAAAAGTTCTATAACTTACTTTCATAGAATTAATAAGGCAGAATCATCTATTCCTTCACATGTCTCTATTTGACTGCAACAAATGCAAAAACTGTGACTTGGCCAAAATACAATGGTTTCCAACTATAAAAGTCAGTCCTACACTATCAAGCAAATATTTGCATCAAACCATTTATTCAGTGATGTGAAATTTAGTTCTGTGTATTCAGCACATTACTGTTTACTTGAAACAGGTGACAGATGTATTAGAAAGAGCATAAGGCTTCTGATTGAAATTCCAGCTTCAATTCTCAAAGGTCTAAGATGTTCAGCAAGTTTTTCAATTACTTTGAGCCTCAGTTACTTAGGGGAAAATCTTAATCTCAAGATGTAAATTTATGAGTATGTGTTGTGTGGGAAGCATAATTTAATAATCCAAAGAAGTTGACTGGCACTCAATAAGTAATCAATAAATGTCAGTCCCCCTCTTCCTCTTCTAGGTAGATATTGTAAGAATTCTGTCTAAAACAATACTGTTATCCAGAAACATATGCAAAGAATATACATTCTGGAATTAATTTGATGACAAAAGAATTAGAGAAACAAGACGCAGACAAATTTGCACTCTTATGTTAATAAACCAAATGGCTGTAATTTGGAAGAAGCACTATAAAAATAGTGCTTCTTCAGAAGGGAAGCGTGAAATCAGGAAAGTATCTTAGAATCAGCACCTAACAAAACTTTCAGTCTTTTTTATTGTAATTTATTTTGTTATATATATATTCATATATGTTATTTCAGATCCAAAACTATGCTAAGAAGAAAACAATAGTATGAGACTATGCTCAACATGCCACTCACATATCTACAATATAGAACTCATAACAAATTCATTTTATTCTGGAAATTAGAGTAAAATTCAAAATGTCTCTTTGCCCGTTTTTCACTTTTAACATTATTAGTATTTTAATTTTGAATGTTTGGTTCTTACATTATTGTGGATCAGAATAGAAAAAGGCATCTATCAATGTATGTATGTATGAGAGCAGAACATTATATCATGCATCTCTTGTATGCTTATTCTTAACTATAATATATGGCAAATATCTAAAAACCATAATTAACAATATAAACTACTTAAATTATTTTCAAAGGAACATTATTTTAAATCACAATGAATTAAAAATGTTGTGAGCACCATAATATTTAAAATATCAATAAAGAACACAAAGTTCTTTACCAAAAAGGACTATAGTTTTTAAACTTTACGTTTTTTAAGCTTTTTTTAGGCTCAGGGGTATATATGCAGATTTGTTTATATAGATAAACTTGTGGCATGGGAGTTTGTTGTAGAGATTATTTCATCACCCAGATACTAAGCCTAGTGCCCAATAGTTATTGTATCTGATCCCCCTTTTTCTCTACCCTCAGGTAGGCTCTAGAATCTGCTGTTGCCCTCTATGTGTGCATGTGTTCTCATCATTTAGCTCTTACTTGTAAGTGAGAACATGCAATATTTTGTTTTCTGTTTCTGCATTAGTTTGCTAAAGATGATGGCCTTAACCTCCATCCATGTTCCTGCATAGGACATAGTCTCATTCTTTTTTATGGCTGCATAGTATTCTATGGTGTATATATACCACATTTTCTTTATCCAGTCTATCATTGATGGGCATTTAGGTTGATTCCATGTCTTCGCTATTGTGAATAGGGCTCTGTTGAACATACAAGTGTACGTGTCTTTATGATAGAATGATTTATATTCTTTTGGGTATATATCCAATAAAGGGATAGCTGGGTTGAATGGTAGTTCTGCTATTAGCTCTTTGAGGAACTGCCATACTGCTTTCCACAATGGTTGAACTAATTTATACTCCCACCAATAGTGTATAAGCATTCCCTTTTCTCTGCAGCCTCAACAGCATCTGTTTTTTGGCTTTCTAATAATAGCTATTCTGAATGGTGTGATATGGTTTGCCATTGTAGTTTTGATTTGCATTTCTCTAATGATGAGTAATATTGAGTTTTTTTCCTATGTTTATTGGCTGCATGTGTGTCTTCTTTTGAGAAATGTCTGTTCATGTCCTTTGCCCACTTTTTTATGGGGTTGTTTGTTGTTTTCTTGTAAATTTGTTTAAGTTCCTGATAGATGTTGGATATTAGACCTTTGTCAGATGCATAGTTTGCAAATATTTTTCCCCATTCTGTAGGTTATCTGTAAAACACTCACTTTTATTAATGTTTTGAACTCAAACCACATTTAACAGCAGAAGTGTGTGATATGTTCTTTAGATTTCTTGCCCTGGTTCATAACAATCAATTTAACTGTCCATTTTCAGTAACAAACTAGAAGATAATATTAAATTAATTTAGAGATTTGGGTTGAAAGAAATAGAATCCCATTGAGTTAGCTTATTACAAAAAAGAAATCCATTTGTGCAACATCTCAGACCCTAATATAGGGGTAAATCCTAACATCAAGAATAAATTAGAACCAGGACTAAAATAGGATCAGGATCCTTTCTTTCCATCTCTGTCTTCTGTAACTTTCTGAGCACAGTTATTTTCTCTTCTGTTACCAAAGACAAAGTCTCATGATTTTTACTTTACGCAATTAGACATGACTGACCCCAGCTCCCAAGTTTACGTCTCCATTCCATATGTATTTGTTGTTCTAATTCCTAGGGCAGGGAATTGGATTGGCCCTGGATGATGAATCTATCCTGAACTAGTTAGTCGTATTCATGAGAGCAGTATGCTATTTTCTGGATCTAGATTCTCCTACATTAACCACGTGCTTGGAGAATGCAGAACTGCTGGTGTTGTGGGATAGAATTAGGATGTCCCTCTGAATATCTAGCCAGGAAAACTAGAAACAGCCCAAGTGGGCAGCAATGATGAAACTAGCAAGTATTCTGTAGCATGGCCCAGGCAAGAAAGGGAGAATTCAGAAGAGAACCATTGGCAGAAGGAAAATAAAATGAGAAAGAAAAAGAAAACCAAAAGAAGGATGATAAAATGGCAGCCTTTCATTTGTGTATTTCAGCTGAAGCATGTTCAGTATACTACACAAAGCCAATGTTACAAATACCTCATCTTGGTATACACCAGTCTAGAAATATGTCATTCTCATTATCAACAACAACAACCACAAAATGATTTTCTTTCACATATTTTCATAGTAGCATGGATGTTTCCCCATAATAAGCCTAGTGAAAATGATGGAAGAAAATTAATTTTTTAATTTTCTTTAATTTATCTCCTAAATTATGACTCTAAGAGACTGGATAAAAATTGGATACGTAAAATTTATTTTATATGTTTTAGATGCAGATCTCAAATTGTGGCAAAATAGAATTCTCAGCATACCATTAGCATAACTTTCATTCCCCTGTGGGCCTCCAGCTGAAAGCAAACTCTAGTCAGTTCCCTTATCTCTGTTTCCAATAGAAGAGAAAAGATAGCTAATCTTTCAGTACAATTAGGTATAGAAAAAAATCAAGCCTTTTGCTAAAAGATGCAGATACCTCCTACCAGAAAATTTATCTTTAATGGTTATCCGGAGTTGTCTTAAAGCCTATGTCAAAATATAAGAGTTAAGGATTCTTTAGACAGCCTTTGAGGAGACATAAATAGAGTGGCTTGATGATAGGATAAGTTGTAAAAAAACAACACTGGTCTTAGCACAATTATCCTGAATTAATTAAGAAAAGAGAAATACAATGTGTAAATTGTGTTAAGGAGCATGTGCTTCATTTTCTCACTAAAGATCAAACTTAATGTCAGAAGTATCCTAAGTTGTTAGTCAAGCTATCCTACAACAGTGGCCCTTAATCCAGTTATCCTAAAGCAATGGCTCTCATACATTTGCATCCACTCTAAACACCTTGAGGGCTTACAAAACAGCTTGCTCTATGCCACCCCAGATTTTCTGATTCAAACAAGTTTTCAGGTGATCAGGATGCCTCTGGCTCCCTGTCCACACTTTGAGAACAACTAACTTAAAGCCGAGATACTATTGAGTGGTTCCAAATCTTAAGGTAGTTAATTTGCAAGATTTATAGTATATGCTGCTTCCCTCATGTGGACAAAACCAAATGAAAAGTATAAGTATAGAAATAATGATAACAAGGGAGTAAGAATATTCCATAAGGCTACAGATCAAGATTACATTATGTTGCTTTTGCACTAAGGGTGCTAGTGCCCTTTCTTTCAGTAGGTACAATTTTTTTTTTTTAGGAAAACTATGTGTGCTAAAGGCATATGATATACAGAACTACTAGTTTGCATAATGCATTATGCTTTAGAAATTATATTACAAATAATTCAAACCATCTGGGGCATTTTTTAAAAATCAGGTTCTTGGGATGAATCCTTAGATGTTAATTATATGGGTCACCTCTGGCCGCAGAATTTGTGAACTGTTTTCTATCCACTCTGCCTAGACAGTTTTTTTTGTTTGTTTTTCATTTTAGTTATATGAACTAGATCTGGTAAAATGCCAGTGGGGAGTACTGAATTTACTTAATAAATCCATATCACTTGCATCAAACTATTTTTTTTAAAAAAAGCTTATAAAATTTCTAGAGTTTTCATCAGTCCTATATTTATACCTTGAAATATATTTCATCATATAAAACTGTTTGGAAAATATGAACATTTTTTCTAATATGGCATATTAAGTTTCAGGTGGAATTAATTTCAAATTTTAGTCCACTTGATCTCTTGATTCTTAGGAAAGAAGTTGATCTAAACTTAACCTCATCCAGAAATAAACTTTGTTTATTTTATATATATAATATATATAATATTTATAATATGCAGTTTACTGACTCCTCTGAAGGAAGCTTAGCAGATTATATTCTGGGATATATTGTCCTTTACTAACACTGTTAGTTAGATATAAAGAGTCAGATTATTCTCCCATTTTACTAATGAGGAAATGTATTTAGACAGATAATGCTTTGTCAAATGTCCTAACTTTGGTATGTGTTAGTTTCAGAACTCAAACTGAAAAAAGTCTTTGACTTTTACTTCGATGCTTTCATTCAGCATATCACATTATCTTAAAAATATGAGTAAAAGGAGCATAGATAATCTTCAAAGATAAAAATCCAATCAATAGAGATAGAATGTTATTTATCTGTTGGCACTTTTGTCCATACCATTAACTATTTTGAAATCTGAGACACAAATGGTCTTCCCAATTAGTTTATAATAAAAGAAGGAAAGAACATTTTAAGTTCATATAGAATGTAACTGATTGTCCCTACATGCTGAATTCCTCACATCACTCCTCACAGGGAAAGACTTGGTTAAACAAAGTCTTAAGAATAAAGGAAGAACCTACTAAAATGGCATGAAATGTGAACTGTTTTATATCTGCTGTGCTTAGAGAGTTTTTTTTTTTCATTTTAGTTATATGAACTAGATCTGGTAAAATGCCAGTGGGGAGTCCTGAATTTACTTAATAAATCCATATCACTTGCATCAAACTATTTTTTTTAAAAGCTTGTAAAATTTCTAGAGTTTTCATCAGTCCTGTATTTATAGCTTGAGATATATTTCATCATATAAAACTGTTTGGAAAATATGAACATTTTTTCTAATATGGCATATTAAGTTTCAGGTGGAATTAATTTCAAATTTTAGTCCACTTGATCTCTTGATTCTTAGGAAAGAATTTGATCTAAATTTAACCTCACCCAGAAATAAACTTTGTTTTCAGCAGCTCAGAGTTCAATTTCATACATCTCATGATACATTAGGACCTTTGCTCACAAATGAAACTGTGAGTACAACAGGAACACTTTCCAACCCTCACCAAGGATATGGGGTGGATCAAAAAGAGCTGTTAAATGATTATTAAACTCTTATATCTCTGTAAGTTCTCTCTGACTGGCTAATGGACAAAAGCTGGTGAAAAACATTTTTCTCTGTTGTCAGGCCAGCATTATTATTGTGAACACTGTTTCAATTGGACTTCTTAGCAGTTTCATAAAAGAAGACCATTAGGAATTATCCCATATGCTTTAGTTTATATGCTGCTTAATTTTAATGGAAAATTAAGAGTTTCCTTCTGGTTTGCTCAGTGATCTCTCTCTTCTTGAATTTCTATTTCCCATATGTGTTTAATATGTCAAAAAGTCACAGGTAAAATCCAAAACCCATATTCATCACACGCAAAAAAATAGTAATTATGTGGAATCTCCAATCAATATCCGGGCTTGCACACTATGTGAGGATTTTGTGCTTCACAGCTCTAAGTAGCCAAACTGGATATGCTTTAATCAGTTTTGTTTTCATAGGCTTTAGATTCTCTTTTTAAAATTAGCATAATGAACAAGTAATTTCTTCCATCTCTCATTTGTCTCCTAGAAGAAAGAGTTCATTAAACTGATTGCATTTGTCTTGTTAGAGAGGAACTTTCACTCCAAAGAGCAAGTTTCATTCCACCCTAACCCTGATTTAGTTTCATAAAGTTTAGCACTTAAGGCAGTAAAGATACTTTTAAAAATGCCCAGGCTTTGAACTTTTCAGTCTAAATCCTTTTGTGAACTAAAATAATTTTCCTTACTAAGCAATGCAAAGCATCTATATAAAACCTCCATGGAATAAACTGTTAGTTTATAAATCCTTTGCCTTTCTAGTTTATGTGAACCTCTTAGTCTTTCTGTTTCTGTACAGCAATAAAATTGTTACTTCTTGAGATAGGTTGAATGGAATATACTATTAGAAAATATTTCCCAGAATAAGGCCATGAGTTGTTGTTGTGATTGTCGTTAATCACAGGATGATTACAGCTGTTTTCTCCTACTCTTTATTAGTGTTACTTGAAATACTCTCTTATTATTAACATTGAACATCTATGAAACCTAATAAGCCACATTATTGTTTATATTATATGCTATAATTGTATGATTCCTAGACTTTAGCACAGATATTACTGCTCACTAATATTTCTTACTTAGCAAACAGCCTACCAATCACTCTTATGGCAATTTGTATTCTAACTTTAATTATGCAAAATTGTCTTTCTAGATACTCTGGAAAGGTGGCCTCATGCAACTTCTTAATTTGATACAATGCACAAATATGGCATGACAATTATCATAACATATTGACTCTTTTCTCTAATGGTAGGAATAAAGGGTTAATAATTAACCTAATAACTGTGATGAAAAAAAAACTCAGAATGTTAAAGGCTATCTCTAATTACCCTTTTCTAAAATGTAGTTTTACAAGATATTTTTGAAAATGTGACCATGTATACAATTTATTCGCATACAAAGTTGATGAACTAAAGTACAAGTTAAGGGATAATTGTTCAGTGTTCACATAAATTTTTTTGAGAATCCACCTTTTAAAGTTACGATATGTTTTTGAAAATAATTTAGCAAGCTTCTAGGTCTTACTTGAGTACATTATAGCATGAGAAATATATTTTAGTTAAATAAATATAATTTTCTTGGAATTTGAGAATAAAATCATATTATCCGTGTCATCAGACTTTCATCCTATGCACTCAATTCACTTTAATAAACATTTATGTTTAAATCATGATACTTAATGGTGTAGGGAACCTCAAGATGGTAAAAGTATGATCTCTAATTTCAAAAAGTTCATAATCTTGCAGATAATTAGAAATGCCTCACTCTAATGATAGTGATAATGAGCAACAGTTAAAGATTGTTAGTTTGAACAACCTCACAATCACCTGTTACATAATTACATGCGTCATGGCCAATATTCAGAAAATCATTCTGAAAAGATCTTTCTTGAGTTACATGTGAATAGTGCAGGCTCACTGACTTTATTTACTTTACAACTGGACACAGATACGGGAAGATTTCCCCCTATTTTTAGGTTGTTTCACCTAACTTTTTTGAGGGTGTTTCCACCTAACTTGTTCTACATATCCATTTAAAATCCATTACAATTCTTTTTAAACATGTGTATCTTTTTTGTTTTGTTTTTTGAGACACAGTTTCGCTTTGTCACCCAGGCTGGAGTGCAATGGTGCAATCTAGGCTCACTGCAACCTCTGCCTCCCAGGTTTAAGCGATTCTCCTGCCTCAGCCTCCCGAGTAGTTGAGACTACAGGCACATACCACTACACCTAATTTTTGTATTTTTGGTAAAGCCGAGGTTTCACCATGTTGGCCAGGCTGGTTTCAAACTACTGACCTCAGGTGATCCACCCTCCTCAGTCTCCAAAAGTGCTGGGATTACAGGCGTGAGCCACCATGCTCAACAAATAGGTATATCTTTTGAAGAATTGATATACTTTCTTATACTTAATAGTGGCAATTTTGAAAAACAATGTGTTTTACTTTCTTTTGTGAGATGTGGTAGGAGGGATGAATTATGAGAATAAAATTTTTTTAAATAACTTTTTAATTATTTTAGCCTGATGCACGGTTTCAAAGTATGATCCACAGATGGTCCCTGAGATCCTTTCAGGAGGTCTATGAGGTCAACAAGATTCATAATAGTTCTAAAATGACATTTGCCTGTTTTACTGTTTTGATATTTACCATGATGCTACAAAAGCAAAGGTATTTTGGGATTAGAGTGGGGTTTGGGGTGAGGAAATTGAGGCATTTGTTGAGTGCATAATTAAAGGGGGCACTGAAAAACTCAGTAATCAAGACAAATATTATTTTTATTTGTCCATTTTCACACTGCTATAAAGAACTACCTGAGACTGGGTAATTTATGAAGAAAAGAGATTTAATTGACTTACAGTTCTGCAGGCTTAACAGGAGACATGGCTTGGAGGCCTCAGAAAACGTAGAATCATGGCAGAAGGAGAAAGGGAAGCAAGCATGTCTTACCATGGAGGAGCAGTGGAGAGAGAGCAAGGGGGAACATGCCACAATATTAAACCATCAAATCTCAGGAGAGCTCACTCACTATCGTGAGAATAGCATGGTGGAAATCCACCCCCATGATCCAATTACTTAACACCAGGTCCCTCCCCTGACATTTGGGGATTACAATTCAAGATGACATTTGGGTGGGGCCACAGGGCCAAACCATATGGATATTTTAGTCCAATATTTTAAAAATCAAAATTAACTAAAAAAAAACAAGATGAACAAAACAACAAAATTTTAATTAAAGACTGATGCCATGTTGAGGCACACTGGGGTCTAAGAAAAAGAATGTTTTAGGCTAAGCGCGGTGGCTCACTCCTGTAATCTCAGCACTTTGGGAGGCCGAGGCAGCCAGATCATGAGGTCAGGAGATCAAGACTATCCTAGCCAACATGGTGAAACTCAGTCACTACTAAAAATAGAAAAAAAATCAGCTGGGCTTGGTGGCACATGCCTGTAGTCCCAGCTACTCTGGAGGCTGAGGCAGGAGAATCGCTTGAACCCGGGAGGCAGAGGTTGCAGTGAGCTGAGATCACACCACTGCACTCCAGCCTGGGTGACAGAGTGAGACTCTGTCTCAAAAAAAAAAAAAAAAGAATGTTTTAATGTTTCAATATTTTTAAACCATAATAATATTCTGCAAAAAATTTAACCATTAAAACATACATTTAAAAAAAAGTATGGTACACACACACATTTTCCTTTTGACCCAGGCTCCAATATGGCTTGTCCAGTTGTCAAGTTACTGGTAATTAAAACCACTGGATGCAGTGGCACAAAATTCTGTTAGTAGTCATTGTATCCTTCACCGCCAGGTACTTGTAGAATAAAACATTTAAAAAAAGGGTTTTATTTGCATTTCTCTGATGGACAGTGATGATGAACATTTTTTCATGTGTCCTTTGGCTGCATAAATGTCTTCTTTTGAGAAGTGTCTGTTCATATCCTTCACCCACTTGTTGATGGGGTTGTTTGTTTTTTCCTTGTAAATTTATTTGAGTTCATTGTAGATTCTGGATATCAGCCCTTTGTCAGATGAGTAGATTGCAAAAATTTTCTCCCATTCTGTAGGTTGCCTGTTCACTCTGATGGTAGTTTCTTTTGCTGTGCAGAAGCCCTTTAGTTTAATTAGATCCCATTTGTCAAATTTGGCTTTTGTTGCCATTGCTTTTGGTGTTTTATACATGAAATCCTTGCCCATGCCTATGTCCTAAATGGTATAGCCTAGGTTTTCTTCTAGGGTTTTCACACCAGTTAGAATGGTGATCATTAAAAAGTCAGGAAACAACAGGTGCTGGAGAGGATGTGGAGAAATAGGAACACTTTTACACTGTTGGTGTGACTGTAAACTAGTTCAACCATTGTGGAAGTCAGTGTGGTGATTCCTCAGGGATCTAGAACTAGAAATACCATTTGACCCAGCCATCCCATTTCTGGGTATATACCCAAAGGATTATAAATCATGCTGCTATAAAGACACATGCACACGTATGTTTATTGCGGCACTACTCACAATAGCAAAGACTTGGAACCAACCCAAATGTCCAACAATGATGGACTGGATTAAGAAAATGTAGCACATATACACCATGGAATACTATGCAGCCACAAAAAATGATGAGTTCATGTCCTTTGTAGGGACATGGGTGAAGCTGGAAACCATCATTCTCAGCAAACTATCGCAAGGACAAAAAACCAAACACCACATGTTCTCACTCATAGGTGGGAATTGAACAATGAGAACACATGGACACAGGAAGGGGAACATCACACACCGGGACCTGTTGTGGGGTGACGGGAGGGGGGAGGGATAGCATTAGGAGATATACCTAATGTTAAATGACTAGTTAATGGGTGCAGCACACCAACATGGCACATGTATACATATGTAACAAACCTGCACGTTGTGCACATGTACCCTAAAAGTATAATTTTTTTTAAAAAAAGGGTTTTATTTTAAAATGACTATCTTCTGTGAGGCAGTGAGGCAGTGATAGTGAGACTATGTTCAGATTAAAACCTGATCCTTGTGTATACATGCTTTTTATGTTGTGTGACAAAATGGAAGGAATTCGTAAAGCAATGAATACTAAAGTATGATTGTTTTTCTAAAAAAAAATGCACACGTTTGATTGAGTTGTAGGCTCAACAAGCCATTTTTCGATGGAATGCTGTTTTTTTTTTTTTTTTTTTTTATTATACTCTAAGTTTTAGGGTACATGTGCACATTGTGCAGGTTAGTTACATATGTATACATGTGCCATGCTGGTGCGCTGCACCCACTAATGTGTCATCTAGCATTAGGTATATCTCCCAATGCTATCCCTCCCCCCTCCCCCGACCCCACCACAGTCCCCAGAGTGTGATATTCCCCTTCCTGTGTCCATGTGATCTCATTGTTCAATTCCCACCTATGAGTGAGAATATGCGGTGTTTGGTTTTTTGTTCTTGCGATAGTTTACTGAGAATGATGGTTTCCAATTTCATCCATGTCCCTACAAAAGATATGAACTCATCATTTTTTATGGCTGCATAGTATTCCATGGTGTATATGTGCCACATTTTCTTAATCCAGTCTATCATTGTTGGACATTTGTGTTGGTTCCAAGTCTTTGCTATTGTGAATAGTGCCGCAATAAACATACGTGTGCATGTGTCTTTATAGCAGCATGATTTATACTCATTTGGGTATATACCCAGTAATGGGATGGCTGGGTCAAATGGTATTTCTAGTTCTAGATCCCTGAGGAATCGCCACACTGACTTCCACAATGGTTGAACTAGTTTACAGTCCCACCAACAGTGTAAAAGTGTTCCTATTTCTCCACATCCTCTCCAGCACCTGTTGTTTCCTGACTTTTTAATGATTGCCATTCTAACTGGTGTGAGATGATATCTCATAGTGGTTTTGATTTGCATTTCTCTGATGGCCAGTGATGATGAGCATTTCTTCATGTGTTTTTTGGCTGCATAAATGTCTTCTTTTGAGAAGTGTCTGTTCATGTCCTTCGCCCACTTTTTGATGGGGTTGTTTGTTTTTTTCTTGTAAATTTGTTTGAGTTCATTGTAGATTCTGGATATTAGCCCTTTGTCAGATGAGTAGGTTGCGAAAATTTTCTCCCATGTTGTAGGTTGCCTGTTCACTCTGATGGTAGTTTCTTTTGCTGTGCAGAAGCTCTTTAGTTTAATTAGATCCCATTTGTCAATTTTGGCTTTTGTTGCCATTGCTTTTGGTGTTTTGGACATGAAGTCCTTGCCCACGCCTATGTCCTGAATGGTAATGCCTAGGTTTTCTTCTAGGGTTTTTATGGTTTTAGGTTTAACGTTTAAATCTTTAATCCATCTTGAATTGATTTTTGTATAAGGTGTAAGGAAGGGATCCAGTTTCAGCTTTCTACATATGGCTAGCCAGTTTTCCCAGCACCATTTATTAAATAGGGAATCCTTTCCCCATTGCTTGTTTTTCTCAGGTTTGTCAAAGATCAGATAGTTGTAGATATGCGGCATTATTTCTGAGGGCTCTGTTCTGTTGTTTTTACTTGAAAGGAGGAGTGATAGAAAAAGTAGCACTTTTCAGAGTTGGATACTGGCAGACTTCTTGAACATGAATGAATTGAGAAGGACATGTCATAGGAAAAAAAAGAAAAAGACCTGATTTGTCCCCAGTGATAAAATTTGAGCCTCCAAGTAAATAGGTTTTTTTGAAAATTTTTATTTGCCACCATTTTGTAATGAAATATTTCAACATTTGAAAAAAATTGTGTAACAAAATGAGCCAATATTTTCTGAATGACAAATGCATAATTATGGGTAAAATATCCATTCAAAGGGAAGATAAGTCAATAGATTTTCAGTGTATGAAAAGTTCATTGGTATAGGTTCAGATATAATTAGGCCTTAAGAAACCACCACTTGTACAGTTTCAATATCATATCAAAAAATAATTTCCATGATCATCTGAAAAGACTATTAAACACTCTTCCCTTTTCCACTTACATATCTTTGTGAGGTCATATTTTCATCATACACCTTAACCAAAAAAAAAGTATCTCAATAGGTTGACTATAGAAGTAAATAGAAGAATCTAGTTGTCATCTCCCAAGCCATAGAGGAGATTTGTAAAACCCATACCACCTTTCTTATTAAATTATTTTTTAAAACATAGTTACTTTTCCAGAACTATGTAACAGTTATATTAGCATGTAGTGGTTTATTGTTATACTTAAAGGAATCAATTAAAATATTTTTAAAGTTCTGTTTTAAATTTAAAAATTTTAAATTTAAATTAAATATTATATCTACACATGGAAGGTGGCAAGAGAGAATTATATAACCAAAGTATTGGAGTTGCATTGATGTAAAATGTAGATTGAAGAGTTGGTAAGATAAGGTTTATGAATAGGCTGCCAAGGTACTAGAAATTTTATTTTTTGAACAAAGAAGAGGCATATTCAGAAGTTTCAGGAATGTAACCCTCTTGGCCACGTGGAACATTAAAAGGAAGATAACGAATATAGGTAAACCAGTAAATGACTGCAAAAATCTAAGTGAATGAGATCTAGACCAAGTCAGTATCAGTAGGAAAGAAGGAAGGGTTATATCCAAGGGATATGTATGAGTAAAATCATCAGGAACAATTTAATACCAAACTGTGTAGAGTTAATTAAGAAAAGATGTTTTCGTAAAGAGCTTGGTCTACTGAGTAAATGAAGATACTATTATCTGAAAGGTCAAATATATGACAAGGTCATGTTTGGGTGACTAAAATAAGGAAAGCTTTTGTATATGCTGAGCTTGAAAAGGCTATGGGGTACTCAGAAAAGTAGAGAAGGCAAATATACATTTATATCTGATATTCCAAGGAAAGATCTGGAATGAAAGCAAGCAGTTTTGCCATTAGGACAAAGTAACAGTTGCAAGCCTGAAAATGATTAATATTGCAAATGCTGTAGCTTAAAAAAAGCACAACTCCACACATTACCAACATATTGGCTTTTCCCAAAGATAAGCAATAATTCTGTTCACTTCAAAATGCCAGAGGTGATTTTCATATAATCCAAAGGGCATGTACTCAAAAAGTTTGCAATATGAGGTAAATTTTTACAAGTCAATCTCATTTAATTAACATTAAAGAAAAAACTTTTAAAGGGGGTCTATATAAATTTTGCTATGCAAAATTTTACATGATTCTTTTGGGAAAAAAAAACACAAAATAGTTTTCCTCATTTAACTTTCTTGCTTTTTTAAACCTGTTTCCTTTTTTTGCTTAAACACTAAGGACACATAAATAGACTTTGCCTACAGTTGCTATGAAAAGTTTCTCTCATGAGCATGTTATATACTCTTAGGCAAAATTTACTGAGTTCTTTGGTAAAACACAGATTCCTTAGCCCTGCCTCAAAGCAACTGAATTTGTTACATGTTCTCAACATTGTGATTTTGTTTTAATAAAGTTTCAGAAACACTGCACTAAATAGTCACTGTTGTGTTTTTCTCCACAGAGATTCTATTTGCATTTTAATACTTTGTGAGTAGCCCAGGTATAGATTTGAACCACTAGTTTATATATTTCTCCTTTGTGACATCTACCGTACTATTAAACTTATTTCAGTTTATGTGTCTTCACATATGTGTCTTCAGGCTTCTATATATGGCTATATATGGTATGTTCATATATGGCTTCCTGTATATATATTTTATATATATATATCTCAAATGTAAACTGTATATATAATATATAAATCCCCAATGTAACTGTATATATATATATGTATCTCCAATGTAAACTGTATATATATACACATACATATATATACATATATCTCCAATGTAAATTGTTTCATTTATTCTCTTAAATCAGTTTCCCCCAGAAAACAACTTCTAAGATGTATTTATATACTTAGATGGTTTATTAGGGAGTGTCCTCAAGAAACACACTTGTATGGAATGGAGAAAACAGGTTTGCGTAGAAGGAGAAGCTGTAATGCAATAAAGTTGCAACAAAGACCTCAGTCCATCTCGTGATATGCAAAAGAGCTAGGAGGGACTTGCAGAGTTGTTGCAAAATGAAGCAGTAAAACTGATCATTTGTACCCATTCATCACTAATTTTTGGATTTGAAAAATCCCTAGAAATAAGATGAAACCTCAAGTGAGGCAGCCAAGATCAGCAAAGGCCAATTCCTAGGGAGGAAGTAAGCTGTGAAATATCAATACCTAAAAACCCGGACAGCAGCTAAAAACAAGTGCCTGGTTCCTAAAGGTGTAGTCTGAATGCAGACCTATGTAATTCACTATGGTTATTGATAATACAAAAGTTAATTTGTTACCTGCTAATGAACATAGTAACACTCACTCATTTCTTATGAAGGCATTGCTCAAAAAAATTCCTTCCTGGCTTTCTGGTTAAGACAGAAAAAAAATTGGTGAGAGGGAACAGTTTAGAGGAGAGAGAAGACTTTAGAGGCAACAAACTAACAAACAAACAAACAAAACACTGCAGGGAGAAAGACTCAGTGATGTGAAACTTTTTATGTAGACTCTTTCTTTGTCCATCTTCAAGACAGAGTATGTATTTTTGGTCAGTAAAAGTGCTTAATGTTCCTAAGAATTTGTAATAATTTTAGATACAATATTCTTGAATATAAAATGCTGCAAATGATACTTTTTGGGAACAAGAATTGTTTCAAAATTTGATTTTATTCAATTTGAATATTGTGAAAGTAATGTAAGCAACTGAAAAAGTTGCTAACTACTCATAAATATAGAAGATGCAATTCCATAAGAGTTGTGTTTCATATTTCTTGGTTTTCAATATTTGACATGTCTGCTTCATCTAAGCCTTAGTTACAAAATTTAAGTAAGGTTTAAGATATATATAACTTTCATTAATATTTTTATTCACGTAATAAATCAATATACATAAATACTGTGAGTAAAGCCCTGTGTTGGGTTATGGTGATATAATAGTGCATTGCTCTTCCTTGATGGCAGTGACTCCTTTGCTGACTTGACATTTTTGTATGACACAATAAAAACAGACTGCCAAAGAAGTGAAATAGACATACATAGCCAATTCTTTATATGATCCATCAAACATAAGATGATTCTGTCAAATTGCTAAAACAGTTGCTAAACACTTTTGATTTTCTTTACTTTTTTAAATCTTATATTATTAATCATTTGCAAACTAGTAATGGGGCTATGGATTTCATTTACAGTAAGATTGTTCTATGAAACGTGGCTTATTTGAGCAGAGGTGAGAATCCTGACCAACAAACTGAGAAATAAAATACAACATTATCAATCCACTGAATAGACACTGATCCTGCAGGAGTCTGCCTGGAGGTAATGGAAGGTAATCTGAAGGCTAAATGTTAAATAGAAATGACTTGTCTGGGAGATAGAGGGAGTTGGAGTTTCCCAAGAAAAGGAAACAACTTGTATTTTCAGAAGAGAAGACTGAAGAAATAGGCAGCATCAAATTCATAACGGCTCTCAGTAGCCCTGCTTTGGAGTTTGGACTTGTCATTAAGCCAAAGAAGAAGTTTAAGAATGGGGTGACATAACATATGGGTAATTAACTGGAAATATTGGGAGTAGTATGTGTCACTTCTAGGAAAGATCTATATTTCTGTCTTGATCCACCAGATGGATGATGATAGCACCAGTGATTGGACTAGAAAAGTCAAAAGCAAACAGTTCATAGAAGAAAAATGCTGAATTTAGTTTAGGACAGTTTGAGTCAGAATTATCTCTGGAATATACAAGTTGAACTTTATAAATTTCAGTTTATAATGCATGTCTACAGCTATAGAAATACCTGACTTAGAGTTACAGCTATAAATGTTATCAACTAAGGGAGTAAATTAGATTACTAAGGAAGAAAAGAGAAAAGGTCTGAAAAGGCAAAAAGTTGAACAAAAACCATTCAAAATATTAGTACATTCTACTTGAAAGAAACATACTAAAAAACTAGACATAAGATTTCCAGTATACAGATAAGACACATTAAACACTTCGTAAAAAATTCATTTGTGTGTCTTGGGATGGAGTCCATAAACTGGAAGAGCTCTGAGTTTTTGAAATAAACAGCAAAATAAATATATCTTTAGTCTTGTTTAAATTAGAGAAATTAATTTAGGAAATTTTATTTCTATTGCTTTTTCTGACATGATTCCAAAATAAAGCATTTGTTTATAAATCAATAATTTTCAAGGAGAGAAGAGAAGCTTAGTTCAATGGTGATTTGTCAGAATTACTTGTGGACTTTCAAATATTACACACCTGCTGCAACTAAATCCACCCCCATGCTGCATAATCACTCACCCAAACTATTAACATTCTAATTCTAAATACCTGTTATAGTGAGAAGTGACAGCGTGCTAGCAATCCTCACAGCCTTCGCTCGCTCTCGGCGCCTCCTCTGCCTGGGCTCCCACTTTGGTGGCACCTGAGGAGCCGTTCAGCCTACCGCTGCACTGTGGGAGCCCGTTTCTGGGCTGGCCAAGGCCGGAGCTGGCTCCCTCAGCTTGCAGGGAGGTGTGGAGGGAGAGGCGCGAGCGGGAACAAGGGCTGCGCGCTGCGCTCGCTGGCCAGCTGGAGTTCCGCGTAGGCGTGGCCTTGGCGGGCCCGGCACTCGGAGCGGCAGGCCGGCCCCGCCCGCCCGGGGCAGTGAGGGGCTTAGCACCTGGGCCAGCAGCTGCTGTGCTCAATTTCTCACCGGGCCTTAGCGGCCTCCCCGCTGGGCAAGGCTCGGGACCTGCAGCCCGCCATGCTTGAGCCTCACCGCTCCTCCGTGGGCTCCTGTGCGGCCGGAGCCTCCCTGAGGAGCGCAGTCCCCTGCTCCACAGCGCCCAGTCCCATCGACCACCCAAGGGCTGACGGGTACACGGCGCGGGACTGGCAGGCAGCTCCACCTACAGCCCCTGTGCGGGATCCACTGGGTGAAGCCAGCTGGGTTCCTGACTGGTAGGAACTTGGAGAACCTTTATGTCTAGCTAAGGGATTGTAAATACACCAATCGGCACTCTGTATCTAGCTCAAGGTTTGTAAACACACCAATCGGCACCCTGTGTCTAGCTCAGGGTTTGTGAATGCACTAATCGACACTGTATCTAGCTACTCTGGTGGGGACTTGGAGAACCTTTGTGTCCACACCGTGTATCTAGCTAATCTGGTGGGGAGGTAGAGAACTTTTGTGTCTAGCTCAGGGATTGTAAACGCACTAATCAGCACCCTGTCAAAACAGACCATTGGGTTCTACCAATCAGCAGGATGTGGGTAGGGGCAGATAAGAGAATAAAAGCAGGCTGCCCTAGCCAGCAGTGGCAACCCGCTGGGGTCCCCTTCCACACTGAGAAAGCTTTGTTCTTTCGCTCTTTGCAATAAATCTTGCTATTGCTCACTCTTTGGGTCCACACTGCCTTTATAAGCTGTAACACTCACCACGAAGGTCTGCAGCTTCACTCTTGAAGCCAGCAAGACTACGAATCCACTGGGAGGAACGAACAACTCCAGATGTGCCACCTTAAGAGCTGTAACACTCACTGGGAAGGTCCCCAGCTTCACTCCTGAGCCAGCGAGACCACGAACCCACCAGAAGAAAGAAACTCCAAACACATCCAAACATCAGAAGGCACAAACTCCAGCCGCGCCACCTTAAGAGCTGTAACACTCACCGCGAGGGTCCACGGCTTCATTCTTGAAGTCAGTGAGACCAAGAACCCACCAATTCCGGACACAATAGTATAGTAGTATTGAATCCATTTTTTTTCTGGAGCAATATCTCTGAAAGAGCAATTTAATTCAAGGTGAAAATTCATTTTTTTTTAATTCAACATTATCCTTGGTACCAAGGGTATGAAGAAGAGTAAAAAAAACTCAGCTGAGTGCGGTGGCTCATGCCTGTAATCCCAGCACTTTGGGAGGCCGAGTCGAACAGATCATGATGTCAGGAGATTGAGACCATCTTGGCTAACATGGTGATACCCCGTCTCTATTAAAAATACAAAAATTAGCTGGTCCTGGTGGTGAGCGCCTGTAGTCCCAGTTACTCGGGAGGCTGAGGCAGGAAAATGGCGTGAACCCATGAGGCGGAGTTTGCAGTGAGCCGAGATCTCGCCACTGCATTCCAGCCTGGGCGACATAGTGAGACTGTCTCAAAAAATGAATAAATAAATAAATAAATAAATAAATAAATAAATAAATAAAAACACTCCTTGTCTTCAAAGAACTTCTATTTTTCTTTGCAAAGTATTTGTGTTATAAACACTGCAAAAAGATGCATGCATTGAAGATAACACAAATATTAATTTTGTGAGAAATGTAATGATAAAAGGTTGTTATTTGGCAATAGAATGAGATTATTAATTGTTTTGAGTTGTTCTGCTCCTAAGTAAGTTCATGAATTTAAACAAACCTCTTAATGTCTTAGGGGTTCCAAGTTTCTTTCTTGTTAAAAAAAAATTGTTAGACTGCTTATCATTTTTTAGAAGGACTTAGTAGGAGCAAAATATACATATTTTTATCCTATAATTTTTTTAAGGGAGGTTTGATACGTATGCAGCCAATCTTCTAGCAGTTCCTTTTGACCACCTTTTGGGAACATCTGGATAAGTGACCACTAACACCATATCTACTTACTAGTTATTTCCTTTATCCACACGATAGGGAGCAAATGCAACTTCCTGGATTGTGAAAGAGGTTATATAATTATATAAAGTCTACCCTATATTATAAAATTGTACTTTTAATTTTCTATATTGTTTTTAAAAAATTATGTGATTTTCTTGCCAATTTTTTTGTAATGAATAAACCAAATAGCCAATAAGCATTAAATAAAAATAAAATATATAACTAAATAAATTACTTTCCACTCTAATAATAAGGAATATTTTAGGCACATAACCCTTAATTATAAACTTTAATAATATATAGTCTCTGTATCAAAAATATTTGCTTGTATTTTCTCACAGAAAGGTAATCTGCTCTTATGGATATTCTTTCTCTTACACCTTCTCTTCCAGCCAACCAAATCATTCAATCCTTCATTGATTTATTGAAAATCTATTATACAACCCATTATGCTAATGGCTTTATTGTCACAGATTATTCCCATCTTAGAAAAAGAACCACTCTGAATACAAAGCTTTCCTCAAACTGAATCTAACAATGAATTTGAAAAGTTGCTACATAGGGGCCCACAAGGAATTATGTGCCAGTAAATGTATTGCCCGGAAAGGGCACTTTTCCAAGCACAAAACTCTAAGTATTTAATTTGCAAAAGAAACATTGATTTATTCATTCTATGATAAATTATCTCATCTGAGAGAAATTATTATCATAGGATTGAATTACGCAAATTTCATTTCTTGAGCTTGATATAGAATATTAAGGATATGTGTGAGTGAATGAGAGAAAGTGATATTGTGAATTTCTATCAGGCTGGCATGTGTGTGCTCTAACCCTTGTTCTTAGTTCATGTAAAACCACTAGAAATGCTTTTAGAATATTTAACAATTATATAAATGATTAGCATCTCTTTCACATTAAGAAACATGATAACATCTTCTTTATGAACTCTTATTCAAAACTAAAGCAGAGTCAAAACAATTTATAAAACATATTGATTCTCTAATGTGGCAAGATGTTTAAACAAAGAGCTTTTGGAGTGAGCAAGAAGAAGCATTCAATGTTTTAATGTGAAACATTTATGCAGTTTTTCTATGACTTTTTTTTCATGCAGGGGTAGAAAATAATTACAGAGCCATATACAACAATAATAGAAAAATGTTTGAATCCTTACTATGTGTCATATACCACATAAAATACTAAGTATGTTCTCCCATTTAATTCTCATGGTCATTTTAGGAAATAGATATGATTATTATCCTCTGAAAATGAGGAAATTGAGGCATAGATAAGGTTACAGTCAATAATCTGAGGAAATGATATTTGAACCTAAGCAATCTAGATTATTTAACTATTTTGCTAACTCCAACATACAGAATGTATATTTATTGCAAATGATCAGCTAGAATTCTCTAATGTCTACCCTTTGCCAATAAAAATTACAAGTCAATGCCATCTTATAAACACAGGCATCTATGTAATAATATTTCTCTTTCTAGGAAGATAAATGATCAATGAAATAACCTCAATGTATAGAGGTGAAAATGAAAGTGCCAGGACAAATTGACATCGTGGGATTTAGAGCATATTGTTTTCTTTTGTTTTGCCAGTTAGTTTGTTTGTTTTGTCCTTTAGTAGTAACTTTTATAATATGATTCTTAGCATGGAGTAACTAGTGCTCTGCCAGTGGGAGTTTTCAAGCTTAACATTCAAGATCTTTTTTCATTCATTGTTGAAAACATGACAGAAAACCACATATAATTTTGTTTTATATACAAACAACTAATAAACTATTAAAAAAACGATGAAGACTTACCAAAATTTAGAAAGGATATAATATGGGCACATTTGTCTGGTTTACTTTGGATTCAACTAAAAAGTCCTTCTGGATTCTGCATTTCATAAAAATTTTATCTTGAGTTGGCTATGGTTTTCAGTTTCTGCTATTCTTGATTGTAATTATAGATTAGCGTTATTTTGCCTTCACAATCAGCACATTAATTTGTTGTAGGTTTGGTTAATTATAAAGTGATGCATATTTCCACTAACAACCTTTTTAAAAGCATAATTTTTAAATGGGCTTTTAAGAAGTGTGTGCATTGTGGTTCAAATGTGAATAATTTGCACCTCTATTGCTAAAAGAAATGCAATTGTAATTCCAAAACAGTATATTTATATGATGATACTCCATTGGAAAGAAGCACCAGATATGGCACAAGATCCTTTTAAAAATCTTCACTGCAAACTACTTGAGAATAACCCTAAAGCTAAGACAATTTTGACCACCTAGTTGTTCTGCAAATAATTAATAATATAATGTTCCAAACTTTATCCTAATTTAATTTATGCATCTGAATGTACATCACGATTCTTTCCAAAGGACATGTAAAATAACCGTAAGTACCTGCATAATAAGGTTGATATAGCAAACTTTAAACAGAAAATTAGAATCAAGAAAAAAGTTTAATCATACTTAATATAATTATCGTAATTAACATCTAATTTGGCTTGAGAATGCACCTTAATTTTGAACAGAATATTAAGAATCATGTATGATACAGAAATAGAGGTCTTTCAATGAGTTCACCTGCAAATTTGTTTGATCTTATAGACAGTAACATCTTCAATCATGATTTATATGGCTACAGCTTTAACTAGCATAACTACCCCTGGACAATTAGAAAAATATAAAACCTCTTTAAAAGCTATAAATGTATTTTAATGTCACTGCCAAGAAATATTACATATCTGTGGGTTTAGTATCCCATTGTCATTTGTAAAGGAAATGTTTGAATCGCTTCAAATTGGAGGATTTCACTATTAAGAGATCAATTATGCTACATTTTTTAAGTTAAAAAAAGATACACTTGTAATTCTTAAAATGTATTTCTTGTTTATTTGTACTTTTAAGAAAACTGTATATGTTTCCAGTTTTCCTTTACCTTTTAAGTTGTTCAATTACTTTCACATTTAAGATATGAATTTTATATATTCATACTTTTTCTATTATATTTGTTTTTCATACATATTTTCCACTGCATCATTTAATTTTGTATGTAAAACTTGTTTGAAAGACTGTCAAAGCTATTGATGTTTCTCTTTGAAATTTCTTTCATTGCTTTTGTGCTAAGCCTCATTTTATCCAATGATCAGTTAAAATTTCCCTTCATATTTATTTAACTGTTTATTTCTCCTGAAGTGATTCAATCTGTGCTGAGAGCAGCTGTGACTTTCAAATCACAAAACCACCAGTATGCCTGGACATGGATCAATCAGAGTAGACATGACCAGAGGCTAGAACAGGGTCCCAAGTACCCTGTGCCTGCCAGGGTTCATTTATTCTTTAGTTACTAGTTAGGAAAAGGGCTGGCGGGGCAGAATTCTGCCTGGGGGCTCAGGACCGAGCTCATTTTACAATGTGCATGATGGGATTTAAATATTTTAGCTATATGGCTGTACCAGTGTGTACTCACAGATTATCAGCATTGGGTGAGGGAGGAAGCTCTTGATTTCTGCTTTCCATCTAGTGAAAAATTCTCACATTATAAATCAATGTTTTTCCTTTGATGTTAATCAGTGAAGGAAAAAGACTCAGCTTATCCTACTACTAGCTCCTAAGGTTTTTTGTTTGTTTCTTTTTTGTATGTATGTATTTGTTTTATGTTGTTTGTTTGTTCTCCTACAGCCAAGCATAATAGTATATTCTTTTGAATAGAACATTGCTAAAAAAAATTCCATTACGGCAAGATGATGGACAAAGTTTCCTAGAGTTGTAGGCCCTGTAGTTGTTTTCATTCATTTCAAAAAATAAAAAATGAGAAAATGATAGATATATGAAAACTGTTAACAAGTTTTATTTGTCCTAAGGGTTAGCCCAATTCCTTCTATTGTACTGAGGGAGGTTTGGGCTATGAAGGTAACAAAGTAGGATTTTATTAATTTACGTCTACCACTTAAATGGTACATGGTGTTGAGCAAGTTCGTTAATTTCCTAAGCTTTAGTTTTTGCATCTGGAAAATTGAGATAATAATAGCTTTGAAGTATTGTAAATGTGTAGGTGTGTAAGTACCATTTATTTAGTGCCAATTTTAATCTTTTCTATCCATGAGGGTATGCCTTGTATATATTTTGTGCATGTGTATAAATATTATATTGTTTGTATTATACATATAGTAAATACAATGTATAAATATTATATATATTACATATATAGATTATAACTGGCACTAAATTATAAAAGGTAGTTATTATTTTCATTAAAAACCTTACCTTTCATTAATTAGAAATAGAGTTCAGAAAAGTCCCTTAAATTTCAGTATGGGCCAAAAGATGACATGATGAAGGTAGTATCCCACATTTTCACTGGAATTTTATTATTGGAAACAGGAGAAGCATTTTAACTTCCACAAAGTTGTACTCACAATATCTGAAATGAAATGATAAAAAAGGAAAGGTAAAAATATGCTGCTGTCTTATCATTGAATCCTCATTTAATCTCTTCCACGGATCTCCATTACATTCCTCAAAATACAACTTCAGTGGAAAGGATAATAGCTTCCCTGAATAATGTTAATGGAAAGGGGCTTTTAAAAGCTTTACAGAAATCAATGAACTTTGGGATACTGGTTGTTTCAAAATTCTGGAGTAATTTCCATTATTCATTTTGGAAAGAAAGTTTAATCACAGCATGATACACTTTGCTAAAAAACAGCATATATTCATGGATCTCTCTATAGAGAATATCTTTTAGATATATTAAGCTCTTAAATTAAAAACACTTAGTGTGTTAGTTCATGATACCAGTGGCAGCATATGGAAACACCTCTTTGCAAAGGAAAATCCAGATTTCTAATCATCTAGTAATGTATGTGTATATAAAATTGTACTAAAATTATTAATGTATTATTACCTATGTCCCCTACATATTGAAATATTTCTCTTAATTAGGACTTACTTTTATTTTCTTCAAAGTCGGTATTAGAAATCACCTTTTTACTGTGATATTGAGGTTTGACTATCTAACTACTTATATGCCATTGGAGGAGATTCCAATATACTGAGCCAGGGCTTACTGAGCTTCACCTTCTCATGTTATGTGAGTGTCACTTTCTCTGATGTAATATGCCACAGTTGCCCAGGCTGAGCTGTGTCAAAGCAAAAGCAAGATGACTAAATGAACACTTATGTATATGTTCAGAGAAGATTGGGAATAATTTTCAATACTTTCCTAGAGATTTTCCAAAATCACTTTATTAAGTTGTGATGTTTTCTGTAATATTTAAACTATATTTTCTGGGTTTTTATTTTTTTCTATTTAACCAATTGTTTTTCTCTAATTATGTGAAAAACTACTTCTCTTTTAAACTTTTTCATTCTTGGTGTTCTTTTTGTTATAGTGTTTGAAAGCTGTTTTGCTTTAAGTTCCCTATGCCATAAGAGTTATATTTTCTTCCTGTATTTCTTGTAGATGATTTGCTGATAATTTTCTCACATTTATGGATGTGAATACAAGGGGCTTATCAAATATCAATTTCTTGCTACTTTTATATCAAAGAAATTTATGCGGTATGAACACAATACATTCCCAAATTAAATCTGAATTATTTTCCTACTTGTTTGTTAGATATCTATGGTCCAGAAATTCCATCTACATTTCTTCTGCAATCCTATTGTACAAGACATGATCATCACACATATCCTTATCAGGTAATGTCCAAGAGTTTTGATACTTTTTATTTCTTACTCATTACCCATAGTCAATTCTAGGATTATAGATGAAGCTGCATTATTAAGGATATTACCAATTTTCACAGAAATATCATTTTGAAGCATGAGGCATTAACCTAATTGTCATTAAGAAAATTCTGATTAAAGATCATAGAGATAATAATATAATACTTTGTATATGCTTTAATATTATACTGCATGGGGGAGCAAGTGAGGGTAACATAATATATGCTGGTAATTATTGAGGTTAATGATGAATGATGACTACAGTGATACTCTTTTCTCTACTTTTATATATGTTTGAAAACTTTCATCATGACAAAAACAGCAAAGGAAAAAAATCAACTGAAATAGGTTTATAACAAAATGCTTACCATAAGTTAAAGAAAATGAATATGAAAAATACCAGGAGAAATGAAAATATTTGTAAATGTTGAGTGCATTATAGAATCCTGCATGCTAAATCTATGGTTGTGCTGTATCTGAAGTAAGCCTGTCACAGATGGTTTCAAACATCATGGAGACTGTTATAAAAAAAAGCTGCAAAATTTAACACATTTAAATTACACAATCCATTTATTACATCATTCATTTGGCAAATATATATGCCATAAAATACAGTAAGTCTATACATTTGTGCTTGTTGTGGGAAGGGCTCTATGGAGAAGGAAGAAGATGTGGAATAAAGATAAGAACAATGGTGGCACAGTTTAGAAAAGAAAAGCAAAATTAAAAGTTATGATTCACTCATTTTGAAGATAGGAAATATGTGTAATATATTGGGCATAAAGATAATCTTAGCTCAGGATCTCAGAATAATTCTTTATTTGTTAAAACTTATAAATCTGAGCTTAAATATGCTCACAACCTATAAGCTTTTATAAAAAGCAATGATAAATTATTGGTGATTTTTTAAAACATTTTATGTGGTTGAGTAAACAGTTTTCTCCAATGACATATCCCAAATGGAAAAGGGCTTTATTGAAGTAAAGAATTGATAAGAAGTGCTGGGAAGAGAAAAGCTGAGAAAAGAAGAGCATGGTCCCTTTAAATGACATGGAAGGGAAGTGCTGGGTAGAGAAAGGTGTGGTCACCCCTGCCTAGGGCTCCACCCTTATGGACCCAGTTGAGGATAGGCATTTCCTGCCCAAATATTGCATTTCCGAAGACCACCCTGGCCTGCCATGCCCCCATCCTGTGCCTATAACAACCCAAGATCCTACCAAGGCAGAGACAGAAGTGGCTGGAGAGGAGGAACACACAGGCGGCTGGACGTGAAGATGAACGCGTTGGCGTGCCGGCAGGCCACTGACCTGCAGAATGAGGCAGAATTTGGCCGGGGCTGTCAGAGGAGATCCCAGGCCACCAACTGGCCTGACTCCAGGGGAAAACCATCTCTCTTCCGGCTTCCCCATTTGCGGAGAGTTACCTCCACTCAATAAAACCTTGTACTCATTCTCCAAGCCCGAGTGTGTTCCGATTCTTCTGGTATACCAAGGCAAGGAAACCCCAGGATGCAGAAAGCCCTATGTCCTTGCAACAAGGTGGAGGGTCTAATTGAGCTAACACAAGCGCCTATAGATGGCAAATTAAAAGAGCACCCTGTAACACACGCCCACTGGGGCTTCAAGAGCTGTAAATATTCACCCCTAGACAGTGCCATAGGGTCGGAGCCCCACAGCCTGTCCGTCTGTGTGCTCCCCTAGAGGATTGAGCAGCTGGGCACTGAAGAAGCGAGCCACATCCCCATCGCACGCCCTGTGAGGGGGAAAAGCGAACTTTTTCCGTTTTAGGATGAGTAGCCTTATTTTATTTCAATGGCCTCCCTGACCTAACGACCAATACAATTGTACCCATTACATTTTTTCTATCAATCATTAGATTGGGTTCTCTTTTACAGAATGAATAAACTATTTTAGTAGTAACATTATTTGAGCACTTTTTATGTAAGTATGGTAATGATATGGTGTTTGGCTTTTAAAAATTATGTGCTGCCCCTTTAGTTGAATATTTTAAAGTAATCTTTAGACCTTTTATCAAAAATATCCTTAAAGGAGGCTGACTTGTTTCAGAAGCTTATTTGTTCAAGTCTCCTAAAGAAACCTCAAGGCTTCAGAAAACCACATGGATTTCAACCATTTTAAATGGCCACAAGAAAAAAAATATTCAAAGGTTATGAAGAAGGCTTGGGTTGCTCTTCTCTGGGAGTGTTAATAGACATTATCGATTTTTGCCTGCTCCAGTGATATACTTCTGCTTCAAGGCAAAGAACTGGACCAGATGACTCTGCAAGGTTTACTTCAGCTCTGTGGTTGTAAATATACATAAAATAGCCTTGATCAGACACTTCCTCCACCACCAATGAAACATACTAGGTTCATGTCTGAAATATAATGTTCTTCGTTTCCACATATTAACACTATCTGTGGTATAAATTGTGGAGTTCCTTTTTTTGTTTGTTTGTTTAAACCATAAGGATCTGGGTGTCTTAATGCAAACAATTATTGAAAGATTTCCTGAATAAAATGCATATATGTGATGCATATATGTGATGCTATAACACTGTTCCAAACTACATTCAGTTTCAAAACACAATGTTCTAAAAGTTTATGAATTACAGAGCAAAACCATGTCATTTTGATTCCACTCTTGCTTTTAATAGAGAAAAAAATTGTAATTCTTATGAATTCAGCATTAATCTCAAAGTTCATTCAACCGACACTTTATTCTTTCAAGCTAGTCAACAATTGTTTTACCTCATTTTCTTTCTTTTTTACTTTATTGGGAAAGGAAATTAGTTTGCCCATTGAATTATCTTCATAAACAGGCATTATTAAGGCTCTTATTTGTAAATTCACTTTGAGCTTCTCTTTCAACTCATGCAAAATTTCACCCCCAAATTCTTACAAGTCAGCTGGTATGCATCTTTCATTTGTGATGATAATAACAATACTATTTCTAGACATATTTTCTGAAAAGTTAAAATTTAAGTTAAAAGCTTAAATTTAAAAAGGCAATAGCAAGAGTTGTAAGTGCTTTCTGCTAAGATAAATAATGATGAAGTGGGTAGGTGACCTGCTCAATTAGGAAGTGAAAATCAAGACAAAATGTAATTTTTTTTCAAAGAAACTGCTGCTTTTTTTTTTTTTAATCTCATGGCTATTGTCATTTGGCTACATAGATTGTCTAAAACATTTGTAATTTAAGACAGAGGGCTTAACCAGGTGGCTTGTTGCCTATTCATAGGATTGGGCAAGAATACATTTCAATGCCGAGCTCAAATGACCAAATTTAAATAATACTTCTGCCACTTACTATCTGATGCCTTTGACCAACTTGTTTATTATATTTAGAACTCATTCACAAACCCATATTATGTGCCACATCCTAGGCTAACTTCCAATATACTCAGTTCATGCCCTTAAGGATCTTACAACATAAGGCTTTTAGGTATACAAATTTTCTAGAGCAGCATGGTCTAGATAATAGCACCCATTGGATTCAAAGGTGGATCAGAGAGCACTTCAAATTATGTTCATTTTCTTTTATTGAAAATATAAATAATCACAGCTTCCCTGTAAAAAGAAATACCCAAGTAATTATGAGAATAAAAACAAAAATGAGATTACATGTAAAAGTCCACTGTTAACTAAAAAACACTATTTATGCATTAGGATTTAATAGTGAGTCTTTCAGAATGTGGATGATTATTTCTTAAGATAAAAGGATGAATTTGATTCATCTGGCATAAGTCTTTGCATGTGCTTTAAGATCTTAAAAGGCTCAAGGGAAGGGGTGTCAAAGTAGCACATTTTAATGCTTCCGACCAAAAATTTGGTATTAACAAGCAAAGACAGACTTGAAGAACAGAAAAAATGTATTACATCAAGAGATTAATGTTTCAAAGGGAAGAGTTGCATGAAAGAATGAGAGAAATAACTGATGAATTTCTTTTTTCTAGATCTGAGTATCCTCAAGTAAATTTAGAAAATGCCACTTCTGCTGTCCTTAGGTAAGACTAGGAAATTGTGTTTTCCTCAGTGATGATGGATTGAGTTGTGGGATTGAATGTGCCAGCCTCCAGAATCACACTTGTTTTGTGTGTTTTGTGTGCCTGAATGGCAGGAAGTGTCTCAGATTGAGGGAGTAAATGAAAGTTGACATGGTTTGGCTTTGTGTCCCCACCCAAATCTCCTGTTGAATTGTAATCTCCAATGTTGGGGGAGTGATCTGGTGGGAGGTGATTGGCTCATGAGGGAAGATTTCCCCTCTTGCTGTTCTCGTGATAGTGAGTTCTCATGATATCTGGTTGTTTGAAAGTGGGTACCACTTCCCCCTTTGCTCTTTCTGTTTTCTACTCTGCCATGTGAAGATTGTGCCTGCTTCCCCTTCGCCTCTCGCCATGATTGCAAGTTTCCTGAGACCTCCCCAGCCATGCCTCCTGTACAGCCTGTGAAACTGTGAGTCTGTTAAAGCTCTTACCTTTATAAATTACCCAGTCTCAGGTAGTTCTTTATAGCAATGTGAAAACGGACTAATACAAAAGTCAAACTCGTGTTCCTTGTTTTAAGTCTACTGTGGACTCTGGCTGAACTGTTAGGGAGGCAGGGCAAGAGAACAGAACACATCTAACAGAAGGGCCAGTAAATGTTAACTTTTTTCCACTGACACAGAAAATAATGAAATTTTAAAGCAGAGTAAAATGAAATGTAACAAGAAGAAAAATGATGTACAGTTTCTAATGACCTTCTATAAACTATTAAAATAATAAAATGTAGCGAATTGTTCACAACGTCCAAATACTTTCAACATAGAGTTTATTTTACTAGGAGGAAATCTTTTTTTAACAAATTGCATTATTTAGCTTGTGAATCTCCAGAGGATATGACCAACACTCAGGTGGGGGTGGGGTTAGTGATAATCAAGTGCTCTCCATGTTGCCATTCTAACATTCTGAGGCATTTAGCCACTTTTGTAAGTACATTAACCTCTCAGGCCACCCGGTTGTCATCAGAAAACAAGGCCAAAGAGCTTTATGAGTGTCTAGGTCCAAAAACAGAGCCAAGCTGCTCCTGTTATATTTAGAAAAAGAGCAATTCCCCAAAATCCAGTTAGGACAACTGGGAGGATGGGTCCAGTTCCACCTTGGTCTGGTTGGGAAGGTGAGCAGGGGCCAGCCAAACATCTGAACTTGGAGTTACTGAGTAGGGATGCAAATTGTTCCTCTTAAGTAACTAATGTATTTTTCTCTTGTGCATTATTATAGGTGAGAATTTTACTTCACGTAAAAACTTAGAACTTTGTAGATCATTAAAAACAATTTATAAATGAAGATGCAATAGGATGCTTATGACCTTCTGTGTATCCTACCTGAATAATTACAGTCTTTTCTGACAATTTAAATAATAAGCAGTTGAAAGGATACTTAGAATAACTAGACCAGAAAACTGTGTCAAAAATCATTTGCTAGAAGTTAGACAATATTCTTGAAGGGGTTTCCTGAGCTCAGCATTTGTTTCATAACAGTAGACATTTCACATTATGAAAGATAAAACAAAAGACAAGTAAAAAAACCTTAAAAACAGGAGGCATGTTAAAACTGATGATTTCATCTAGAAAATGTCTTTAAGTAATTTCAAAGCTGACATTCTCAATTGGTAATTTTTAATTTACTTTACATGTAGAAGGCTCTCACCATTTGTTGACTTACAATGAAAAAGTCAGCCCTTATATTCAATATAGGATGGACTCTTATGGAAAGAGTCATTTGTTCAGAAGTTCTTTTTCTTCAGCTTTGAAATCCCATGTCTGGATTGAACATTTTGCCTTGAATCATTATGATGTTTGGCAGACTTGAACACATGGGACTATAGCCAAACTGAACACTAAAGAGAAAATAACAGGAAGGAGCAAGGAAAAAAAATTACTTTTATATCTTGAGTTTTTTATTGTTTCATTTCATACTTTATTGGAAATAGGAATTGACTTAGGGAATATAAATACATTTTTAAATTTTGTTTATTGAAATAAAATATATGCGTAATAAAGTGCACATAATTATGCATCCTGATGATTTTTTGCAAGTCAAATTTACCATTGTAATCAGACGTAGATTAAAAACCTACCTGATTTCCTCTCTGCCCCACGACCACTAGCCTGATCTCTGATGCCATAAATTAATTGTGTTTGCTTTTGTATTTTGAGGCAATGTAATAATACTTATTTTTTTCTGGCTTTTTTGTGAAAAATTAGATTTGTGAAATTCTTTCATATTCTTTTTGCTTTAGATCATTTATTCTCATTCCTGGAGACTATTCCATTATACTCTAGATTAGTTATTTTGGTGGTTTCCAATTTCTTGCTATTGTAATTAATGCAGCTATTAAGATTCTAGTCAATGTCTTTTGGTAAATATTTGGGTACACTTCTGTTAGGAATATACCTAGAAGTTCAATTGCTGTGGAATATGGTAGATGTATGTTTACATTTATGAAAACTTCCAAAAAGTTTTTCTATTTTACTAAGTTACACTTCTATGGTGTAACTTGTTCAACATCTTCACCAAATACTTGAGACATTCTACCTTTTTAATTTTAACTGTTCTGGTAAGTGTGCAGTTGGTACTGCATTGTGTTTCTAATTTCCACTTCCAGAATAACTAATGAAGTTGAGCACCATTTCTGAGGTTTATTAGCAATTCTGACTGTGTGTGTGTGTCTGTGTGTTGTGTGTAGTGTCTGGTCAAGATGTCTGTCCACTTACTATTCAATTGTCTTTTTCTTAATGAATTGTATGATGCCTTTTTATTATCTGGATCTACATCTTTTGTCAGTTATATATATCATGAAGTGCTGTCACCCCTGCATTGCTTTTTCATTCATATGCTGAAGTATTTTGAAGAACAGAAGTTCTTATGCTTAATATAGTCCAATTTATGCACTTTTTCTTCTCTGGTTAGAGTTTTGTGACCTGTTTACGAAATACCTGCTCACTTGAAGGCCATGAAGTTGATTTCTTCTAACTGTTGTATTACTTTAATTTTCAGACTTCGATCTAAGTTACCATCGAAATTCTCTTTTCTAAAAAAGGGAAATTCCCCTTCTAGTATTTAGTAACTCAAGTTTATGCACACACACATTCATTCTCATAACAAAAGTTTTTACAGCAAATCTACATTTAATTTGTAGTTTAATAACATGTACCTCTTTCTTTGGCATTATTGTGCATTTAGTAATTGTGCAATTTGTATGAATGTAGTATAGAAAAGAAAAAATAAGTATACCCCACCTCAGCTCTATTTTAAGAAGCATCAATGAAAATACAACTCACTAAGATTTCCTGTTAAATATCACCTAATATGAAAAACAACACAGCATTGCCATGATCTCTTAAACCTTTTAATTAAGTTACCATATTTTGACATGTTAAAATGCCCATAAAATGCTTAACAAAAGGTAATATTTTCTTCTTTTTTTGTTTGAGACAGAGTCTCCTTCTGTCACCCAGGCTGGAGTGCCCTGGCACGATCTTGGCTCACTGCAACATCTGCCTCCCAGGTTCAAGTGATTCTGGTGCCTCAGTCTCCGGAGTAACTGGGGTGACAGGCACGTGCTACCACGCCCAAGTAATTTTTGTATTTTTTAGTAGAGACAGGGTTTTGCCATGTTGGCCAGGCTGGTCTCAAACTGCTGACCTCAAGTGATCCACCCACCTTGGCCTCCCAAAGTACTGGGATTACAGGCATGAGCCACCATGCCTGGCCTTCATTTCTTAAATCAGAAGATATTTTTCTATTACAAAGCAAAAGAATGTTAATCTTATCCTTAATATTTAACAAGATTTGTAAAATTTAAAAAATCAATTATTATTTTACATCAATTCAGACACTGAGATATTTTTAAAGTTTGAAAGTAAAGAAGGAGCTAAATTTTGGTTAATATAGCAACAGCTCTTCCCTTAAGAGAGAGCTATTTTCTACATTACTTGTATATCTGTGTGTGTATTTGTGTATATGTATGTGATGTACATACACATAGACACACAAAAATTTATGTGTGTATGTGTGTGTGTATGTGTGTGTGTGTGTGTGTGTGTGTGTGTGTATATATATATATGCCCAGAAATATACATATAGCAATAAACTTTCCCATTAAATTTTTTAAAATCATCAAATAACAATTTTGTTATTTCTACTCCTGGGAAGGGAAACATCAGATACAGCAATCATACTGGAACTTACTTAAGGTTTCTTATTAGTGCACTTCTGATAAAAGAGAAATTAAGAACTAATTTGAGAAACATCATTCTCCTTTACTGTCATTAGCTTTAATTTATTTCCTTTCTTTTTTATGTCAAGCAAATGTCAAGTGGTCCTAATTACATGATAAAATAGAAATTCTAAACAATGACCACTCAAAATCATGCTATTGTGCATAATTCTTATAAGAGGTTTTGTGACTACATTTCCCTGAGGAAGAGCAGGAAAATATGAAAGAGAGAAAAGAGAATGAGAGCACAAGCGTGAGAAAGATGGCTTTCTCCATCTATAAAATACCTTATTAATTTTGAATTTTATATTCTTAATAGTTCAGATTGCTTTATAAATATTACATACTATGATTTCTCTGATATACTATAAGAATAAAATGGTATGTTATGTTTTAGAAAACTTTCTCTAAAGAATTATTAATATTACATTATCTTTTTATACAATTGCTTTTTTTTCTTTTTTTGAGACAAAGTCTGTTGCCCAGGCTGGAGTGCAGTGGTACGATCTTGGCTCACTGCAACCTCAGCCTCTGGGGTTCAAACGATTCTCCTGCCTCAGCCTCCTGAGTAGCTGGGATTGCAGATGCATGCCACCATGCCCGAGTAATTTCTGTATTTTTAGTAGAGATGGGGTTTCGCCATGTTGGCCAGGCTGGTCTCAAACTCCTGACCTCAAGACATCTGCCTTCCTTGGCCTGACAAAGTGCTGTATACACTTGTATTTTAAGGAGTCTAAAAATAGCAAATAAATATTTAGTAACATGACAGAAGGTAGAATGGTAATTTCTTTCAATTTGATTTTTTTCATTTTCATGATGAAGAAAGTCAATCTCAAAGCAATTAAGTAGTTTGCTCAATACAATATAGGGCTTCCAAATGTCACAATCACTTACATATCAAATAAACTTATGACTCAATATCCTCTGCAGGACCTAACACAATAGACATTCAATCATGAGTTATGACTGCATTGTTCTCCATCATGACTAGCACAGTGGCTGGCATTAAAAAGGCATTTAGCATTTATTTATATTAACAACTTCCTTAATAATGTTGATGAATATCAGTAGATGGTCATAAAGTACCTATACAACTTTATCCAGGATTGGAGACAGCTTTTGTTAGTTAAGAAACCATTTGTGAAGCCATCTTTAAGAAAAAGTATACAAAATTAGTAAATTTGAAACAACTTTCAATATTTATTTTGAAAGAGAAAATCAAATCCCAAGTCTTTATACAAAAATTTTAAAGAAGTATATTAGTATTCCATTGCTGGTATACTTAAAGAAGTATATTAGTATTCCATTGCTGCTATAACAAATTACTTCAAACTTATTGGCATAAAACAATTAAAATTTATTATCTTATAGTTCTAGAGGCCAAAAGTCCTAAACAAGTTTCTCACTTAAGTTAAGGTATGGGCAGGGCCATGATGTAAGAGAAAATCAGTTTCCTTGCATTTTCCAGATTCTAGAAGGGCATTCTTTGCATTTTTTGACCTGTATTTCCTTCCTTCATCCTCAAAGCCAACAGCATAACAGGGTATTTGAGTCATTACTTACTCCTTTTTCTGTGTCAAATTTCACTCTGCCTCTCTCCTACAGACATTTGTGATGCATTCAGAGCTTGCCTGGATAAGCCAGGATATTTTCCCATTTCAAATATCCTTAATTTAATCACATCCGCAAAGTTTCTATTGCCATATGACGTAAGATTCACAGGCTCCAGCGATCCAGACCCAGATGTCTTTTGGGGTCATATTCAGCCTATCAAACAGACAAATTTAAATTATCATGAAAGTTTTGGAAAATACTGTAATATTTGCATGAATTCCCTTTCACACCACTGTAACCTTTCCTGCATTTTTCGTCTGCATGCTGTTTGATTGAATCTTCATATGACAGCAATTCTATATTTTTGTCCATTTAGAGAATACACAGATGCCTCAATCTTTCCTCCAGTATAGTTAATCAAAATATGTTTCTTTTTGTTTATTATCACCACTTGTTGGGATGCCTAAAGCATGTGACACCACACACGGAAGTATGCACTATTTTTAGTACAGATTCAGGGTTGTGCCTTAAATACACAGTAATTCCAGTAGATGATATTTTGAACAATTTCTTTCAAAACATATGCATCAATTATAATTGTATACTCTGAAGGAAGGAACTTCTGTTTTGACCAGGTGTTGATAAGGACCAAATTTTATACATTTGATTTTGGGAAACATTTTGCACAAAGCTTCTGGCTTCATTCAGTTATCTTCTACTACTGCATACTTCCTGTGCCAAGCACCACAGGACACATTCATACTACAATACAACCTAGCCCTTTGTGACGTGATGCAATGCTACACAGTCAACACTATCAGCAGTAGAAGTATTTCCAGACCCCACTCCTGCACTAGGCAACTAACGATAACATAGACATATATAAAAGAAATGTGAGCCATGTAACTATATCCTCTTAAACTCAATGCAAATATATTCCCAAATCAACTTTCCCTTAGTTGAATCCAAGAAATTTTATTGGTGCCATTGTTGACAGAGCAAGGGCATCACCATCTTGGACAAACACGCCATTTTAAGTTCCCCTTTATTAAAAGCCACCTAAATGCAGCCTCCAAGCAGCCTAATGACTAATGTCAGCATAACCATAAACCACAAGTGACACCTCTGACCAAAAACATGCTAACCCTAAGATAACCTCCCCTCCAACCAGAGACATTCCAACTCTGCAGTAAAACTCTCCTTCACACAGAAGAATTCCGAGCCTACGATAAGCTCTCCCTCCCTAAACCCTTAAATACCCTAAGTCTGTAACAGGGAATACTTCTGACCGAGTTAGGCCAGAAGCCCCTCTCATGTTTGTTCTCCAAAATAAACCTGTCTTTGACTGTTGAGCCACTTTTCGTGTTTCTTTCTTCTTTCTTCAACTCTTACAATTATCATCACCATGACACAGCATTTTTGCTGTGTCACATAAATATGACACATATTTATGGTTAAACTATCTTACTTTAATGAAATATACAAAAATTTCTCCCAGGACCTTGAAAGAAACCATGAAATAAGGAGCCCAGAGGCTCAGAAATTTTGCCTTCCTCAACTTATAGGAACTTCTTTCTACATACTACTAACAAATTAGGTTGATAATACATACAACCTCAGTACCCTAAAAAACACACTTAAATATTGTTTTATTTTAATGGCCTCATTATTTCCTACCAAACTCTGTGAATGTAGCACATGTGAACCTCACTCATCTCAACTTCCGTCTACTTCTTGATTATTTTATGATCCTTTCAAGTTCTTTTAGCTAGCCTCATTAATTTGAAATAACTGGAAAGAAAGGTCTCCTTGAATTAGTGAGTTATATGAGCTATAGAGTTTTCCTAAGGAAGCATAAATTTAGTACTTTAAGTAGCTGCAGTAACAGAAAATAGCTTAACCAAATACTATTACCCAGAGCACCTACTGGGACATATTTTACCAAAGAGATGGAAAACATTTAAAAGGAGCATATTCTTGTTTTGTATAAGTTTTAGGTATCTACAAGTAGATAAAATAACTGATCATCCTTTTATGTTAATTAGGCATTTTCCCTACAGTATTTCACATCACTATAAGGCTTTGATTAATCTGGCCAAAATATCCATGAACTTGACTTAACCAAAATGTAGTCAGGCTTTTGTCTCTGACTACACAAGGTCTCTGACTTTCTCCCATCCTGTGCTAATGCAAGCATTGGAATAGGTTGAATAACTCAATAACATCGCATTGATACCCAACTTCACCCACAATCTGTTCTTTTCAGCTTTATTTATTCTTTTCTATAAGAGAAATTCCATTTTGTTGGCCTTTTGGGTTTCTAATAGTTTTTGTAGTCCAGTCAGAGCATTCTCCCTATTGCAATAATCTTTTCAAATAGTCTCTTCGCTTTGCCTGTATTTGTTTTTATTTGATACCTTGTTAAGTTGTCCATGAACTTTTCTCATGAAGTTTAAAATCCTGGTTATCTCCAGTCCACATGAGCACATATTCAATATTGTTCATTTTCAAATCAATGAAATTTAATTTCTTTATATTCTGAAACATATACTTACTTGATTTATTGGGGTACATTTCACATAAAATTTGCCATTTAAAATAAGTGTATAATTCAGTGTCTTTTAGTACATTCACAATGTTGTACAACCACCAAGTCTTTCTAATTCCAGCATATTTCTATCATCCTGAAAAGAGACCCCTTACCCATTCACTAGTCCCTCTGCATTTCCTTCACCTTCCAATCTCTGGCACCATTAATCTGTTTTCTGTCTCCATGTACTTGTCTATTTTGGAGATTTTATATAAGTGGAATAATACAGCATGTGGCCTTTTGTGTCTAGCTTCTTTTACTCAATGTTTCAAGGCCCATCCCTGCCATAGCATGTATCAGTGCTTCATCCTTTTTTAAAATGGTTGAACAATATTCCATTGTATGGATATATCACATATTATTTATCCATCATAAGTAGATGGATATTTGTTTTCTTTTCTATCTGTTGGCTATTTTAAACACTATTGATATGAACATACATGCATAAGTTTTTGTTTTAACACACATTTTCTATTATCTTAGATTTAAACCTAAGAGTGTAATTGCTGGGTCATAAGGTAACTCTATATTTAACTATTTGAAAAGCAGCCAAACTGTTTCCCACATCAAAGAATGACTGATTCATTCTTTATTTCCAGCAGTAATGTGTGAAGATTAGTAATTCCCCACACGCTTGTCAACATTTGTTATTATTATTATTATTATTTTCTTTAAGAGAGTTTCACTCTTGTTACCCAGGCTGGAGTGCAATGGTGCGATCTCAGCTCACCTCAACTTCCGCCTCCTGGGTTCAAGCAATTCTCCTGCCTCAGCATCCTAAGTAGCTGGGATTACAGGCACGCATTAGCATGCCCGGCTAATTTTGTATTTTTAGTAGAGATGGGGTTTCTACATGTTGGTCAGGCTGGTCTCCAACTCCTGACCTCAGGTGATCCATTCACCTGGGACTCCCAAAGTGCTGGGATTACAGGTGTGAGCCACTGTGCCTGGCCAACATTTGTTATTTTCTGGTTTTTGTTTAATTATTATTGTCATCTTATTTGTTGTAAATTAGTATTTCATTGTGATTTTAATTTACATTTCCCAATGACTAATAATGTTGAGCATAATTTCTTGAGCTTATTGGACATTTGTATATTTTATCTGGAGAACTGCCTATTTAAGGACTTTGACAATATTTAAATTTGGCTGTTTTTTCTTTTCCTTATTCTGTTTAAAGTGTCCTTTATATATTCTGGATATTAGACTCATCAGACACACAATTTGTAAATACTGTGTTCTATTCTATGGGTTGATCAGTCACTTTCTTGATGGTGTACATAGATGTACAAATTTGTTTTTTAGTTTGAGGATATACATTTTATTGTATTTTTGCTTTTTTTGGCCTGTGCTTTTAATGGCATATCTGAAATTCACTAAAAACACTGAGGTCTTGAACATTTACAGCTGCATACCAGGTATGTATCTTTTGCATGTGTAACTACATTTTTTTTTCCCCAAAATCCTATGAATGATCTTGAAAGCTTTGTCAAAAATCAAATACTCATATATGTCTGAGTTCATTTCTGGAAACTCAAATCTATTCTATTGGTTCATATATCTATTATTTGCGAAGTGTCATATTAATTTAGATACAGTAGATTTGTAGTAAGTTAAAATTGGGAGAGATGAGTCCTCTAACTTTATTCTTTTTCTTTCTTTCTTTTATTTTATTTATTTATTTTTTTGAGACAGGGTCTGACTCTGTCACTCAGGCTGGAGTGCAGTAGCACAATCTCAGCTCACTGATGATCTTTGGCTCAAGCAATTCTCCTGCCTCAGCCTCCTGAGTAGCTGGAACTAGAGGCATGCACCACCACTCCTGGCTAATTTTTGTATTTTTTGTAGAGACAAGTTTTTGCTCTATTGCCTGGGCTTGTCTCAAACTCCTGAGCTCAGGAATTCCACCCTCATTGCCTTCCCAAAGTTCTGGGAGTAGGGGTATGAGCAACCGTGCCAATCTTGCTTCTCTTTTTCCAGTTTGTTTTAGCTATTTAGGATATCTTGCCATGCCATATAAATTTTAAGATCCGTTTCCCCATTTTTTTTCAAAAAAGGCAGTTGAAACTTTGATAAGAATTGCATCAAACTGTCTATTCGGGGACTATTGTTTCTTAGTAATATTATGCGTTTGAATACATTAACAGATAACATTTTCATTAATTGGTGTAATTTTTAATTTCTTTCAACGTTTTGTACTTTTCAGCGTAGAAGCCCTACACCTCGTTGGATAGATTGATTTCTAAGTAGTGAACTATTTTTGATACTAATATTAATAGAACTGTTTTATTTTAATAATTTTAAATTTTCAAATTTTTATTGCTGATACGTAGAGATACAACTGATTCTGATATTATACTCTTATATCCCACAACTTTACTCAATTTACTTAGTTGTTGTAACATAATTTTCAGGGTTTTTTTTGTGTTTATTTGTGAGGTTTTCTGCCTTTTTTGTTTGTTTTTCTTTGGTGTATTGAATTCGTAGGTATTCATACATACAAAATTACATCATCTACGAATAGAAGTAATTTTATTCTTCCTTTCCATCTTGGGTAACTTCCATTTCTTTTTCTTGCCTAAATGTTCGAGCTAAAACTCCCAGATTGATGTGAAATGGAAGTGGCAAGAACATACATTTTTGTTTTCTTCTTGATCTTAGGGGAAAAATTTCAGTAGTTCACTGTTAAGTTAATGTTATCTCTAGAGTTTTCATAGATGTCTTTTATCAGCTTCATAACATTCCCTTGCATTCATGGTGTTTTGAGTGTTTTATCATGAAAATATTGTGGATATTTTTCAAACACTTTTTTAAATCAATTGTGGTGTTTTCTTTTTCTTCATTGCATTAGTATGGTTTGATGAACTGATTGATTTTTGTATGTTACACAAAAGTTAAATCCCTGGGATAAAGAAAGCCTCCTTTGTCATTGAGCATAATCCATTTAATATGTTACGAATATTTGTTTGCTAGTATTTTGTTGAGGATTTTTGCATCTGTATTCACAAGGTATTTGTCTTTACCTTTCTTTTCTTGTAATGTTTTGCATGTTTTCAAATTTTTATTATTTTAAAAATTATTATTATTATTATTATTTTAGACAGAGTCTTGCTCTGCCACCCAGGCTGGAGTGCAGTGGCACAGTCTCAGGCTCACTGCAACCTCCACCTCCCAGGTTCAAGCGATTCTCCTGCCTCAGCCTCCCGAGTAGCTGGGATTACAGGCATCTGACACCACGCCTGGCTAATTTTTGTATATTTAGTTGAGATGGGGTTTCACCATGTTGGCAAATTTGGTCTCGAACTCCTGACCTCAGGTGATATGCCAACCTTGGCCTCCCAAATTGCTGGGATTACAGGCGTGAGCCACCACACCCAGCCTAAAAATGGTTATTTTTTTTAAAGACAGAGTCTCACTATGTTGCTCAGGCTGAAGTATAGTGGCTAGTATCAGGCACAATCATAGCAGACTGAAGTCTTGAACTCCTAGGCTCAAGTGACCCTTCCACTTCAGCCTCCTAAGTAGCTGTAGCTAGAAGCATACAGCACTACACCCACACTGTATGATCTTGACGTCAGGGTAATATTGACCTCATATAATGAGTTAGAATGTGTTCGCTTATGTATTAGTCCATTTTCATGCTGCTATAAAGAAATAGCCAGAACTGGGTAATTATAAAGAAAAGAGGTTTAATTGACTCACAGTTCCACATGGCTAGGGAGGCCTAGGAAACTTATAATCATGGCAAAAGGCACCTACTCACAGGGCAGCAAGAGAGAATGAGTGCCCGGGGAAAGGCCAGATGCTTATAAAACCATCAGATTTCATGAGAACTCACTCACTGTCACAAGAACAGCATGGGAGGAAACTGCCCCCATGATTCAATTACCTCCCACTTGTTCCCTCCCACAACACTTGGGGATTATGGGAACTACAATTAAAGTTGAGATTTGGGTGGGGACACAACAAAATCATATCACCTGCTTTTGTTTTTTGAAATAATTTAGGAATTGAAATTAATTATTTCTTAAATGTTTAATAGATTAACCGGTAAAATCATCTGGTCTTGGGCTTTTTTAATGGAAAGTTTTGATTACTGATTCAATCTGTTTACTCTATGGGTCGATTCAGATTATTTGTTTATTCCTCAGTCAGTTTTTGTAGTTTGTATGTTTATAGACATTTCTTCATTTCACCTAGGTTATTCCATTTGTTCTTATAAGATTATTCACAGTATTCTCTAATAATCCTTTTTTTTTTTGCTTTTTTAATTGGAAGTTTTGATTACTGATTCAATCTCTTTACTCTATGGGTTGATTCAGATTATCTGTTTATTCCTCAGTCGGTTTTTGTAGTTTGTATGTTTATAGAAATTTCTTCATTTCACTTAGGTTATTCTATTTGTTCTCATAAAATTATTCACAGTATTCTCTAATAATCTTTTATTTTTAATTTTTTTGCTTTTGTGAGGTCAGTAGTAATGTCCCAACTATCTTTCCTAGTTTTAGTAATTTGGATTTTCTCTCCCCTACTTCCTGCCTTGATGAATCTATCTAAAGGCTTATCAATTTTGTTGAAATATTCAAATAATTAAGTTTTGGTTTTATTGATTATCTCAATTACTTTTCTAGTCTATATTCTATTTATCACTGCTGTAATATTTCTTATTTACTTCCATCTGCTTGCTGTAAGTTTAATTATTTTTCTTTCTGTACTTCCTTAAGGGGGAAAATTAGGTTATTTATTTGAAATATTTCTTTATTTTTAATGTAGATGTTTGTAGCTGAAAGTTCCTCTCTGAGCACTCTGTTAGCATCCTATAAAATGTATGTTGTGTATTCATTTTCATTCATTTCAAAGTATTTTCTAATTTCCAATGTGATTTTTTCTTTGGCCTGCTGGTTGTTGTAAAAGTGTTAATTTCCATATGTAAAATTTCCAGATTTCCTTCCATTATTAATTTTTGTTTTCATTTATTATAGTCTGAAAAGATACTTTGTATGATTTTAATATTATAAAATGTATTGAGAATTGTTTGTGGCTTAACATATGGCCTATCCTGGACATTGCTACATATACAGTTGATAAGAATGTATATTCTGCAGTTATTAAATGAAGGGTTCTATATGTGTCTGTTAAGTCTAGGTATAGATGTTTCATAGCATGTTCAAGTCTTCTATTTCTTTATCTTTTGACTATCATTCTATCGACTATTGAAAGTGAATGCTATAGCCTCTACTATTGTTGTTGAACTGCCTATTTCTTTCCTTAATTTTGTCACTTTTTGTTTCATATATTCTGGATCTCTGTTATTAAGTGCATATATGTTTTATAATTGTTACATTTTCTTGATAAATTGACCCTTGCCATCATTACATAATGCCCTTCTTTGTATCTTGTAACAATTTTTGTCTTAAAACCTGTTTTATATAATATTAATATAGCTATTCCATTTCTCCTTTGGTTACTGTTTGCATAGAATATCTTTGTTCCTCCTGTTCTTTAACTTTCAACCTACGTGTGTCTTTGGTTTTAAAGTAATTCTCTTGTAAACAGCATACAGCTTGATCATGTTTTTGCCCTGCCGATTATGACAATCTGTCTTTTAATCCAGAATTTAATGTAATTATAGTTAATGTAATTACTTGTAGGAAAGGACTTATTTATGCCATTTTGCCATTTGTGTTCAATATGTTGTATCTTTTTGTTCTGCAATTGTTTCATTGCAGGCTCCTTTTTGTGTTAAATAGATATTCTCTATGTACTATTTTAATTCCCTTCTTGGTTCTCTTTTTATACATATTTTTAGTAATTTCCTTAGTATTTACCTTGCAAATTACAAGTAAAATCTTAATTTATGGAAGTCAAGCTTGAATTACCAACTTAGTTTTGATATTATGTAGCTCCTATTAGCTATGCCTGCCTTCATGTTGTTATTGTCAAAATTGCATCTTTTAAAATTGCCTCAATATAGTTTCATAATTTTTTGAGTAGTTGTCTTTCAAATAATATAGAAAAAGACGAGTTACAATCCAAAAATAGTATAGAACTTGATGTTTACATTCATCTATGTGGTTACCTTTACTAGGGCTCTGTATTTTTCACGAGAATTTGAATTATTCCCTAGAGTTACTTAATTTAAGCCAGAGAGACTTTCCTGTTGTGCAGGTCTGCTAGCAACAAACTCCTAGTTTTTCCTAATTTTAGTAATTTGGATTTTCTCTCTCCTATTTCCTGCTTTGATGAGCCTATCTGAAGGCTTATCAATTTTGTTTTCTTAGCATATGTTGATATGCTTGATGATGATACACAGATCCCTCAAGTTTCATTAATTTATCTTTTTTTTCTTTCTTCTTCTCAGCCAGGATAATCTCAATAAACCTCTCCTTAAGAAAAATGATAATTTCTACTGCTTGCTCAAATCAGTGTCTATACTTCTGTAGTTTATTTCCTTTTTTTATTTTTTGCCCTTTTCAACTTAAGAGTTTCTATTTAATTCTAAATACATTTTCCTCATGGGTTCTTTTAGTACTTTGTACAAGATATTCTTTAGTTCTTTGAGCATATTTTAAATCTTTGACTTAATGTTTTTGTCTGAGTCCAATGTCTGGACTTCTTCAGAAATAGTTTTTATTGATTTCTTTTTTTTTCTGTTAATGGGTCATACTTTTTTATTTCTTTGGATACCTTATAAGATTTTTTGTTAAAAGCTGAACATTTTGAATTATATAATGTGATAATTATAGAAATCAGACTCTCCCCTCTCATGAAGATTTGCTGTATTTTTCTGTTATAGTTGTTTTTGTTTAAAAAAATAGCTCAGCAAATTAAACAGTCTATATTTGTTGTTATGTGTGGACTCTGAAGTCTCTGTTCCATTAACTGAGTGATCAGATAGTGACTCGACGGAAGTTTCCTTAAACACCTGGAACCAAGAAACAATTCACAGTCTTTGAAGATGGATGGCATATGTATTGGAGTACACCTTCAATACTTAGGAGTTTATAACTCTGTTTTGGTTTTTGGTCTCCATTTCCTGCTGACCCAGAACCTGAAGGTCAACAAGAGGTTTTTTCTTTTTCAGATTCTTTCTGAGTGTGCACAAAGCTGCAAGATGTACATGGCTTCTAGATTGCCAAGATTATTTTAGAGTGTTTAAAAATCCTTATTCACCAAAGCATCTCATTCCCCAGACCTTCTCCAAGATTTCAGTTTGTCTATTATTTGTCCTAACTTTAATCCCTGTTCCAGGCAGAAGCAGGTCATGAATTTGGCTTTAGATGTTTTCAACACATGACCCCTGGGTAGCCTCCTTGGCCCTTGAAGTGTTGTTGCATGTCAGGCAAAGTAGAGGGAAGTCACTTGAGTGGGTCCTTCAGAAAGCTACCAGAGAGGTTAAAATAAAAATTATTTGAGAACAAGATTCATTCTGCTTGTAACAGTGCTAGGAAACTATACCAGGAATCTAGGTTATTGTTTTAAAGGCCTACGGCAAGCTGGGCCATGAATGAGATGTGCGTAAAATGCCACAAGGCTCTCTTACCTAAATTAATCTGTTTTATTTTTCTTAAATTTTCATCTGATTGCTATGAAATTTTAATGAATTTTCAGAGTTCCTATAAAGATGATGCCGACAGTTTTGCCAGTATATTCTTGGCCTTTTTGGAGTGGTGGGCTGTTATCATTCCTGTGATCACTTTGTTTATGTTTCACACTGAAGTAATTTAAGTCCCTGATAGGTTTTCCTTCAGACAGTCCTCAAGGAGTAAGATAGAGAGAGATCAACTAGCTTGCCCCAGGTCACACATAAAGTAAGTGGTTGTGTGTGCCTGGATTCAAAGCCGTGTAGTGTGACTACAATTTACTAGAGAATATTAAAAAACGACTACATCTTCAGACACTTAGAATAAGCATGACAGAATGCACTAAGGAATAAGAAGCATTTTGACAGATTAGAATGTTTTACCAGTGGTGGTGAATCTTAAGCTGAATTTCAGGTAGGTAAAGGGTATGATAGGCAAGAAACTAATGAAAAGCTTTAAAACCATACAATAAAAAAATAGTTTCAATATATAATGGGAATACTCGGCCAGATAAAAGTAAACTATTAAATCCAAAATCTAACATTTGAATTAGGATTAAATGTCTAATACCTTTTGGAAAATTTACCTTCCCTACCTCTAGTTTTATAAAGTTGCCTGAAAAGGTTACACAATTTAAAAAGTATTAGCAGAGAAAATCAACATGGATGAATCCATTGGAAAACAATTTTTTGGGGCAGATGAATGCATATGAATTGTGAAGATTTTTTGAAAGAACCAGAACTTCACTTTTATCTTTCTTTTTTTTCTCTTTTTGAGTTTGCAGTGTGGTGAACAAAAGTGATAGCAGGGTGTTTGTCTAACCCTAGATTTCTATTTATTTATTTTTTTTTGGTAATTCAAGTCCCATTTATTTAGTTCTAACAATACAAAGATAGCTTACCATTAATTTGCATTTCAGTCTTTAAAATACCTGTGAATGAAAAACAGTTCCATGATAATAACATTTTATGGGCTAAGTACATTTTAGAGTTAGTATATAAAAATTTCTCATTTCACCTCATTTCCTGATAAAGTACGCTGAGTAATATATTAACATAATGGATTTGTAAAGTGTTTAACATTTTTTATTTAATATATATCTCATTATACACAAAATTTGACTGATTTTTATGACAGTAAAATTAGAAGTTCACAGTTATATATTGGGAAACATGATATTTCAAATATGTGTAATGTGTACTATACATATGTAACCTATTTGATATATTTTTCACAATTTCTTGTCAGAAGTTGTTGATGCTTTAATGTTATACACTTTCAGATAGAAGCAAGAAATCTTACTTGACTAGTATATTTAATGAATGTCCTTTGAGAACAAATATTGAGGCTTAAAACTCCACTGTTATTTTTAGATATGATTAAAACAGAATAAAAATGAAATAAGAGATTAGAATTTTTTCTTCAAGTTTTCTTCAAAATAAGTATTTTATTTCCTGAACAGCTTGTAGGTATTATTTTGCATTGATATTAAGGTATTTAAGTTGTAATAATGCCTTTCTCAAGACATTTAAAAAACTGACTTCTAAATTGTTTTTTGTGTGTGTGTGTGTGTGTATGTGTTGCACAAGAGTATTTACTATGCTGAGAATACAGATAATTTATGGAAAGTTTAGGTCTGTTAATACAGACTAGATTAAGAAAAATAGAGCTGTGATCAGTTTGGACTTCAAATTCCAAAAACTGAAATTTTCTGAAATATGTGGACGCTTATAAAAAGGAAAGATTTACTCTGTAGTAAATGTTCAATTTCATCATAAATACTTTAAAAGCATTTTGCTCTGTCTCATTTTTTTTTTGTGGAGTTTGCTTTATATTCAAAACAAGTACAAGATATTATCTCTGGCAAAATTAATGTAGTTATGATGATATGACTGTGAATTATTTTCCCATTCCAAATCTTATTCAGTTATTTGACTTCATAACCTATGAGAACCATTAGTTTTATTTTCCAAAACACTTTGTATCATAAAGGAGATGTGGATTATAGGTCTGTTAATAGATTTATAATATGCTATCCTAGTCATATGTTTTACAAGGAAACCTTGAAAAAGATGACCTTTCTCACAAAAAGACAAATATTGTGAATCATTAAAAATTTATGAACAGACCTTGTTTACTTTTCATTGTTATTTTCCTTAAATTACCAGAATATTAAATTAGCTTTAGTTACCTTGGTTTAATTTCTAAATATAGATTAATTTCTGTTCTTGAATATTTGCAAAAGCATCAAAATTTTATCTAAGATCACAACTTAATTCTAGTTACAATAAATATTCTGCAATCATTTAACATAGCTTTCCATCAAAACCGTGGCATGCTAAAAGGAATATTTGTAAAGCTATAAATTTCCTGTGTTAAGAGAAGGTACTTAAACACAGAAAAAGTTCAAAAATACCAGGAATATACAAAAAAAGTTATGATAGCCACATATATATTCATATGCACATGTAAATTTCAAAATTTTTCAAATGTCATGAAGTCTAGAATCTCCTTTTTATTGAATTAATTAACATCGTTTACAGTTTAAGGTAAAAAAAGTAACACTCAAGCATAAGAATTTTGGAAAAACTAATGAAAACTCAACGTGCTTCTGAGATGTTTGCATTTTTTGTTTAAAATATTTTAATCATGTTCTTTGCTAACATGGCTTGTCCTTGGATTTAAAGCTCTTATATAAAGTAAAAATAATGAAATGTACTCTCATATTTTGCTTTTGTTAGTATTATTCCAAATATTACATTGCTTTCTTGTTACTGTAATCAATGTTTCATGTTATTTTAGAAACCATATTTGAAAAGAATATATTATTTCCTTTTATCTATAGTGATTAGACATATATCTTGAAACGACTCATTTATTTGGTTAGACAAAAATCAACTATTGCCACCATATAATTCTATTAATACAGTCTAATACTGTTTTCAATTATTATTGGATCCATCAATCTTTTGTTAAAATTTAGTCAGTTCCTTGCATAAGGGATCTACTAGATTGCTCCTCAAGCAATCCACAGGATCAATCTACAGGAGTGATCTTCAGTATTGATCAAGCTCACCTAAGAGAAAGAAAACAGTCTGAATGACTAGCAAAGTATCCTCAAATGCTAAGCATATCTCAAGACTTTGATCACATCTGATCTAATGAAATAAGTCCTTTATGTAATTTAGAAACTGCAGTCACCACTTTTTTTTTTTTTGGCTTGGGGAAGTTACAGATTAGATAATGTTACTTTAATTTTGCAAATACTGATAGAATATTTACTATGTAAAATTTATTATAAATTGACCAAAAAGAGCCTACCAAAATATGAGAGATAATTTATTGTATAGTCCTTTTATTCCGTTTTCTCTATATAAGATCCTTTACGAATGACTGTCACCAGCCATTAATATCAAACACCTGGTGGGGTTCAGTGGCTCACATCTGTAATCCCAGCAATTTAGTAGGCTGAGACAGGTGGATTCCTTGAGCCCAGGAGTTTGAGACCAGCCTGATCAACATGGCAAAACCTCATCTCTATAAAAAACACAAAATTTAGCCAGGCACAGTGGCCTGCACCTGTGGTCTGAGCTACAGAGGCTGAGGTGGGAGGATCACTTGAGCCCAGGAGGTGGAGGTTGCAGTGAGTCAAAATCTCACCACTGCACCACATCCTGGGAAACAGAATGAGACTGTGTCTCAAACAAACAAACAAACAAACAAACACTTTCTGTTGTTATTTGAGTTATTGTTTTTAGGGGTCCATTTCCGGAGGCAATTTTTAGCATAAGCTGACCCAAATTGCATTCAAAAAATTTACCTCAGCAGACTAAGATAATTACTAAATTTCTCATCTGAAACGAGAACCAAAACTATGTCTCAAATGAAACCAGAGCTTTAGGAAAGACTGCAAATATTTTGAAATGTTAAATTGAAACCTCTCGTGCCATCATAACTTAACTGAAAAGTATTCTCATCAAATTTATGTATCACACATGGTTAACAGTTTTGAGTTTTGCTTCAAATAGGTCACCCGAAGAGATGGAAGAATTGTAAACTTGATATTTTAAATTTAACAGTGTATTCTCTTATGCATGAAACTACAGTAAATAAAATAGAGGAATTTGTAATATGCATCAATGGTGAGAAGTATAATGATAGTTTTAAATGTCAAATGTAAATTACTGAAAAGAAATTTCTTGCAGAGAAATTTACTGAGTGTCATTCGTTGAAGCAATGTAAAATATACAAATCTGATGGTAAATAGCAAAAGACTGAAATATTGCTGAAGATTTTGAGATGATTATATAATCTTGTTATTAAATGTTCTTTTTCTCTTACCGTTTTATAGCTGTCAGTTTTCTAAGAAAACTTTTTAACAATGAAATGTTTGTGTTTCAAGCTTCAATGGCAGTTAATATTCTTGTTGAAAATGAATATGGCAACTTTGCTAAATTCTAAGAAGAAATGCCTTCTTTTACAATCTATAAGATATTTGCAAGAAAGAAGATGAAGCTAAATTACTTCCACTCTGAAAATGTTTTTCATATTTGTGGCATACCAGGATACTTATATTGAGAGGATTAAGAATACATAATCACCCAGCATGTCTTGTGAGAAACAGAGTCTCATTTCTATTAGATAAAGCCACCTTTTCTTTCTTTTCTAGGGGAGAATATTTGCTTTCTAAGATTATCATGAGAAGAGGAAGATGAGCCTTCTTTTTTTTTTTTTTTTTTTTTTTTAGACAGAGTTTCATCTTTTGCCAGGCTGGAGTGCAGTGACTTGATCTCGGCTTACTGCAACCTCCGCCTCCCAGGTTCAAGTGATTCTCCTGCCTCAGCCTCCCGAATAGGTGGTACTACAGGTACGTGCCACCATGCCCAGCTAACTTTTTTGTTTTTTTGGTTTTTTTTGAGATGGAGTCTCACACTGTCACCCAGGCTGGTGTGCAATGGCCCAATCTCGGCTCACTGCAACCTGCGCCTCCTGGGTTCATGTGATTCTCCTGCTGCAGCCTCCCAAGTAGCTGGGATTACAGGCGAACACCAACACACCTGGCTAATTTTTTGTATTTTTAGTATAGATGGGGCTTCACTATGTTGGCCAGACTGGTCTCAAACCCCTGACCTCGTGATCTGCCCGCCTCGGCCTCCCAAAGTGCTGGGATTACAGGTGTGAGCCACTGCTCCTGACCACTTTTTTGTATTTTTAGTAGAGACGGGGTTTCACCATGTTGGCCAGGATAATCTCGATTTCCTGACCTTGTGATCCACCCACCTTAGTTTCCCAAAGTGCTGAAATTACAGGCATGAGCCACCGCACCCAGCCACTTTTTGGTATTTTTAGTAGAGACGGGGTTTCACCATGTTGACCAGGATGGTCTCGATCTCCTCACCTTGTGATCCTCTCGCTTCAGCCTCCCAAAGTGCTGGAATTACAGGCATGAGTCACCATACCCGGCCAAGCCTTCTATTCTTTCTTCATCCAACACAAGAACAACATTAATTTCAAATAAGTTTCTAATGTAATTTTTCTTGGCTTGCCTCTTGTATCACAGCCTACAGAAGCAGGAAATTACTTTGGTCTTACTGTTAATAAACACTGTTATTATTGTTATGTTAACCTATTATTTACTAACATTTCCACCTCAAGCAAATTAATGCAAGCTCACCACAGACAGATTTGTGATGGCTTCTATAATTTACTGTGATTGAATACCTTCCCAATATTTATGATTTACATAAACATTTGTTAGGGAGATTAACTACATAATTATTCTGTGTCAACTGGGAATTTATTATTGATATGTACATGTATTAGGAGGATTAGCTATATAATAATCCTTTTGAGAACAGGAATTTGAGACTAGCCTGGGCCACATAACAAGATCCTGTCTTTACAATTTTTTTTTTTTTAATTAGCCAACGTGATGGTGCACACCTATAGTCCTAACTATTGAGGAGGCTGATGTGGGAGGATCCCTTGAGTCCAGGAGTTCAAGGTTACAATGAGCTATGATCATGCCACTCTCCTCCAATCTGAGCAACAAAGTGAGACCTTTTCTCTAATCATAATTTAAAAAAATCCTTTATTAGCTATTAACTGGGTGATAATATTTTTGATACTATTCTTATTGAATTATATGGTGGCTTACAAACATGAATTGTGTCCTCATACCAGTTGTATGACCCCTGGACTGCAATTTAATAATTTTTATTATCAATTTCCTCATCTGTAATATAGAAATAAGTATATTACCTGCTCATGAGACTTAAATAGATCAATCTATGTAAATTATTTGGTTACTTTGCATTTGAATGAGAAAAAAAAATTTCATTAATTAATGAGAAAAATTATACCTAATTATTTCTCTAGAAATTGTCTGAGGTGATAGATACAGTAAAATCTTATTGCAATACAAATGTGCAACTCTGTTTATATGTTTGTATGTTTTTATGTTTTAACATAAACTATGCCTAGAAAATCAGGACATTCATTTTATTCTCAAAATCTAAAACTTTTCTTAAGAGCAATAAAATACAAATTACTTTAAGTACCCTATTGCTTGGGAAAATATAATTTTCTCATTTTTTAAAAAATAAATTTAAGGTTGGGCGTGGTGGCTCACGCCTGTAATCCCAGCACTTTGGGAAACCAAAGCGGGCAGATCACGAGGTCAAGAGATGAAGACCATCCTGGCCCATATGGTGAAACCCCGTCTCTACCAAAAATACAAAAATTAGTTGGGTGTGGTGGCACATGCCTGTAGTCCCAGCTACTCAAGAGGCTGAGACAGGAGAATCACTTGCACGTGGGAAGTGGAGGTTGCAGTGAGCTGAGAGTGCGCCACTGAACTCCCGCCTGGTGACAGAGTGAAGACTCCATCTCAAAATAAATAAATAAAATAAAATAAAATAAAATAAAATAAAATAAATTTAAGGCAATATTTATTTTCAACCATGATGTTAAGTAGAAATAACGTTTACGACATTCAAAACAATGTATAATAATGTCGAATTGATTTTGCTGCTTAGCAACTCTTGCCTGAAATTTTCCTTTGCTGGTTGCTTGTATTCTTAATTCTTCAGGTTACTTTAGGGTTGTCTTCCTAGGATAAGTGGCTTTTAGAGTTAGTGACAGATTGCTGCAGATGGAGAAGCAAATTCCTGCCACAGTGTTGTTATCTCTTAATTGACCAGTAATAGGGGCTATATCATCATGTTCCTAGACACATGGCTTCTTCTGTGACCAGAATAGAGTTAGCAATTGCAGTAGTGTCCTTACATAGAAAATATCCAATTAACGTTTTCCATTCAATGTCAGTCATAAATTTTCTCTTCTGTCTGAACAATTTTGTTTCAGCTTTTCTTGGCAATATTGTGGAGGGGGTGTGGTGCAGAAAGAATGGAAAAATAAGCCTCTATTCCTGGTGAGATTGAGCCAGGCACTTCAAGGCACCCATGCTGCATGGCAATATTTACCTTCCACCCTGCACAATGGATCAGGTTTCTTTCTGGATTCACAAAGCAAATAAAATTACTATTGGTTTCCTGATGCAGTTGTGAGGCTAAACTTGCGGAAATGATAATCTTACTAAGGTTTAGTCTTTTCTTCTGCCTTTAGGCAGAGTCTTTTATAAATTTCTGAGACTTTATTCCTCAGGCCCATACAAAGGAGAATTGTTATTAAATTAGTTAAAAGGTTCTTCACTGAGAGCTCTAGGAATATGGTTTTAAATTGCACATTCATGAAATTTTAATCTATTTTTCCAAAGCAGGACTCTAGTGATGGAATACTTGTAAAACCTGCCATGTCCCCACCCAGGAGTACCTGTTCTGAATTTGATTTGTCAAACATTCACTAATAATTAATGCAACTAATAATATTTAAATTGACAATTCCAACCTAACAATGAATTTTTTATATCTACAATATACTTTATCAGAGAGGGGCAACAATTGATCTACACATAGATGAAGCTTGAAGCTGGTTCTCCTCTGGAAGATTCAACTACAATATCCAAAATGAAAATCCAAGTTGCCTTAAGTCTCTAGCATCAACTCATAAGATAATATTGAAAGTGTAAATTAGGCTCATTCTGGAAGATGGAAAGCTATTTTTATGTATGTTAGGGATTTCTTTAGAAATGATGACACAATTTTAGTGAAATAAAAAGCAAAATTGATCTGCTTTTGTACCTATGATGACTAAGCACCCATAAGAATTATTTATATTTTATTCTCTATTTCTATTGATTTGTTAGAATAATGTAAATGATATTATGTGTTGCTTTGAAAGAAATAGTATTATATATCATTCTGAAAACAAATCATTCCAAAAAAATACTTATGGTCATCTCTTCTATATTTTATCATCATACAACATCCAAATTAAATTTAATTAAGTTTTGATTGCTAGTAAATATAGTAAAGTGATATGTTAATTACTGAGAAAGAGAAAAGTAATCTCTGACAACCAGGAACTATCCTAGTAATATCAGCTAGGCTTTGGTGTTACTATGAATTGGCCTGCCACCACACACAGCTAGGCCTAAATATTCCCCTCTTAAACATCAAATGTCAAAGAACATCAACATCACGCAAGGTCACTCTGACCCTGATGGATGAAAACAAGAACAGACCACTACATAATCATATCTGAACAGACAAAAAAGGAACATTCTTAAGTTAGAAAATAACAAATATAAACCTCTCTGCCTAATGTAAGTGAATACTTTTTTATAAAAATAAGTCATACGTTTACCCTCAGTGTAGTCTTTCCTCACAATAGACAAGAATTACAAAATACGCAATCATAGATTTACTTCAATTCTTGATAATGTACAATTTGGAGGAGCAAAACCCCATTTCTCCCTCACTTCAACAAATAATAAACCAAATTTGTTAAACTTATAGGTGTGTTCTAGCTGGTCTTTGACTAGAAGTCATTAACCTGATGTTACTGGAACTTTGTATTTTTAACAAGATACCTATGTGACATAAAACCATGAAAAGTTAACTTCAGTAAGACATCAGTTTTCTGGGAAAGACAGTGGTCTTCGACAATGAATGATATGATTAATTCAATCTTCTTTTTGACTTGTGGTTTAAATTAGATCTATGTTTCCTGGGCCAGGTTGGTTTATGATCTCAAGCGAACTTTCTGACTGTCATGGTCTAAAGAGAACTTTCCCACTTGTAGCTTTTACTCTAGTAAGGAAAACAAATCTATACAGCACGATAGCTCTAGACACATCGTGGTCACTATGTGAAGATTTAAAAGAAGAGATAGTAAGAGCAGAAGGAATATGTAAGTCCCTGATTCAAGATTGGCTGTAATACAAATTTTGGCTCTCCTTACTGCCATTATTCTCTTAATCAAAACAAACTATGAAAAACCTAAAAATTGTGAGAAAAGATAAAGTTCAAATACCATTTTTAAATTAAAAGATATACATTACAAAGTTCACAGAGACCAAATAAATATAATTAAGAGTTGATTTCATAGAAGATTGAAAAATCAATCTGATGATTTATAACTAGTGAGGAAGTAACATGAGGTAACCAAAGGATTAAAGAAAAATAACCAGTTTTAGTTTTTTCACTTAAATGATTAATTCCCATTTTGCAGTCTTGTACAGAAATAAAATATGGAAACATGAATAATTTTTGTGATTTTTTTTTCAAATTTATGGAACCAAATGTTTTACTGCTTAATCCTCTTGAAATTTTATTTCCCAAACCACAATTTTGGCATTTAGTAGTTCATAAAATATCAAAAAAAAAAAATGTTTGGGCAAGTAATAAGTAGCCCAAAGTAGCTCTTTTACAAGACAGTATAAAAATTCTCAATGAGTTAGGCAAGTTTTAAGAATTTACTTTTCTTCAAATAACACTACTAGGGAAAATTCAACCTACTGAAAACTAGGTTGAATTTATGTGTATTTTAAAAATCTGTTTTTTTGGTTGGTTTATGTTGCATTTCACTTACAAACAAATGTAATGAATTAACATTAGTAAAATTGAGTGGGTGGCAAGTGATAAGAATTATTTTGTCTCTGGGACTAAAGGAAAGTCAACGTTTTGTCATTTTTTCTCTCACTTTTCATATTTAATATGATGTTTACAGAAAATAAAAGTAACACCCCTAATACATGGCAGTTCTGTCTGTCACAACTGAATCATTCCATACGTATAAAATCTAAAACAGCTGGTAACCTTTAAAGGTTGATTCACTCACTGGACTTTATTTATTTATTTATTTATTTATTTATTTATTTATGGAATTTTTGTAAAAATGGCAGGAACATTTATTGTGCTGCAGGTACTTTGTTAACATTCTTTTCTATAAATAATATTACCAGCAATTTTCAGAGTCTCTAAACAGGACAGTCTACCCAAGACTAAATGTTGTTTCAGAGGAAGTGGGAATATTGCAACTTTTGTCAATGAGCAGGAGCCACTAAAAGAGAAAACTCTAAAAATGAAATATGAGAAGCTTCAAATAGACCCGCTGAATAAACTGTATTATTGATTTCTAAAGCTTTTTTTATTTTCATTTTGGTCAGTTTATATGGTATTCTGAAACTCTGTTTTTGCTAATGCTATAAAAATTCACTTCAAGAGCATGATAGAAAGTCAGTAATACTTTAAGACTTTTATCACATTAGTAACTTTCTTATGATATTAGAAATTCAATAAGACAGAAAAGTCACTGATCCTATAGCTAAATTGCTAATATAATGCAGCACTTACCACTATGACATGAAATATGCATTTTACTCTGATGCTTTAAAGCTTTCAATTTTTCTTTTCTAGTCCTTTGAGGGACCTCTCTTTTGGTGTATTTTTTAACAATAAATATACAATAATGTGTAAAAGTTCACAAATAGTAAAATAGCAGGATATTGATTCTTTTAAAGAGAAGAGCAAGATCATCTAATAACTAATCATGCTTCTGGGCTTATATAGCAGAGAACTCATGTAGCCCTAGAATACTTTAAAAGACCAAAAAAATAAACGAGCAAAACTTGGTAAACTAAAGCTTTAACAAGATTGTAGTTAAAAGCCAGGAAGTTTTTACCTACTGAAACTCAGATGGGCTGTTTTGAAAAATGATTTAAAGGATTAGTATCACATAATCAATGTTCTGAACACATCACAATCTCCAGTACACATGGGCTTTGCTTATTAGAAAAGTGGGTGTCTAATACAGAAATTCCTTAGGGTGTGATAATTATTTCCATTCCTATAAGTAAGCAACATTTTAAGGACATCATCCATGCCAAGGTACACACAAGTAATGTGACCTGTGGCAATAAGCTATACTTTAATTACATATTTTCTGTGATCAAAATCCTCAATAGGTAAGATGTTACGTACATTCATTCATACTTTCGCTCATCAAATACCTGTGAAGCACTTACTGTGTACCTTTCATGAGGGACATTTCAAAGTCCTTGGGATATAGTGTTGAACAAGGCAGATAAAAGAAATGAGATATGTGAAATATCATAAATTATTTTAGATAAGTTCTAGGAAATCAGGGTAAAAGCACTGATTGAGAGAAAGTGATGAGTTTAGAGTCATGGTCAGGGAAGCCTTCTCTGAAAAGATGTCATTTCAATGGAGACCTGAAAAATGAAGAGGAACCATTTATAAAGTAGAGGAAAACAGTCAAACAAACAAAAAACTTAAAACTGAAATGATGGTTTTGCTGGTGAGATATAATATATAATGATGTTCAAATATATCTATTTTTAAAACAGGTTGAACTCACATGTTCATCAAGAGCTCTTTTTCCTGGATCTTTTCTAGGGGAGTAGTGCCTACAACATAAATACCTAGTGTGAAATGCCAGCAAGAAGCAAGCTGATCAGTGCCACAACACCAGGCATTAGAAACAAAAGGTGCTGCTGAGGTCAAAGCACAGAGCAGAGTGGAACTGAGAGAGAAGAATTGGGTGAAATTAACTTTTTGAAGCTCTTAGGCCCCAGTGTTCTGGTTTTCACCTTGAAAACCAGGTAAACTTCTTTCATTGCAGCAGAAGATTGGAGTTTGCTCTCTGGAAAGCGTGAACTGAAAATAATATGGCTTTGGTAACATAAAGCATGGCTGAGGGTGGACTAATGAATTGTACTATAAAGAATGGCACTAAAAAAAAGTGGATCACGAGGTCAGGAGATCAAGATAATCCTGGCTAACACAGTGAAACCCCATCTCTACTAAAAATACAAAAAATTAACTGGGCATGGTGGTGCGAGCCTGTAGTCCCAGCTACTTGGGAGGCTGAGGCAGGAGAATGACGTGAACCCGGGAGGCAGAGCTTGCAGTGAGCCGAGATTGCGCCACTGCACTCCAGCCTGGGCAACAGAGCAAGACTCTGTCTCAAAAAAAAAAAATAAAAATAAATAAATAAATAAATAGCTACATAAAGAACAGTGAAAAGACAATGTTAAAAAGTAACAAAGCTTTGAAAATACTTAAGAAAAAAATAATGTTTAGTCTGAGTGATATCCATAGAAAACTACTTATCAAGAATACAACAAAACTTTTTCAGATAAATGTGTTTTTTTTAATTACTCCTATGAAATTTTCCTCAAAAACTAATGGGCAAAGCTTTAAAAATTATGTATTGTGACATAATTTTATAAATATAAATTGTATTTTAAATACAATTGTATTGTATTTAAAATACAAATATAATTTGTATTTTATAAATATAAAAGTAAAATACACTTTAATCTTGCTGATAAGTCAGAATAAGGGCAAACATAAATTTAGTAATATCTTGTAATATATATACTATACTTTGATAAGTCAAGGACGCATGTTATAACTTCTGGATTGTATTAAATAAATAAGAAAAAAATTTTAAAGTAAATTCAACCCAAAATAATTAGCAAAAGCAGAAACTAAAAAATAGGCATAACAAAAGCCAACAGTAAATTAATAAATTTAAAATTAAATATAATCAGCAATGAGGTCAAATGAATTAATTATTGCTTTAATTAAAATAAAAAGATTGTGGCATTGGAAACAAAAAAATGAAATTCACTTATGTATTCTCTCTCTCTATATATATGCAGAAAGGTTAAATGTGAAAGAAAAAAGATGTTACATCAACAATAAATGAAAGAAAGATTGAATGCCATATTCATATTATGCAAGTGGACTTTAAAGTAATAAACTCTATTAATGATTTACACATTTCAAAATAATAACAATATACCAGAAAGAGGAAACAATTCTAAGGAAGTGTCTAATTTATTCAATAGCCTTAAAGTATATACAACTCAAATTTGAAGATGTATTTATTTGTGGAAAATAAATACTTCAAAATATTCAAAATCTAACAGGAAATATATTAATATGTATCTGTCATATAAATTTAAGTAAGCATACAAATGATTTAAACAACACAACCATATTGACATATATGAAATATTACACCCAAATCTACAGTATACATATTCTTTTCAAAAACACAGGAAATAGTTACCAAAAATTGATTTTATGCTGAGCCATAAAATCCTTCTGTTTTCTATGAACATGGAGAAATTAAACATTTTAAAATATTAATGTTTTAAAAACTGGGTTTCCATTTCCATTTGGATGTTTGGAAATAATTACTCTCACTTCCTCACCTGGAAAAGAGCTGAAAATGTAAGTATCAACAACTCTTCAGAAATACATCAGAGGAGGGAGGTGACAAGGCAAACTGCTGACCCCAAAACTGGAGACACAGAAGAATACAGACATCTCCGCTTAACAGGAACAGAAACTTCTATAGCTAATAGCTAGTAGGAATGCTTAAACAGCAGTGAATAATTGCTGAAGGTCGAATGTTGGCTAGCTTCAGAGTTAAAACATCAGGGAAAAAGATGCAGATTTAGGGGGTCCCCATGCTTTTTTGAGTTTTACCTCTAGGAGATGAACCAGGGTCTCTCAACAAAGATCAGAGAAAAATGACATCTTGGTTCTAACAGGAAAAGGTGGGAAAGTGACCACTTTGAAATATGTCCAAAACATTTTATCCTCAAAATGATCCACCCGCAATAAAAATAATTTATCACAGACATAATTGACTTGTGTAAAGGGCAGTTAGTCAGCTCCAGCCATTTTTAGCCTTTTTATCTCACAGAAGAGTCGGGGAGAAAGACTAAAAGCACTCTTGAAGGGCACAGCCCAGGTACTCTTGCCCATTAAGAAGAAAAAAACAAAGTGGTAATCACAAGATTATAGAAGGCTCGTCCTCTCCAATACCTTAAAACCACATATGCAATACTCCAGTATAATAATAATGGATTAAACATGAGAAAGTTATGAAACACAGACTCTGTGTGAAAAGGAGTTTCAAAAACGAACGAACAACAACAACAACAACAAAAACAAAGATAAAAACACACACACACAAAAGACAACAGGGGAGACAAAAACAAGGACATTAAGGGAAATTGAAGCCTCTGATACCAGCAGCTGTAGTGAACATTAAACACGGCACAACTCTTAGCTAGATAAACAAAAATTCTCACACTGTATTTACCTTTTTTTTTCTTTTTACCCAATGCATCATATCTTGCTTTCAATGAAAAACCACAAGACATGTAAAAGGCAAGAAAACAACAATCTGAAGAGACAAGTCAAGAATTCAGAATCAGATATGGCAGAAATTTTGGAATTATCAAACAGGGAAATTTAAAGTAACTGGGATTAATCTGCTAAGTAATCTAATGGAGAAAGTCAACAACATGCAAAAATAGATGAGTAATGTGAACGAAAGATGAAAACTCTAACAAATAATCAAAAGGAAGTGCTGGAAATTAAAAAAAAAATCTGTAGCAAAAATAAAGAATGTTTTTGATGGATTCATCAGTAGACTGGACTCAGCTGAGAAAAGAATTAGTGACTTGAAGATATGTTAGAAACTTTCCAAACTGAAAGGCAAAGTAAAAAATGAAAAAATGCAACAGAGTATTCAAGAACCATGGAACTATTACGAAAGTTCTAAATATGTGTAATGGGAATACAAGAAGAAGAATAAAAAGATAAGTGAACATAAGAATTATTTTAAGTAATATTGGCTGATTAAAAAATAATAATAATGACCAACACCAAATTACAGATTTAGGAAGCACAAATCAAAGAAGACACAGAAAGATAAATCCTAAAATGTAATCTATATGTAAGAATATCATATTTAAACTGCAGAAATGCAAAGGAAAACTTGAAGTATACCAAAGATAAAAGCACTTTATCTATAGAAAAATGATAGAGAAAAAAATATTCTACCAATTTAAAGTTTTGTATCCAGCTAAATTATTCTTCAAGTGAAAGAGAAATATTTTCCAAAATGGACAGATACTGAGGAAATTTGTCACTAGTAGACCTGCCTTGCAAACGAAAAAGTTCAAATAAGTTTTTTTCAGAGGAAAGGAAAATTATATAGATCAGAAACTGATATTTACATAAATTACAGAAGAGTACTAGAGAAGGAATATCAATGTAAAATAAAATCTTTAATTTTTTTACTCCTAATTGAGTTGAGATAAAATTTTTTTCAAAACAATAATGGCAACAATATACTGGGAGATTATTCCTTTTGGAAAAGTTAAATGAATAAAAGCAATGTTATAAGAGAAGGGAGATAAGAATTGGGAATAATCTGTTATAATGTACCTATGCTATTTATAAAATGATATAGTGTTTTTGTAAAACGAACATGGATTGGTTATAAATGTATATTACAAGCTCTGGGGCACTTGCTAAAAATAAAAAATTAAGGACATACAGTTGATATGCTATGACAGGAGAGAAAAGGTAATCATGCAAAATGCTTAATAAAACCAAAGAAGGCAGAGAAAAGTATTTAAAATGACCCCCAAAATAAGTGCAACCAATAGAAAAGTTACAAATATGGTAGACATTCATTCAAATATATCAATTATCAAGTGAAATGGAAATGGTCTAAATAACCCACTTGAGAGAGACGAAGAGAGTGGATTAAAAACAACGCCTAACTGTATGTTGTCTACAAAAAAACTTCTTTAAATATAAAAGCACAGACAGATTACAAGAGAAGGAGAATGATATAGCATGCTAACATTAGTTTTAATAAAAGATATAGTAGCTATATTAATTTCATACAAAATAATCTTCAGAGCAGGAAAAATTATGAGAGCCAAAGAGGTGCATTGAAAGATGATAAAGTGGTCATTCCTCCAAGAAGATATAACAATCCTTAATGTGTACTGGCCTAATAACAAAGTTTCAGATATTGGAGGCAAAAATCAATAGAACTGCAAGGAGAAATAGATGAATCCACACACATATAGTCTACTGGTACTATTATAGAATAATTGGACATCTACATGCAAAAGCATGAATCTATGCTGAATCTATGCACAAATCTTATAGCTTTCACAAAAGTTAGTTCAAAGTGGATCATAGCCCTAAATTTAAAACATTACCCCCAAATTCCTAGAAGATAACATGGAAAACCTACCACCTACCACCTACTTAGTCTGAAAAGGCTACATTTTGTATGATCCCAAGTTTGTCTTTCACAAACACACACACACACACACACACACACACACACACACACGATAGAAAAAAACAAAACAAAAACTACCACCTACCCAGTCTGTAAAGGATACATCTTGTATGATTATATGATTACAACTCTTTGTCATTCTCACAAATAAAAAACTATAGAGACAGTAAAAAGATCACCAGTTGCCAGCAGTTAGGGGTAGGGGAGCAATTCATAGATGAAGCACAGGGGATTTTGAGAGAGGAGAAATAATTCTGTAGGACACCAAATTGTGGATACATTCTAGTATGTATCTGTCAAAACTTTTAGTATTTTACAAGGCAAAGAATGAACCATAAGGTAAAATGTGGAATTTAGTTAATAAAAAGTTAATTAAAAATGAACCAAAGTTTAAGAAAATCTATGTATTTGGAAATAAAGAAAAAAACTTCCTTATAATCCATAGTCAAAGAAAAATATCATGATAAAAACTAAAAAATAATGAATAATGAAAATATTATGTATAAAACATATACAAGGAAACTAAACTATGTTTATGAGCAAATTTATTTTAGTGTATATTTTATGGTTTATGAATTAGACAATGAACAGCATATTAAACCAAATAATGTTAAATAAAGAGTAAAGGCCATATGAGAAAATAACGAAATAGAAAACACCATAATAACAGTGGGTATCTACAAAGTCCAAAGTTAGTACTTTGATAAGAAAATAAAAACAGTCTCTACATATATTAAAATTAGGTAATAAGAGGATACAATAATGAAATTTATGACTAAAAATTTGAAAATTTAATTTCAAGGGCCAGATTTCTAGACAAGCACAAGTTACCAGAATCTTAAAGACGATAATTAGAGACATTGATTAATTTTATATCTGTTCAATATAACTGCTTTGACAGCTCCCACTGAAAAATAAAAGCCCAGACAGATATCTTCATCCTGAATTTTCCCAAAGGCAGAAACAGATCTCAATGATACTTTGATTTTGTACTTCTAGCCTCCTGAATTGTGAGGGAATAAATTCCTGCTCTTTTAAGCCTCCCAATTTGTGGTAATTTGTTACTGCTGCCCTAACAAACAAACCCAAGACTCCACAAATTCTGAGGACATTCTCTGTCTTTATAAAGATTGCAGTTACAAAATGTTTACTTTGTGTGTCTGTGTGTCTTTCTCTGTGTGTGTGTGTGTGTGTGTGTGTGTGTGTGTGTGATGTTACATTTCAATAAAAAAGAGGGGGAAAATCTTAAAAATTGCCAACATAAAAAATATTAGATGAAACCATAGGAGATTATTGTCTTCATAATTTCTGAGTGAGACACAAAATTGAAAAACTTCAGTTTAAATGAAGGATAACCTTGATTAAATAGTATTTAGAAAATTTACATTTCTCAAATTATCGAGTCGAAAGTCGAGAATTCAACCAGAAGAACATGTTTGCAACATATACACACTCCCACCCCTCCCACACACACCATAAATATTTAATAAAAAATACAAAGCCTTTATATGAATCAGTATGATAGAGTAACTAATTATAAAAAATCAGTAATGTCACAATTAACAAACATACAAAAAAGAAAAAGAACTTAAAATATGTGAAAACGTGCTCAATGACATTTATGATTATGTCATGCAAATTAAAATGCTAGGAAAGCATCATTAATACCTCTTCTATTAATGTCTATGCTGACAAGAGGTGGGGGTGAAGTATTATCATGTATTTTAAGCTAGAATGTTAAATAGTCTGAGTTTTATGCAAGACGGCTTGGTAATACCCTTCAAATTTAAAATAACATATGCTCTTTGAGTCAGCAATTTTACTTCTGTGAATTGTGTCTAATAACTCTGAACTCTGAACTAAACAAGGCCTTTTCGTACCTTGTCACAATGTTATTTGTGCATACATTTCTTTTATTAAAACTTAACATATACGATTTTTTAAATTGAAAATGTTCAAATAACCAAATAAAAGAACTAGGTAATAATATATTTTTAGTAATTATTTTAATTATTTTTCTGGTACTTGCTATTAAATAGTATAAATTAGTAATGTACAAGGAGTCCCATAACACAATGGTTATATGTTCTCATTAAGAGGTTGTTCACATTTTTCTTATAAAAATAGTATAAATATTGCATAAGTTGACATAAGAAGTGTATTTATTTACTCATCAAAGAGCTATTGGTTTTAAAAGAATTTGTATGTTACCACCAATCAATCTCAAATTTACAACTGTTAAGCAGCTACGTTGGAGGCCACTGTAAAAATACTCCTCAATGCATGGGCATCTGCTCCTGTTCTGTCCTCTCAAAAGAGTAATTTTTCACTTTGGCTGCACATTAGACACATCTGTGGAGATTCGTTTCTTTTGAACCTAATAGCCTTTATTCCAGACCAATTAAATCAAAATCTCTTAAGGGGGAACCAGGAAACAGAATTTTTATTTCACGCTTCCTTGTTGATTTCAATGTGTAATAAAGTGTGAGAGTGACAGATCTAAAAACCATTCATGTTTTATACAAACTCTTCTTCCTCTTCAGAAACCGCTGATATTCTGAAGGTTAGTATTTTTTTCAACACACAATTTTCATAGAAACAGACTCTGGTGCAATGGTGTAGAACACATTTGCAGAGACAGGTCATTGATTATTTGATCGTTTGTGTGTGTGTTTAAGTCAGTTTTACCCATAAGATAATAGTTACATTTACATTATTGTACTTGAAAGGAACAAAATTATAACAGTAATTTCAGTCTTGGTAATAGTTAAGACTTAGTGGTCTTTCACCCCAAACATGAAAATTTGCAAGATCCAATTCTTGAAAACATGGTTAGAGTTGAGAAGGAATGTCTTCTCTATCCCGTGTTCGTCATGCTCCTGAACAGCTACTAAATTAATGGGGTCAAATGTTCAGCCTTCTTTTTCTAATGTTCTGTAGGGGCGGAATAGAATTTGTCTCATTCAACTCAACTTACTCAAGTACCCTCTTGTTGTAATCTTCTAGTCAAGTTCTCCATTCTCACTTTGATTTCAATTTATAAATAGTTATATGCCATTAGTCCTCCACTGACATGCAAAATGCTCAATTATCTTCCCTGATATCTTCTTTATCATGTTGTCTTTCCAAATTTTGTCTCTGATAAGTAACTTAAATTTATATTTTATAGCCTATATCTCATTCCTCTACTTGTCTATCTTATTAATTTCTGATTCTTTTGTGAAGAAAGAAAAATAACAGAGGAAGAAAGAGATCGGAAGGAAGAAAGGAGAGAGAGAAAGGGAGAGAAAAAGAGAAAGAAAGACAGAGACAGAAAGGGAGAAAGAGGGAAGGAAGGATTTGGACGTCTCTACTGAATTTGGAAATATGTAATATCAAGAGGAAGTCGTCACTTAAAAACTGTGATTGCGAAAAGGCAAGTCCTAGCTCTCAATCATTATTAAACATTCTGAAAAATATTTTATCCTATGTATAAACTCTTCCCTACAATTTAGAGTTTCCCAATCTAGCCAAGCCCAATATAACTATCAAACAAGCTTCATGTTTATATTCCCCTTGAGATAAAGAGTTGTGGAACAGCTGCCTCACAATGATATCTTTATGACCATCTTTACCAAATTCAAACATAGGCACATGGAGAAGGGAACTCAAACTCCAGGTAATACACAGAATGAATCAATTATGATTCTTCCAGTTGCAAATGATAGATAAACTCAATTTATTACATTTCAGATTATTGGCTCTCATAAGCATCAAGTGTTAAAGACAAAGTTGGATACTAAAGTTGGATAATACACTAAAGTAGTAAGGCCAGACCATAATCTGTAATATACTATTGCAATAATAAAAGAGTCCAGTGTGAGCTGAACTCAACCTTCATTTGTACAGAGGTGACTTCGGATGATTTTAAAGGGAGATTAAGAAAATAGGGAGGTGGATGAACAGCGGCTCTGTAAAGTAAGGGAAGTAAAAAATTATAAAAAGTGGGAAGATGGGGGTGGCCCATGTGAAATTCATCTGGATTTGCTAACTGGTGCTTATTAAAGTTAAACTTTTACCCTTCCAGAAAGGCTGGGAGACAGGGGCCCTATCAGGTGCTAGCTGGAATAGACAGTTAATAGACAGTTAATTCTTTTGCACCCTTGAGTTCTCTCAGACAGGCACTTTACATTGAACTAGAGTCATCCTCGGGATGCAGCCTTGATCTGTTAAAAACTGTTAGTGTTTTGTTCAAGTCATTATAGACCAAGGTTGAGGCCTAGTTAAGAGAGGACTCAGACGAGGCTAGCAAGAGACAGACAATCTTTGTCACAAGTCAGAGAGAACTATCACCCATGGTTAGACCCAGCAGCTCAAATAACAACAATATTTATTGTTCTCTATCTCACAGCAATGATTCCTTGTTTAGCTTCTCTCCTAAGCAAGGTGATTCCTCTTGGTGACTCCTTGAGCACCAAGCTTTTCTCATCATCAGCCTCAGTAACTCCTGTGCAAAAGAGTGTCTGCCTCTCTCTAGTCACTGTGTGGAAGGCAAAATTTTATCTTTACCCTCATGTTTTTTATCCTCTGGGCCTGAGAATTAAATTGACACCAGAAAGATTGTTAGGAGAAAAGCCTACAAATTTATTAAATACAAGTTTTACATGGCCCAGGAGCCATCATAAGAAAATAAAGACCCAAAGACACAGTTAGAATTGAAAATTTATACTGAATTGGTCAAAGAGTAGTAAATTATGACAATGGAAAAAAAGCAAAGGAGCTTAGGCTAGAGTAGTAAATTGGGTAGTGAGATGACTAAGAATATAAGGATTACTCCAACGAGGTTTCTTTGTACTGATTCCCCTTGGCTTCGACTTCCCAACCTTGCTAAGAATGGTACCTTCCTTCTGGTTTAGGAAGGCCATTTTTTCACATGAGAAAAGTATATCCTGCTTTTAATAAACAGAAGATGGTCAGAATGATCATCTTGTACCTGTCTCGCTTCTTGTACTTGCCTTTAAATCAACATAGTAAATACGCCAGAGTGGAACATTTTGGGGTGGTATGGTCTTAACTCCTTCATTATTCCAGCAAAATTTCCAAGAAATGGCACAGATTGACAACCTGAAAAATATCAACCATTTCTGAATTAAAATACTCTGAGTGACGAATGTGATGTTCTTGCCGGCAGGATCTATTTCTCATAACTAGCGCTGGATCCAGAATTGCAGCCACCCTACCTAAATTATGTGAGCTAAGTGGGGGTAAATAGTTATCACAAAGAAAGTTATTCTATTGTCAGTAAAAGGGAAGGGGATGCTTGCCAAGAAGCAGAATATGCCCAGTAAACTAAAAAAGTACATCTTATTTTTCTGAGTCTTACATACGCCATTCCATAAACAAAGATTGTTTATAATGTGCAAAAGACCATACATGTGAGGCAGTGGTCAGAGGCAGAAGAAGACATTGGTTCACATGTGAGAATGGCAAAAATCTTTAATCTTGGCAGTAGGACTTAAATTCAGAGAATTATAACTAAGCTATGCATCTTTTTAAAAATCATATTTTTATGTTTTTAAAAAGCATAAATATAATAAAATATTTTTTCCTAGGCGGTATTCTGCAGTTCCATAATTCACATTGCTTTTCATTCTTAAACTTGGATTTTAGTGGCTATTAGTCTATAATCTTAACTAACTGCTTTTCTACACTGGAAAAGAAATATTTATAAATTACTAAGAAATCAAAATCCACATGACATCTGTTGCTCACAGCAAGAACATTACTCATTCACTTTTATTGTTCAAACTGATTTACATTTGACGTAGAGACAATTAACTACACACATAATGAAAAATAATCACATAATTAAATATTCTTCACAGCACCAGAATGCTTTAAAATATTACTGTGGGAAGTTGGTATCCCATTGTGAGGGCAATTTTAACAAAGTAATACAAAACGTGATTTTAACATTTTTTAAATCCCTTTTCAGGTGTGAGAATATGCTTAAGGTTAGGAGAAAAATAATCATGTTTTCTTATTTTCAACTTCAATATTTTAAAAACTCTCTTCTATTTTTAGAGAATGTATGTAAAGAAAAAATAAATTATTGTTGAAATTCTAGTGTTTCAGTGGATGAAGATAATACATAAGTAGTACCAATGGATTATATTAACGTAAATTCTATACTGTTGGCAAGCTTGGTATTCTGCTGAGAGACATTCAAATCTAGCCTACAACTTAGCTCTCAAGACATTTTGGAGGAAGGTTTGAGATTCTTCATGAGGTGTCACGTAGGAGTGGGGTAGATATTGTGATGGTGTTTCGCTTTGGAAGCAGCAATTCTAGAAGAATAAAAAGCACCTGGCTTAGTTTCTTGCTTGTGGTCAGAATTGTTTTTCAATTTATTTAAAAATTCAGGTCTTGTAAAATCTTTAGATATGGTTACTCAATATATACTGACAACATGACTCTTAACACCACTGTACATTTTAAACCATATTCAACTCGGCATTGAATATGACTAACAACATGACTTAACACAATCATCTATTTTAAACTATATTCACCTTGGTCTTCACACGGAAATGGCGGAAGTCTAGTGAGTTTCATTCAAACTCTCTGTTGAAGTTTGGAGGCTACAATTTTCATTGGTTCTCTCTTCTCTGGTCCTTATTCTTACCTAGTAGTGTGTCCAGAATTGGTGGGTTCTTGGTCTCACTGACTTCAAGAATGAAGCCGCGGACCCTTGCGGCGAGTGCTACAGTTCTTAAAGGCGGCGTGTCCAGAGTGTGCTCCTTCTGATGTCGGATATGTACAGAGTTTTTTGCTTTCTGGTGGGTTCGTGGTCTCGCGGGCACAGCAGTGAAGCTGCAGACCTTTGCAGTGAGTGTTACAGCTCATAAAGGCAGTGTGGACCCCAAGAGTGAGCAGTAGCAAAATTTATTGCAAAGAGTGAAAGAACAAAGCTTCCACGGTGTGGAAGGGGACCCCAGCGGGTAGCCACTGCTGGCTCAGGCAGCCTGCTTTTCTTCTCTTATCTGGCCCCACCCACATCCTGCTGATTGGTCCATTTTACAGAGAGCCGATTGGTCTGTTTTACAAAGAGCTGATTGGTCCATTTTGACAGGGTGCTGATTGGTGCATTTACAATCCCTGAGCTAGACACAAAAGTTCTCCATGTCCCCACTAGATTAGCTAGATACTGAGTGTCCATTGGTGTATTTACAAACCCTGAGCTAGACACAGAGTGCTGATTGGTGCATTTACAAACCTTGAGCTAGATACAGAGTGCTGGTTGGTATATTTACAATCCCTTAGCTAGACATAAAGATTCTCCAAGTCCCTAACAGACTCAGGAGCCCAGCTGGCTTCACCCAGTGGATCCTGCACTGGGGCCCAAGGTGGAGGTGCCTGCCGGTCCTGCGCTGTGCACCTGCATTCCTCAGCCCTTGGGCAGTTGATGGGACTGGGTGCCGTGGAGCAGGGGGCGGCACTCGTAGGGGAGGCTCCGGCCTGCGCAGGAGCCCACCGCGCGAGGGGGTGGTGGGGGAGACTCAGGCATGGCAGGCTACAGGTCCCGAGCCCTGCCTGGCGGGGAGGCAGCTAAAGCCTGGTGAGAAATGGAGCACAGCAGCTGCTGGCCCAGGTGCTAAGCCCCTCCCAGCGGGGCCGGTCGGCCACTCTGAGTGCAGGACCCACGGAGCCCATGCCCACCCAGAACTTCTGCTGGCCGGAAGTGCTGTGCACAGCCCCAGTTCCCACCCGCGCTTCTCCCTGCACACCTCCCCACAAGCTGAGGGAGCCGGCTCTGGCCTTGGCCAGCCCAGGAAGGGGCTCCCACGGTGCAGCGGTGGGCTTAAGGGCTCCTCAAGCGTGGCCAGAGTGGGCTCCAAGGCCGAGGAGGCGCAGAGAGTGAGTGAGGGCTGTGAGGGCTGCCAGCACGCTCAGTAGGACATATTTCTCAGACTTTTAAACACATAATATATTAATATTCTTTGTACCTCCTTCAAAAGCTTTATATAATATTTCAGTTATAGAAGTGTAAACAAATACCACATCATAATATAAGCCTAGGAAGACTCAAATATAGCTTCTAAAAATCACTAATATCACTAAAATTTTACTTCATAAGGAAAAAAATTATATTTTAATCTATCCAAATGTTTTATAAAACAAAATACAAGAAAAATCTAAAAGAGTAATATAAATATGAAATATAACACTATTCTAAATTATTTATGATTAGTAAAAATACTTATTCAATCCCATGTAAAATTATTAATAATAGTAAGATATTTTTATTATTAATAATATGATAAATAAGTTTAATTATTTGGAAAATCCTGGCTTTTGCATTTTTGATACAATATTTTATAGCTCTAATATTAATTTTACATCTCTTTTGTAATAATAGTCATAAAGAAAAAATAGAATTACAAAGGTATATAAAACAAACCAAAACAGAGATGCTCACTCAAAAAATTATAAACATTTTTAAACCCATTCACCATGAAGTCATAGGATTTGTATTTGTTTGTTTCTATGTTTTCATCTATCAATGGACTTGTAAGCAAAACTTCTTGAGAAATATAAATTGCTTTCTGAAACTTTAAAAAATTGTTGTCCTAAAAATACATAATTTTATAGATTCATAAACCATTTTAATTCTTTATTTGAAATGTTATTTATGTAGATATGGGTTTCCAATATTTGAAAGTCTGCACATAGAGGGTCTTTTACGTTGTTACTTAATTGTGTGGAGCAACAGAAACTCTCATTCATGGTGATATGAATGAAAAATTGTTCAGCCACTTTGGAAGGTAGTTTGCTAATTTCTTATAAATCTGAACATACTCTTGTCCTTGGTATTCACTCAAATTAGTTGAAAATTTATCTTCACAGAAAAAATTACACGTAAATATTTATAGCAACTTTATTCTTAATTGCCAAAACTTAGAAGCAATCAAGATGGCAGCTCTGTGGCTGGATTGTGTGCCCAAAGCTTCCTCTAGCTGAAATTGCACACCAGTTATTCTATCAGTCTGAAGTCTCAGGAGCAGCTCGGCTCCCACTGCTCTGCTGGGCATTGCCCTTTTAGAGGCTCCTTGTGGTAGCCCTGGCCCCAGAGCAGTTTTCTGACTGGGCCCCAAACTTCTCAGGAGTATTCTTTGAAATCTAAGTGGAGGTAGCCAAGCTTCCGTGGCTTATACACTCTGTCATAAACACTACCAAAATTTACTACATATGCCTTTTGGAGAGGTTGCCACCATGGCCCTCATTGCATCTGAGCCCACTAGAGCCTCACCTGAGTCAGCCAAGGAGCAGGGCAGTAGAACCTTGAAATCTTTCTGTTCCCTGGGCCCTTGCAGTTTGCCTGTAATGGAAGAGGCATCCCTGATGATATCCAAAATGTCTCTGAGATAATCCTTTCATTATTTTGGATAATAGGTCCTGGCTCTATTTAGATGGCTTTTTTTTTTTTTTTTTTAAGACAGAGTCTCACTCTGTCACCCAAACTGGAGTGCAGTGGCATGATCTCTGCTCACTGCAACCTCCACCTCCTGGGTTCAATCGATTCTCCTGCATCAGCTTCCCAAGAAACTGAGATTACAGGCACGTGCTACCATGCCTGGCTATTTTTTTTTATTTTTAGTAGAGTCGGGTTTCACCATGTTGCTAGACTGGTCTCAAACGCTTGACCTCAAGTGTTCCACTGACGTTGGCCTCCCAAAGTGCTGAGATTACAGTAGATGGCTATTTAATCTCTTCATTATACTAACGAATAATTCTTAGATTCATTTGAGATGGCTGATTCTAACTAATCTCCTTATTACATTTCGTCACAGCCTCACACCCTTCATTTTTCTTCCTGAACAAACTTTTTCATGTTTTCAAGTACAAATAGCCTGAAAATTTTCCAAACTTTTAAGTTCTGCTTTCCTTTGATTAACAATTCCATTTTAAAATCATTTCTCTCTTCTCACATTTTACTATAGGCAGTCAAGAGTATCCAAGCTGAACCTTCTATACATTGCTTGGAAATAGCTTCAGCTAAATGTCCGATTTTGTTGCTCACAAATTCTACCTTCTAGAAAACACAACAAGCAAATAAACACAATTCAGCTAAGCTCTTTGTCATTTTATAACAAGAACCACATTTCTTCAGTTTCCAATACCTTGTTCCTCATTTTCCTTTGAGGCCTCATACAGAATGGATTTTACTGTCCCTATTTCTACCAACCTTCTGTTTATGACCACCTAGATATTCTCTAAGACATCGAGGCTCCCTCTATATCTCTCCTCTCTTCTTTCTGGGCCTTCAGTGGAATTGTCCTTAATGGCAGGATATAGGCTTTTTCTAGCATGCACATCAAAACTTTTCTAGGTTCTACCCTTTACCCAGTACCATAGTCAGCTCTACATTTTTAAATATTTGTTTTATCAGCATCCCACTCTTGGTACCAATTTTCTGTTTAATCTATTCGGAATGCTATAACAAAATACTATAAATAGGTAGCTTATAAACAACACAAATTTATTTCTCACAATTCTTGAGGCTGAGACATCCAAGGTCAAGTGGTGGCAAATTTGGTGTCTACTGAAGGCTCATAGACAATGACTTCTTGCTGCATCTTTACATGTTGGAAGGGACTAGCTAGCTCTCTGGAGTTTCTTTTATAATGGCATTATTTCCAATCACGAGCACTCCAGCCTCATTACCTAATCACCTCCTAAATGCCATTACTTTGGGGGTTAGGATTTTAACATATGCATTTCAGGGGGCACATAAATGTTCAGACAATAGCAATCAATTAAAAAATTCTCTATATCTATCTCTATCTATCTATATACATATATATATATATAGTTACATAGATTCACAGCCTGTTGAAAGTCTTCCTGTGCAAAGCTGTCTAGATATGAGTTTCCAATTTTTAAAAGTCTTGAGATAAGGGAGTTTTTATATGTGAATTATATTGTTTTCAGCAGCAACAAAAAAAGTTAGATATATTTCCATACATCTGTGTTTAAATTTTTTTTGCCTTGGCACTCTTTTGTTTTGGAAATGATACTTACTTCTTATTTTAAAAACTTTCTTTCACTTTAGGAAGATAGATTCCTATTTATTCTTTAAATGCCCCATAGTTATTTTACTAGCATATACATTCCATTATAGAAAATATTGATAATTTTGGAACACTTGTCTTTTGGTAGAAGGAAAAATGTTCAGAATTAACTGTAACTGAAATTTGTTAGACAGTTTACCAAATATCTCTTAGTTTTCCTGGGATAGTCTCAATTTAAACCCACTGTCCTAGTATGATGTCCAATAAAGGCCATGTTTTACACTCAAATGTGTTGCTTTTGGACAACAAATTATGATGCTCCTCAGTAAGAAGAAAAACTAGAGTGACACATGTGATATAAAATCACCATTAATTATCACTGAGAAGAGTTGCTCTTGGCTCTGATTTATGTTTGACTCACAGCACTGTACAGGATATTCTGTGCCTTAATACAGATTATATTCTGTTTTTGTCATAAACAAGTTATATTAGGTCTTATCAGAAAACCTGAGAGGAAGTTTAATTTTAATAGAGGACTGTTAATCACTATGTCCCTTGTCAACATTTTCTATACCTCTTCCCAGTTAATTTATGATGTACCCCACCCCCCTTGTTTCTCTTTCTCTTGAAAGTGTTTTAAATGAGCCCAAACTTGAGACCAAAAAATTGCAGAAAATTGTAATTGGATATGCTGTGAAATCATTCCATTCTGGATATTACTACATATGTTCATAATGAAAGAGGGAATAATTATATGTATTTTTTAGGCTTACTTCCCATTATAATCTTGAGATACTGTTGAGTGATGGTTTGGTAATCCAAGTGTCTCTGATAATGACAATAGTCCCAAATTTCTGGGTCACTGTATAAACTACAGTTTTGCTAACACAGTGAAAATTCTGTTTTTAGATGAGTTTTAGATAAGGATCAATAAGCATGTGGGCAATTAAATTCAAACTATTTGGCTATAAACTGCCTCAGTAGACATATATTTCTTTAATGTGTTCACTTTAATGCGGTGAAAATAATTGTATTTACATTCATATGTATTAGTTTCTGGTTTTATTTAACAACAAATTTTAAGAATTGGGAATACTTTTATTTTGCCTTGGCTTTCCTCCCTTCCTTGAACTTGTATCTACTTATTCATAAACATGCAGGGAAGACAGCAGGCGAACAATGATCCATCCTACATTGAACATTATACTTCTACATCAAGGATAAAGAGGGTCCAAGGAAATTAATCCTTTGCCCTAGGAAGTTTATTAAAAATGCTAAATCAGGAGCTGATGGCAGCTTAAATAGCTTGAAGTAACACTCTAGGGGAAATCCTCTAAAATCCTATCTGCTAAGGCAGATTTGGTTCAAGAAGAGGCAAAGATCAAGTAAGGAAAAATAGCCTAGTTTTAAAACACTACTGACCTTAAATATTAAAGTTAAGAAACTAAAGAAAATGTTTACACAATAGACATATATCAGTAAGAGTTCTGTTTAGTACTAAAAGTCTGAATTCTTTTTTAACTTAAGAAGATATCTGAAACTAAATAACTAAAACTATCTCTGAACAAAAAATAAAGTATCAACAATGAAAAATTGCTGCTTAAACATTTATATTCATGCATAAGTGGAGCTTATCTCCTATAAATATTTGCTGTGAAAACTATACAGAGTGAAATGCTTCTTTGAATAAGACATAGTCTCAACTTCAGGACTTGTTCATCAAAGAATAGGAGGATGGAGTCTACACCCCAATCTTCTATTACATGTATTGTAATTCATTGAGGTGTATGTTAAGAGTCATAAAGTGTGATTTGGCAAATATATATCATGCTCTGTAACATATATAATAAGGATTTTTAGACTAGAATAAAAATTAGCTCTTGAAAACTCTAGGAGACACCTCTGGTTTCCGTTCTGATATGTAAAGTCCTTGTAAGTTATCAATCTCATAAGAAAAAAAATAATTGATAATGAGAACTCTTGTTAGATTTATTAGAGAATTGAGGTCACATAGCAAACTACCACCCTGGAAACAGAAGACACAGACAAATACAGTGAATCACAGCTGATAGAGAGCAGAAGACACTGGAGCCAATAACAGGTAAGAACACTTAAACAGTAATTGACAAATGACTATAGGTTGAGTATGGATTATTTTGAAAATTAAAACTTCTGGGGACTCCATCTTGGGAAAGATCTCACACTTTCTTGAGTTTTACCTCCAGGATCCCCACCAGGTTCTTTTGGTAAAGATTGGAAAACACCTTCTACTTCCAGTAGAAAGAGGTAGAGTAGAATGAGGTGGAGTGCCATTTTCAAATATGCTCAGAGCATAATTTTCTCAATAACAAATTTCTCTCAAGGGAAAATATTTTACTAGAACCTTCAATGGCCTAGGAAAAGAGGAATTAAACAGCTCCAATATTCTCTAGCCTTCAGATCTCATGTGAGGGAGAATTTTAAAAGGCTAAGGAATGCTTCCAAAGGTCACTCCCAGAGATTTTGGCACACTCATAAAATGAGCATTTAATCATAAAATTACAGAATGTCTTCCCTCCCTAATACCTTACCACCACATTGACAGGGATCCAGGATAGAAACAGTGGATTATAACTGAAAGAGCTACAAAACACAGACTCCATTTAAGGAGTTCCTAAGGAGTCTCAAAGACAACATGGAAATTAAAGCAAGGACATTAGAGGAAATTGAAGCCTCTGATTCCTCAGCTACAGCAAATATTAACCAGAGCATAGACTCCTGGCCAAATAAACATAAAACCTCACACAAAAAGCCTATTTCTCTCAATTCTTATTACCTGATACATCATGTTTTTGCTTTCAAAAAAAATATTACAAGACATGTTAAAAAGGCAAGAATAAAACAGCCTGAAGAGACACAGCAAACATCCATATTCAGATATGATAGAGATTTGAGAATTATCAGACAAGGAATTTAAAGTGACTGTAATATAATTCATATGCTAAGGGCTTTAATAAAAAAATCAACAACATGCAAAAACAGATGAATAGTGTAAACAGAGAGATGGAAACCTTAAGAAAGAAACAAAAGGAAATGCTAGAAATCAAAAACAGAGAAAGATAATTTTAAAATGACTTCGATGGTTTTATCATTCAACTGGGCACAGATGATGGAAAAAAAAATCAGTGAGCTTGAAGATATGTACACAGAAACATCCCAAACAGAAATATGAAGACAAAAATAAAAACAAGCAAAAAATTCTTAAATCAGAACACTATGCTTAATAACTGTTAGACTATTGCAAAAGATGTAAATACAGATAGTGGGGTTTCTGGAAGGAGAAGAAAGAGAGACGGGCAAGAGAAATATTTGAACTAATAATAGTGGCTAATAATTTTTCAAAGTTAACGACAATATGCCACAGATACAGGAAGCTCAGAGAACACAAAATAGGGTAAATGTTAAAAAATAAACATCTGGGTTTATCATAGTAAAATTTCATAAAATCAAAGACAAAGAGAAATGCTTCAAAGAAGCTAAAAGGGGAAAACTCATTTTACTTATAAAGGAGCAAGAGTAAGAATTACTTCAGATTTCTCTATAAAAATGATGCAAACAAGAAGAAAGTAGAATAAAATAAAGTATTAAAAATATATACAATAATGACCCAGAATTTTGAACTGTGAAATTGTCTTCAGAAATAAAGGAGAAATAAAAATTATATTTAAATAAACAAAACCAGAAATAATTTGTTGCCAGTAGAAATGCATTGCAAAAAAAATGGTAAAATAAAATCTTTTTTTCCTCTTAATTTATTTAATAGAGCTGTTTGTTTAAAAAATAATTGTAGGCCAGGCGCAGTGCTCATGCCTGTAATCCCAGCACTTTCGGAGGCCGAGGCAGGTGGATCACCTAAGGTTAGGAGTTGGAGACCAGCCTGACCAACATGGTGAAACCCCATCTCTACTAAAAATACAAAATAAGCTGGGCGTGGTGGCACATGCCTATAATCACAGCTACTTGGGAGGCTGAGGCAGGAGAACTGCTTGAACCCGGAAGGTGGAGGTTGGAGTGAGCTGAGATTATGCTACTTCACTCCAGCCTGGGCAACAAGAGAGAAACTCTGCCTCAAAAACAAGCAATCAAACAAATAAACAATTGTAACAATATACTGAGTGATTCAAATAAAAAAAGAATGCTAGCAAGGCAACAAGTTGCAGATGGAGAAATTGAGAATACTCAGTTATAAGGAGAAAGATCAATTATAAATATACAAGAATGTTAATTTAAAAATCTTGATAGTATATTAAAATTCATAGAACTGTACACTAAAAAGGTAAATTTTACTGTATAATAATTTAAAAATATATAATATAAAGCTTTATACATATTTAAAACTAATAACTCTGGGAAATCTAGACAAGAAAAATTTTATAATACTAAGCCTATCAATGAATGCTTCATACATGAAAGAGCCCAAAATATAAATCAAAATATGAAAGGTAAGACATTTTAACAGCTAGGGACAATGAGGGGAGGCTGTTTGGGTGGAAGAAATGACATTATCAAATATTCCAATATGCTTCAGCCAAGGCATGCAAAGAGGAATATGTATTGCCCAGCAAGAAAGCACAGAAGATTATTCAAGAAATAATTCCAGCTCTATCCACTGGAAAGATTGGAGCTTCAGTTAGGAATTTAATAAAATAGTCCTATTATGTGATAACAGGCCTTGAAAAAGAATCATGGAAATGAAAGAAGATATATAATCAGGAATAGGTTCAAATAGTAACTGGGTAAACTAAAAAGGGCTTTGCATAATTTTTATTTTCTTATTTATTTATTTATTTATTTATTTATTCATTCATTCATGCAAGAATATACTCCTGTCAAGTCATTTTATAATTGGTTTGTGCTCATTATTCCAGTGTCAACTCAAATGCCATATACCCAGATCGATATTTCTCTTGATCATACTTTGTCACAGTATTTCATCCTGGTAGAATTATCTGAAATTAACTAAATTAATTTATTTAATTGTTTGTCTCCCAGACCACACTGTAACAGAAGAAATTTTGTCAATGGCTGAATCTCAATCATTTTGCAAAGCACATAATGTCAAATCAATATTTGTTTATTGACAAAGCATGTGAAAAATGAAAAAAGGTAATAATCAAAAATAATCTGGAGCTTAGAACCCGGAAAACTGGTAAAATACACATCGAATCTAGAGACATCAAAGAAGAAATTTCATTAGTGAAAAATGATCGACTCAGCTTTGGACATCAATGCTGTTTGCAAATATTGAGGTAGTGATATCTAGTGAGGAGATGAAAATGTAAAATTAGCATTTAGTGGAGTGTTTGAGACTGCAAATATAGACTAAGCAGTCATTACATTAAATTATTGCTGAAAAAAATAAATTAATGCTGAATAATTAGCAGGAATAAGATGTCTCAGAGAGAGAGGGGCTTCAAGTGTGTGTGTGAGAGAGATGAAGCAAAGGAAAATAAAAGGGATAGGTCAATAATATACAGAAGCAAATCTGTGTCAAAATCAGAAATAAGAAAGTGTGAAAAGTTTAATACTGCCAAAAATGAGAAATAGCCAGATTATTAGAAAATCTGGAAGTAAAGTTTGTACGTGAAGTGCAAATATTACTCAAATATATATTAGAACTTAGAAAACAAAAACTTACAAAAATTGGGTAGAGAAATGCACGTAAAAAAAATAAAATGAGCCCAGAGAAGAAGCGAACATCAGGTATAAAAGTAATATGCAGCAACAAGGAAGCAAACATTTGAGAAATCTAACAATGTGGAAAGGTGGGAATATGTCAGAACCTCAAGGAGAAATTTGTTTTTGGAAAGGCACAATCTCTTTTTGAAGCAGGAGAACAGGAAAACATGGTAAGTGAGGTAAATTATATTTTAAGAGTGGTGAGACTCTTAAAGATAAGTGAGGTAAATTATATTTTAAGAGTGGTGAGACTGAGGAAGGTTATGCCAGATGACCTCCATCCTCAATAAATTATGTAGGATACTTCTCTATTGAAAGAGAAAAATGAGACTGAAAATGACGTTGAAATAAAGGGTTGGGAAAAAATAGACAAATTTAAAATACTTCTACAGAGACAGAATCAATATGAGATAAATAAAAGAATTGCTGGCTAGAGGTTAAGAGTTAGGAGACTCAATATCATGTTATTATACTGGGTACCTGTTACATGTTTCCACGAACATTTCCAGTAGTATCAGGCTGAATGAGAACAAGAAAAGCATGAAGACTCAGGCAGGAAACTGGCTTGGAGAGCACTATTTTTTTTTTTTTGTTTACTTGTGTAAATTTAATTATCTAAATCTGTACTCTATTGGCACTTCCTTTTAGATGTTTGCTTTCAATGGTTGGTTACCCTCCTATCTCTCTAGTTTCTTGGATGATGAATGGAAAACAAACAAAAAATGTAGTGTGATAATGTGTCTACGTTTTGTTTAAGTCTGTAAAGGTCTTGCTATGCTTTGCATGTAGAAAGAGAGAAGACTGCTTTCACCCTAACAATGAGAAAGAGACAAATAATCTGCAAAATTATAACTTTACTTGAGCCCATCAGAAATAGGAGGTACCAAGGCAACCAAATAAACTGAACTGGAAAGTGTGACAAGTCACTGCTAAGAGAAATGAGACAGGAACTTTTCACCTTTGGAGGATCATGGGAAAAAGTTAGTTGTTATACAAGAAAATGAGAAAAAGGAAGGTGGCCAAAAATTAACTAATTTTTAAAAGCCAAGAGTGGGGCAGTATGACAACTTGGAAAAAGGGGGAGCGAAACTCAACATGAATTTACAGCCTTCCAAAAGGGGCTCACAGGAAGAATTGAAGCAAGGCAAAACAAAACAAAGAAAGCTCTTCTCCATGATACAGGGTGCAGGAGGTGATTGGCTGCTGTGAGAGAAGGACACAAAGCCACGCCCACTTCCCTCATAACTTTCTCATTGGAGCAAAAACTTTAGGCTACTGGTGAAGGGCAGCTAACTCTCCAGCTCCCAGGGCCAGTGAAAACTCCATTGCTTTTGTGAGATAGGAGTGAGGGGAAGGAATACACACCTCTTTGTGGGGAAAGATAAGAACACTCTCACTAACAGCATGTAAGTAAAGATACATTGTAGCATACATTACATGTATGCTACATGTATGTAAGTAAAGATACATTATACAATGTAAGTAAAGATACATTACAGCATGTAAGTAAAGATACATTGTAGCGGGGAGGAATAGAAGTAGGGTTGCCAGATTTTGCAAATAAAAATACAAGATAGTTAAATTTGAATTTCAAATACAATACAAATAACTTTTTTAGTAAAGTATTTTCTTATATTGCATGGGACATATTTGCATGGACAGTAAATTCCATGGGATATATAATGATTTTATATATATATTATATATAATGATTTTATATATATGGATATATAATGCTTAAATATGACAAATGGTTAACTATTTATCATAAATTCATTGAACTTGGAATCTTGTATTTTATCTGGCAACCCGAGGTAGAGGCCGAAGATTTCTGCCTATAAAGGAGGAGCAGGAGCTCCTCTTATGAGCAGATGCTATTTACTCAATAGGCCATGTAAATTCAGCATCTGACTAGTTTTCAGTGGCTAATCTGCCACTATCATTTCTTATCTGAATTATTGGGAAAGTCCTGTAAGTGGAGTAACTGCTTTCCTCCTTGCCGGAATACAGTCAATTGTCAACACAGAAGACAGAATGTTACTATTAAAATCTAAGTCATGTCGTTTTATATCATATGATCTTCAACTCAAGTCTTCCAGTGGCTTCCAGTGTCACTCAGAGAAAAAACCAACATGTGTGTGGCCTATAAGTCCTTCCCTGAATTCATTTCCTGGCCAACAACAGGCTTTCTTGCTATTTATTGGATTTTCTAATCATATAGCCATTTCTGGTTCTTTGTGGTTATTTATTCCTCTGCTGAGAAGGCTCTTCTCCCAGCTAGCCACACATGGCTCTCTCTTCTCATTCTTTGGATCTTTTCTCAAATGCCGCTCAGTTAATTGAGTCCTTCTAGAACTGTGCATACTGCAATTGCACCTCACCATTCCCATCTATCTCACTCTCTCCCCATCATGCTTTATTGTTGATCTAAGACACAGCTTATTTTATGTTTTGCTCTGCTTAATTTTTTGTTTTGTTTTGTTTTTGTTTTTGTTTTTGAGATAGAGTTTTGGGCCGGGCACAGTGGCTCACGCCTGTAATCCCAGCGCTTTGGGAGGCCGAGGCGGGCGGATCACGAGGTCAGGAGATCGAGACCATCCTGGCTAACACAGTGAAACCCGGTCTCTACTAAAAATACAAAAAATTAGCCGGGCGAGGTGGCAGGCGCCTGTAGTCCCAGCTACTCCGGAGGCTAAGGCAGGAGAATGGCGTGAACCCCAGGGGGCGGAGCCTGCAGTGAGCCGAGATCGTGCCACTGCACTCCAGCCTGGGCAACAGCGAGACTCCATCTCAAAAAAAAAAAAAAAAAAAAGAGATAGAGTTTCACTCTTGTTGCCCAGGCTGGAGTTCAATAGCAGAATCTTGGCTCGCTGCAACCTCCGCCTCCCGGGTTCAAGCGATTCTCCTGCCTCAGCCTTCCAAGTAGCTGGGATTACAGGAGCCTGCCACCACGTCCGGCTAATTTTTGTATTTTTAGTAGAGACGAGGCTTCCCCATGTTGACCAGGCTGGTCTTGAACTCCTAACCTCAGGTGATTTACCTGCCTCGGCCCCCCAACGTCTGGGATTACAGTCGTGGGCCACTACGCCCGGCCTGCTTTATTCTTTTTGTTATCTCTTGTCTCACCTCACTAAAACAGAGATTGGGAATTTTTGTTTGTTTTGTTCATGGTTATATCCTAGGATCTAGAGGAGTTCCTGGAAACATAATTGATGCCCCATAAATATGTGTTAAATAAATGAGTACATGAATGTACAAATGAATGAGAGAACTACAGCATAGAGTTGAGTGAATGTTGCTACCAAAATAAAAATATTCTATTTTACAATATATAATAATGCTTTTTAGAAATGTTGAGAAAAACATGGTACATTTATATGCTCTTCCTTCTGAATATTCATACATTAGAGTATGACTTTTCTTGATTCCCTAGGGTGCCACAGTAACCCTCAATCTCACATTAAGTTTCCACATTGATATAAAGTGCTGCCTCAGATGGGACACACTGTAGCCTTTTAATACCAACATTCATCACGCTAAAATATATGCATGGCCTATAACTTCTGTGGAATAGCTTACAATGTGGAATAGGAGTGATCCCGAGGCAGAGCTTAAAATAAGCAAATAGGTCAAATGTTCAACTTACCTGCAATATTTTTAATTACTTGGCATATCTTTTTAAATGAATGTTCAGACCCTATCAAACCATCATGACACTAAACTTAAATGAGAGAAATACCAGGAGCCCCATGTGTTTCATCTTTTTTAATGCTCCAAGTAAAATGAATCTTTTGATTTTTTTTTCGTCCTGAAAATGTCTCTAAAGAACCAATGGTTTAAATGCAAAGTTCTTCCCTTAAGGAAAAGGTTCGAGGTTTTCATTTTTCTAAGAGTAAAATATTACTTTCTCACATGAAAGTTTTGTCTATTTTATTGCTAGAGTTGAAAAAAGAAAAAGTCTTGGAACTTCTTTAATATAGCCCAATTCATCAAACTGATTCTTTCTTGCTCTAGGTTATTTCTCATTGATATTCCCTTTGGTTGCTAGAAATTTCTAAATTAGTGTTTCATACAACTATGTGGCAAACATTATTTAGCTAACTATTACCTTTCATTTGTATTCATTTTGTGTATATGTGACTTTATCATTGCTTAGCATTATAATAACCATAAACGAGTGATTTATATTGCCATAGATAGAGAGATAAAAGTATTTCATTTAAAAATCAGCATCTTTTCTTATTATAATCTTTTAAAGAAAGAAACATCATTAAACATAAAATGTCACTATTTGTTTTAGTAGTATATGAGTGTGTGTGCATTACAATACTGGTGAACTATAGCTTTCAGCATCTTATTTTTTTGTTTAGATTTTTTAAATCTATGTGTCTTTTAAACCTCAAACTGTTGCCTTCTATTGTTGAAAGAGAAATGATGTAATCATGGTAGCAGTAACAACATATACAAGATAAAGAAAGTTTCCCCACATAAGGAAAAAAAATTCATTTCTTCTTTTTATTTCCTGGAAAGTGTACATAACTGCTTTGAATTCTACCGATCTAGAAAACGTAAACATATTCCACTCTTGTATTCATCTCTTTGTATGAAGTAACTGCAAGATTCTCTTTAAGGATTATTTTCAACCTCTGACTAATTACTATGTAAGTATATCTTCCAGATACAGTCATGTATCACTTAACAATGGGGATACTCTGTGAGAAATGAGTTGTTACATAATTTGATAGTTGTGTGAATATTATAGTGTATTTACAAAAAACCTAGACACTGTAGCATACTACACACATAGACTATAGGTTATAGCCTATTGTTCCTAGGCTACAATTATGTACAGCAGTTACTGTACTGTATGCAACTGTAATACAATGGTAAGCATTTGTGTATCTAAGCATGGTCTAAACATAGAAAAGGTACAATAAGTATGTTATTTATAGTCTCATGAGACCTCTATGATATAAGTGTCCATTAACTGAAACATTATGTGGCTTATGACTATAAATATTTGGAGGAGACAAAGAATCTATAATTTTCATGAGAGTTTATAATCATTAAATAAGATAAATCATTAAAAATATAAATAATATTTATCATTTACTATTAAAAATAACTAGTACTAAATTTCAAAAAGTTTTGGTAATTTTCTGTCTCCTGTTTCTATGCTTTGTAAAATTTAATTATGTAAATGCTCCTATGAAATTATACTTTTGTTTACTTTAAATAGATTTATACCCAAAACGTAATTTTTACAGTCCTGACGGTTCCTGTCTGTGATGGTTAGTTTTATCTGTCAACTTGGCTAGGCCATGGCACCTAGATATTTTGCCAAACACCCATCTAGATGGAGCTATTAACATATTTTTTAGATGAGATTAACATTTAAATCAGTAGACTCTAAGCAAAACAGATTAACTTCCATAATGTGAGTGGGCCTCATCCAATCAGTAGAAGGCCTTAGAAAAGACTGAGGTCCTCTGAGGCAGAGATAATTCCACCTCTGGACAGCCTTTAGGATCCAACTGCAACATCAACTCTTCTTTAGTTCTTCAGCTTCTGTCTGCCTGCAGATTTTAGCGTTGCCAACCCTCATAATTGCATAAGCCTATTCCTTAAAGTAGATTTCTCTCTCTTTCTCTCTCTCTCTCTCTCTCTATATATATATATATATATGTACCCACACACACACACATACAATCATGTATAGCTTAATAATGGGAATACAGCTTAATAATGGCAATACATTCTGAGAAATGCATTGTTAGGAGATTTTGTCACTGTATGAACATCATAGAGTGTGCTTACACAAACCTAGATGGTATAGCCTACTACATACCTAGGCTATATAGTATAGCCTGTTGTTCCTAGGCCACAAACCTGTACAGCATGTTATTGTACTGAATGCTGTAGGCAATTGTCACACAGTGGTAAGTATTTGTGTATCTAAGCATATCTAAGCATAGAACAAGTACAGTAAAAATACCATATTGTAATCTTATGGGACCACCACAGTATATGTGGTCTGTTCTTAATTGAAACATTGTTATGTGGCACAGGACCATATAAATATATACATATGTACAAACATATCCACACAAACGCACACATTCTATTATTCCTTTTCCTCTGAAGAATCCCAACTAATATATCATTTTACCACAGTATCCATTGTAAATATGCTTGGCTTATTGGCTGATACCATCTCTGCTGTAGCCTTTCTTCGGCCTTTCTTCCCTCTGACCCTTCCCAGGCTACCAAAGCTCACCATTTTGGGCATAGAAGCTCCTGTGGGAAAGAAACAAGAGTTGGGACTTTTGGTGATCTTATAAATTCAGAGGAGGAAGAATGGAAGAAACTAAAATGAAAGTAAGACAAATGATTTCCAAACTAATCCAGAAAATCATCAGCCTTAGTGAAGATAAATTGAGAAGTCAATTTTAAAACCAAACACCGCATGTTCTCACTTATAAGTGGAGCTGAACAATGAGAACACATGGACACAGGGAGGATAATAACACATACTGGGGCCTGTAGGTGGGGGACAGTAGCTGGAAGGAGAGCATTAGGAAAAATAGCTAATGCATGCTGGGCTTAATACCTAGGGGATGGGTTGATAGGTGCAGCAAACCACCACGGCACACGTTTACCAATGTAACAAACCTGCACATTCTGCACATGTACCCCTGAACTTAAAATAAAAATAAAGAACTGCCTCTAGATACACTCACTATACATTTTAAAAAATTATTTTAAAAAAAACTTTAGGGTTTTCAAAAGGCAATAATTATTTACTAGTGTGAAATAGTTGGCATACTACATTCTTCCAAAAATATAGCTAAATAAGCAGCCTGTAATTAACAGGAGTTTTGCTCATGTAGAAGGACAGTGACTTTGAACCATAAAACACTTGAAGGCAGGTGAGTGGAATGGCTCAGCTAGGGGATCCAGGGTGGGTGCCTTCCCACCAGTGTGGGCCGATTAAGGCTCTATCTTGAAGGAAACTGGGTAACAAAGGGTTCTGAAAGGGAGAACAGCAGATATCAATAATAACAGCAATGGCAATAAGTAATTTCATAGCTTTCTTTAATGTTTAAACTATCCTCAGAAAAATAAGAAATCTCTGCTTCTTTTTTAGTTTTTATTGTTTTCTATCTTAGAATTCAGAATTCAGGCCGGCAGTATTAGCATTTTGTTCTCACTACATTAGAGTTTGTAGGCATTTAAAGGCTAAGTTGAGAATTGAACAAGTTTTATATTATTCCCATTGAAGTATTTGTTCAAAGTTGTAAATAATCAACTTAAAATTGAACTTTGAGAACAAAATGTAATTTTCAGGCTTGCCAATACTGTTACATGTATCATCATTCATTTTTAAAACAAAGTGAAGTTGAAAATATTTTGTCATCATTTTTGTTTATCTCTTACAGATCTGGATTCATAAAGACTTTCCAAGGTGGTTTAATTATTCCAAACTATAAAAAGCTCTGCTAATATTTACCAATGGGGTTTTTAAACTGCAGAGTATTGTTTCTGCTTTGTGACTTTGAAAGTTTAATTGATTGCTCTAGGGACACATTTTCAGTTGATTGATAGGAGAACATTTCAAATATTATAACATTGCATGTAGACCATAAATTTACAAATTGCTCCTTTATAAAACTGATAAAATTAGATATTTTTCAAAATAAGCAAATATCTGGAAAAAATTAAGACTCTTTGAATACACGATCAAATGAAATAAACTACTATTTACTAAATATCTATTCTGGAGAAGGGAAGGAACATTGGTTAGCAAAGTATAAGGAGAATAAAATTGAGTCCCTTCACTGAAAAGCCAAGACATAGCATAGAAGAAGAAAGAATTAGCAGTTAGCAAGGCCTCAAAAAAATCTTAGCATTTAGTATGTTCTTCAAATTTAGTACTTTTTTTTTCAGATCACCTAAGATTCCATTACTATTAAATTAAATTAAATGGAAATTGCTATTTCCATTTAAATCTGGTAAGGCTTGTAATCACATCCTACCTAGCTTAATCCTAGTAAATATCATCTTTGAAATGAGATTCAACATATTAATTGTGATCTTTAATACATATTACTTGGCTGTTTTTATATACCACCTAAAATCATCATGCATACATCTTGTTGTATACATGGCATACATTGGGAGACACTGCTTTATAGAAATACTAACTGAGGCTGGGCGCAGTGGCTCACACCTGTAATCCCAGCACTTTGGGAGGCCAAAGCGGGCAGATCATCTGAGGTCAGGAGTTCCACATCAGCCTGGCCAACAGGGTGAAACCTCGTCTCTACTGTCTTTACTAAAAATACAAAAATTAGCCGGCCATGGTGGTGCACGCCTGTAATCCCAGCTACTTGGGAGGCTGAGGCAGGAGAATTGCTTGAACCTGGGAGGCGGATGTTGCAGTGAGCCAAGGTTGTGCCACAGCACTCCAGCCTGGGCAACAAAAGCGAAACACCACCTAAAAAAAAAAAAAAAAAAAAATGCTATCTGAAAAAGCTCAAATTGCACCAAGCCTCGAGAATGTAGAATTTCATTGCTTAGCATAGGAATTTGTTCCACAGGACAACACTGGGTTTTAAAAACCTGTTCCTCACACTAAACCAAAATCTGTCTCCTAATAGTGCCACATGAAAATGTAGATACAAACTGGATTTTATCTATATTTAATTGGAAATTATACTGGGAATATAGTGACCATGATTTAAATGACTTCTATTTTAGAAATTATTTATTATTACTTACTAAGATGTTAATTTTAATAAATGTATACTGATTTATAGTGATCCTATTTAGTATTCTCAAATCATTTGCTTAATCATCTAGTCTAGAATATTTTCAGGATGTGTGGTTGAGTTTACCAATTCTCCTTCTTTATCTCTTTCTTAAAATGGAAATCCAAAAAGAATTTGCCCACCTGCAACTTTCTAGGTTGCAGTGTCTGTAATTACAAGTATTACAAGTGTCTGTAATTTCATAAAACTCTCCAGTTTTATTTTCTACTTCTACCGATTCTACAGTTTCATATTTAAGTACTCTTGGTATTTTCAGACATTCCGCAAAGAAACAATTTCATTTGTAAAAGTGCTCTTAACTCTAATATTAACATTGAGGTTTTGAGTCTTAAGTCATTAGAAAAATAGCAGAATTACTAGAAAAATGTATAAACAAAAATCATCTAGAGATGAGTAAATTCAAAATTTGTTTAAATTATCCTAAGAACATTGTCTGTAAATATTTTATAGTATGCATTGCTGACCAAGACTTTTAAACATTTCTAATTTTACTATGGTTCTTCATAGACTTTAAGACATAATTAACCTCAATGCATCAATGTATGTATGTGTACCGTGTATATAATTCTCCGTAGGTACACAAATTACATGCACATATATTTCCTTTTCCCCACGGAAAGTTATAACTCTTTCCAATTGCAATTTCCTAGATCAATCATCATTCATTCAACCAATTAGCAAACATTGAAACTTGATTTAATAAGATGACACATGTCAAGGACAATGTTTTGATCACACCTCCTGGTTATAACAGCTTTTGAGTCAAGCAGAACTATACTCAAAATTACTTGTAAAGAAAAGTTTGCATTAATTTATTTTAGGAAATCTTTGAAATTATCAGAATTGACATTCTCATTGAATTTTAATGGTTAAGATGACTTTCAGAAAAACACTTAGGCTTCACAAGTGTCAAAGTTGTTATTTAGTAGTTATTAGCCTAACATTATGTAAGAATTTTTATAACCTGGTATTATATGTCAAATAAACAGAAGCGAAGCTTATTCTTGTTTAGTTAGGTAGGTATTGAGGAGTAAAAGCTTTCTACCAATTATACACTTAGAAAGCCCTGATTTGTGGATTTGACTATTTAGGAAATATATATACATATCTTACCGCAGAAAACATAGATTTGTGTGTTTATGAACATATAGATGCTCTCTGTAATGAGACAGTGTGTGTGTATATATGTGTGTGTATACATACATGTGTATATGTGTGTCTATATGTGTGTATATATGTATTGTATATATATATGTGTATATATATATGGGTGTGTTTATATGTATACATGTATACATATACACGTACACACAATTTATGTATATGAGTTGTTCTTAACACAGAGCCTCACCTCAACCATGTGGCTTTACTGCTTATTCTCCGGAGGAAAAAAAAGATTTTAGGTGTAAACTTCTTTTGAGGGAGGAGAATCTCATGATACTAACATATCAATATGTTTACATTCTTAATTCCATTGCTTTTGAATTTATTGTGCAAATCTCCCATAGACTTTGGATTCCATTTCTTCTTTCTGCCTACAGAATTTAATCATTCTCCTCCTTCTTCAGTTTAACCTAGATAACTGCAAATAAAAACAAAAAGAAAGGAAAACAAAAAAACTTTATCTCAATATTTTTTACTTTCTTCCATCCTTGGGAAATATGAGTTTCCCAAGGCCTAGAGAGTACAGGTGATCGATAGTTGTGTGTTTAATAAGCAAATAAGTGCTTTCCCTTAAGGTAATCTGTTTATCTTAATCATTTTCTATGTGAAAGTTTAGAATAAGTTAAACACTTATATGGCTAAGTGGAGATAACAACCACTCCCACAAACACATCATATTACCTAGGAACGTACAAAGTACATTACAGAAAACATTGATAAATGTATTATTAGAAATATTAACACAAATACAATAGAATGGGAAGAAAAATTCCTCAATGATAAAGACTTTTTTTTTCATTTTACCCTAGACTATTCTCTTTTTAGTTAACATTAATAAAAATTCACAAGTATACAGTTACTCATGTCTCTCCTGTTTCTTGCAACAATTGAGAATGGGAAATAATAAGTTAATTTTAAATATTAGTACATCCACAGGACTTAGAAAAAAATTTCCTGGTTGAGATTAAATTGTTTATATAGGGAAAACAGTCACAAATTAAAGATTGTATGAATTATTTTTTAAAAAACATACATTCACAAAAAGATTCACATAAGAATCTTACTTGCAAGCTGATTTGTAATAGCCAATATTAGAAACAACCCACATGTCCATCAGCAAGAACATAGATGAAAATATTGTGGTATTTTCATAAAATGGAAAGCTATTCAGCAATAAAAAATTAAAAAAAAAACTAGTGATACATTCAATAGCAACATGATTGAATCTCAAACACATTACGTTGAGTGAAAGTAGCCAGATATCAAGGACAAGAACAGCCAAAACCCATCTGTGGCAATAGAAAATAATTTAATTTGGGGGCAAGAGGAGAGAATTGGTGAGAAAAGTGTGATTGGTTCATTAGACATTTCTAGGGTATGAAAATTTCTGTAGTTTGATTCAGTTTATGGTTATATAGTTATGTCTAATTGCTAAAACTCCCCAAATAGAACATCTTATTTCTGTGTTAATTTATGTTAACGATATATTAGTTTATATACATAATCTATTTTTCTAAAATGTTATGGTTCTGAGTGTTATGTTTTTGTCTACCTGCTGTCTCAAATTAATTTTGTATAGGGAGTTAGAAAGTGGTTGAAGTTATTTTTTCTTATATAATTTTTCTAGCAACAAATTAGATATATATATAAGGAAAAAATATCTGTGAAGATTTCTTGCTTCATTGTTAAACTTCTAGCTTTCAAATATGTGGGAAATCTCATGCTTTTTCACAGCTTCACTGCCAGGTTTTTCTGGGGGGCTTTTTGTGGGAGTTTTAGGTCTATAGTTCTGCCCTTTTAGTTCTATGCCTAAAATAGTTTGGCATAGAGTACAGTAGTCCCTTTCCTAACTTCTCTAGGACTAGAGACCTGTGCTGTGTGGAGGCATGGAATTCTTCAGAAAAATGTCTCTTAGTTCTCTTGCCACTCCCTCAGTATTTTGTAGGTGAAATTCCAGAATGCCCAAGGAGTTTCTTTTTGCTCTCTTACCCTGATTAGAGGCTTTTTGCAGCTGAAGATGTGCAGTTAATAGATTTCTCTCAACACTCCTGCCTCCTTCACCACTACCACACATGATGATGAACAACTAATAAAGATTGCATGTAGGTGTAATGTGCACTTTAGTAAGATGCTCACAACAGTCTGTATGGCACTGGTAAACCCAACTAGCATCTCTTCATCCACTTTCTTGTGGATTCATCTTCCTGTGTAGGTCTACCAGGCATAGGAAAGTTGAGAGCTCGTTCTCACCTGTATAGAACCCGAGACTTTCTAGAATTTAGTTCTTTGTGTGTGTGTGTGATCAATTTTATAATGACTTTCTCAAAACGATAATCACGATAGTCATTTTACAATGACTATCACAATAGTCATTTTATAATGACTTTCTCAAAACAATAATAATGAAATTTAACCTTTTTTTGTTTTTGATTCTTAGAGTGGGAATGCACATTTCATGCGACATCATGTTTCTCAAAGTTTACTGATAAAAAAATTAAAAATACATACATCCCTATTAATAAAATAAATAAAATTGACTAATATACAGAGAAATTATATATGGTTCTGTATTTAGGTGGATATGCACAAAAGAGGTATATATAGAAATAATGAGAATATGATGAAAGAAATACCTTTAATTTTGACATTTATTCTAATTACGCTCTTGCATATAACAATATTTTAATTAATATAACTTTTGAAAATATTGATCTATGCAAAATTAAAAACATAATTCTAAGAACATTGGGATAGATATTTGCTAAACATGGAATAGCCACAATACCCCATGCATAGTTATATTTTTGCATTTATTATCACATTTAACCTTACAAAATTATGAGATATGTGTAATCCCACATAATTTTATAAGTGAGAAAATTTTATAGGTTTTTATTTTATAGGTGAGAAAACTGTGGCAAGTGGAAAGGCCAGATTTAAACACATCTGATTTTACTACTGGGATTTTCTTTTAATAGAATGCATGCAGTATTGCCTTCAATTTTACAAAATAATTCTTTAAGGCACTATAAAGATAATTTAAGATAGATATACTTTATGGAATATAACAAGATGACTTGTTTGAATATAACATAGACATGAACAAAATTGCTTTTATTATTTTCCTCAAAAATCATACATTACATTTAATTAGGTATGCCATTGCTATATGACATAATTTAGTAAACTTATTATATTAAATAATATATTTATATCTACTCTGTCCCACTTTTTCAAAGGTTTATTTTCTACATCAAAGAATTATATTGAATCCCTACAGTATATTTCTCTCACCAGAATACTGACACCATAGTGAATTAACACTATGTTAATTCAAAGTTAAAATCCCTTTATACTTTAAATAAAACTGTATTTTTAAAAGATACAAGCCAAAGGGCAAGTATCTTTGGGAACCTCTGTACCATAGTCATTCTGTATGTTAAACTGCTAGCTAGGAAAGTCAGTTGTCTCTTATCTTCTCTGTATGTGTGTAGGCACATTATATACAAAGTAATAAGTATAATTGAAGCAAAATAAGAACCTTAATAATAAAGTGCAATAAGGTGGCTATAAGATGAAAACATATTAATTAGAAGTGCTCCACTTTTAATAATTTACGATGATATATATCAAATTTTTATCTTTTTTTTTTCATGAGCACCTTGTAGATCACTGTTTCTCGAACTGGCAACTGAGGCCAATGTAAGGTTCTTCAACATGGTATTGGAGCTCAACACTATTCTAGGTAAATTTTAGTGACAGAAAATTCATTTTTAAGTAAAATGAATAAAATGCTTTGTGTTAACATGACAACATAAATCTTAATTATTTTATATCTTTGGGAAAGATTATTTGATTTACCCAATGAAAACTAAGAAATCTGTTTCAGTCTTGGTGATTGAAAGACTAAACTGTAGTTTAGATTCTATATCCAGTTAGTTTCTTGTATTACTCTATTTATAATTATTGAAAACTCAACTCACAGCTACAGGTTGGGGAATGGCAGTGTTTGGTGGCTTCATCAAATGTGTCTGAATATTTGGCAGGGACCCACAAATAAGGAGATATTTATTTCTAAAATTTTTTAACAACCTTATATCATATGTTAACCTGATGTGTGTATCAGATTCAAAATTTTGAATGTTGAATATTTCAGTTTGTAAGCCAAAGCTTAATAAGCTTTAATTGATCCTTATGTTTATTTAAACGGTATAAAGAGCTTCCTAATTTCTGTGGCATATTTACATCTTTTATTAAAAATACACCCAATAATGCATCACCAGTGTATGTCTAAAAATAAAGAAATGAGACAAGCTCTTAGTTTTCAAATTATTCATATTATAGTTTGTTTGAAAATATCTGAATATTTTATCCACAACGTTAAAAATAATGTTTTATCTGATAAGTTATAGCTTCTAACTATACAAAATATTAAATGTACTCCTGAAGACACAATATAGGTCACACAAAATAACTGAAATGAATTTTTTTTGTATCAGTGGCAAAAATAAATACTTTTATGCCATCCATTAGTACCAAAATGCATGTGAGCACATTTCCCTTGGCAGTCTTGGTGCTGTTAATATAACTCTATTATTAAATAAATAATTTTTCTAATACTTCATTTTTTCTCTCCTACAAAATTATGCCATGATTACTAAGCTGAATGATGCTTCTTTAGGCCTCTTGTCTACAATTAATGACAAAAATTTATCAATTTTATGGTGGAAAATATTTAATGATTGTTTTATGAAACACAGACAGAAACCAATCAATACTTTTAACAGTGATTCTTGTGTTTTGTTCTAAAATGATGTGAAATTTTAATGAGCATGGACAACATTGTGTAACGTACAGAAAAGTAGGAGAGAAACTGTGACTAGATAACTGGTCTAATGCATACAGTTTTTAAGGTATTCATTGCCTTCTTTCCACAATTTTTGGGTTGCTTGTGCAGAAATATTTGTTATACATATTGCCTCATCTCAGTACACATATATTCACATTCTGTATTTCCTGAGTTCAGTTTACTATTTACATGTATACATTTTCCCATGTAATATTTTCATTTATGTGATTATTTTATTCATATTATTTCACAATATTTTATGCTTTAATGAAGGATTTTAACATGATCCATTCATTTGGTGGATTAGAACAATAGCATAATATTTTTCAAACCCCTCAAATTAAGAAATGTGAATAATTGTCAAATGACAAATAATATCTACTGAAATAGACTTGTAATTAAATGCTAATCAGGACAAAATGACACATATGTACTTTACATAGCTACATAAAATTTCCAAACATGAATAACTGAACATGTATTGACTTTCCATGAAAAATAGTCCTTTATTAATTTTTTAAATTATGTAGCAAATATGGAAAAAACTATTTTTTTCATAACTGATGTGTATATAAGTCATGGGTCCATCAGTGATCCACAGATAACACATGATTATTATTATATTAGTGGCAAATAATTGCTGAGAATTACCCACATATTAATATTTTTTAAGTTTCAGAATCTCTTCAGAATTTGATCAACCTACTGACTGACTCATTCATTATAATTTGTTTCCAATATTATAACATTCATTTTAAACAATTTTTGTTAATATTTTCCAAGTTATATTGGTAATTTTGTAGCATATTACTCACATTCATGACTTAGTTGTATTCACTGCAAGAGTCCATCAGGTAGTCTATTCCTCCATATTGTCAGTAGTGAAAACTTAAAGCATTTGTAAGTTGAGCAGCAGCTTAAAATTTGTACCTTAATACACTAAAATAATTAGGATATACATAATACACAATTTAACATAGTTTACATTGTAGAAAATTGTTTATAACATGCAATGACCTGGGTAGACTGGATAAGTGTACCCGATAATATACAAACTTGTTAAACAAGAGAAAGAATTAAACATATATCTAAAGTTGTATGTCTCTAATATAATACTGCTTAATTTTCAATCCTGTAAAATGTATGTGTAACTTGACAAAATCATGAACATTATATTTCATTTATTAAGAACTTTCAACATTTAAAACATGGAAATAAAAATCCAATTGCTAAATATTGCCAGAGAGGAAACCATCATTTTAGCTTAATTTTACCATAGGAAAAATGGCCAATTCTCAGGCTACACTGTTATCCTTGTTTTGATTCAAGATTATATATCTCAAATTATGTTATACATATATATGGCATACATTCGAGATTATTTATCTCAAATTATGTTTTTATATATATGGCATACATTGAATATAAAATCTCCAGTCTCACTATGTGGGAGAGTAATAATAAAAATGTGAATAAGAAAAGGCACGGTAAATATGGAATACTTTTTTAAATCAAATAACATTGTCTGTAGGTACATGCTCTTTTCATTTGCTTTCTTTATTCAAAACCGTTCATTGAAAGTACAGTTTCTATAAAAACCCACATTCATTTTTTTCCGCAAAGAATACCCTTCAATAATAGTGATCTCACATGCGTTTTGCACAAAGTCGATATTTTAGTTTTGTTCTTTATGATTACTCTCTCATGTGACACTGTGGGCAAGGATGCTTGTGCAGTAGTAGGCATTTAGTGGCAATCCTCTCAGGCATAAACTTTTAGCTTTCTTAAAATTCAGCTGAGTGAATTTTCTGGAGAGAATAACATGAGCAAGACACAGTGTTGGGACATTCCCTTTTCTCGTGGCTTTTATGGTATAGTAGTTTCCATGGTGGCTTTCCTCCTACTTGAACAAATGGAGAACCAGTCCACACTGGTTTATTCCCAAGGAAAGCTACTTATTATATCACACTGAGTTTGATTTCCATTCAGAAATTTGGGCTGTAGAAAGTAAAGCAAAGTTATTCCCATAACTATACTTTATAAATAAAATAACGTTAAAGCTAATAAAGTGTGCAATGTTTTAGAACTTCGAAATCAACTATGAAAGTTAAAATGTAGGCTTAAAGTCATTTATTCTCTTGGAATTCTTTTTTAAAGTTAATAATGTAAATATGTTTCCAAAGACACAAAAAAACCCAAATCCTATTAATTTATATAAATAATCACATGCACATGCAAACTAAGGCACAGTTGTATTTAATCAGCTATCATTACTTTTAATTATCTAGTTTATGATTTATGTGTTTAGCATGGTTTGTAGAAACAACTTTTTCTTGCCTCTAAACATCACATAAGAGCAGACATTCTTATCCCCATTCTATAAATATGTAAAATAAAATATGGATTGTTGGTTCAGTTCCCTGAAAACAATAAATCAATTAAATAATAAGAAATAAGTACAAGTTGAGTATCCCTCATCCAAAATGCTTGGGACCAGAAGTGTTTAGGATTTAAGATTTTTTTTTAATTTGGGAATATATGTATATATTTAATGAGCTATCTTGGAAACGGGACTCAAGTCTAAACAAAAAAATTATTTGTATTTTATATACACCTTATACATATAGCTGAAGGCAATTTTATACAACGTTTTAAATAAATTTTGGATGAAACAAAGTTTTGACTGTTTGGACTGTAATTCATCACATGAGGTCAGGTATGAAATTTTCCACTTCTGGCATCATGTAGGCACTTAAAAAGTGTTAGATTTTTGAGCATTTCAGATTTTGGATTTTTGGATTAGGGATACTCAACCTATAGTAGTTAAGGAATACTGGAGACATACCTGTTGAAGCAATTGAGTACAAACATCATGACCATCTTTTTACCTTTGCGTGCAGTTGAATATCTTGGACTACATCTAGTAATATTGTCCTTTCCTTGATGACAAGGTGAATTTGTAGCAAAACAAAATCATTCCTATAATTTTAAATGAACAATACCATTAAGTATCCTTCCCTCAATATTAAAGGAACAGAGGCATTATTTTTACCCTCTTTACTTTCTACTTTATCCAGATCATCTTTAGTATGACTTAACGTTATGAGATATTTGTTTTTAGATTATAGATCACATTCAGTTTCAAAGTTTAAGTGCTTCTTTGTTACTGTTTTTAACATAACTCTTATTATTTTTGACATCTTTAATGATCTATAAGCAGGCTGCCTTTGCCTTTTTTTTCTATGTTCAATTAGCTCAAAGCCATTGATTTCCCTGTCCTTCTTATGCTATAAACCAGTCAGTGGATGTTACTTGGATTAAGAACATTCACATCTTTTATAATGGCAGTTTCTTCCCGTGTGCAGTATCAGCATAAGGGTGTGAGTGTTGTCATCCATTTAAAGCTTATCAAATAGGGCACTTTGAAAGATTGCTTTCCACTGCAATTGATATATTTCTCAGAAAGCATATTGAATGGACCTTTAAGGGAATTAAAACATTTGAAGTGGGAATGGCTTTTCTTGTTTTGAAAGGACGTGATCCAGTATTGCCTATATAAAATGTGCTAGGATTAAGTTTTTGGAAAATTTCTACTATTCATTTTCTTAATTTTTATAGTAAAAGAGACTCTTGTTATTTCTACCAAACAAGGGGAGAAATATAACATGATTTGCCAAGCTGACAAAACTATCTCAGCATTCATTTTGTAAGCTGGCTCCATTGTCAGAGGATTGCAGCAGGGAAGGCAGAAGGGCTGAAATTGTAACAGAATTAAAAAACATGTTGTTGCTTGAAGCACTATGATGTTAATTTACTACTCAATAAATGCAACAAGCTTACACTGAGACTTGCAGGCCTGGAGAGAGAAGCAACTTGAAGGTATCTATGTGCATAGTTGCTTAGCTAATTATGAACAGTGGCTGATTAGAAATGTGCGGGGTGATTCTTCTACCAAAGTTTTATTCCCTACACCTGTACCCCTGAGTCCAAATGTTGCCAGTGGTATAAAAACCCAATGATTTACAAGACAACTTCTGAATGTATAATACCTTCAAAATATGATTAGTGCCCATTAAAATTATAAATATATTGGAATTTGACAGATGGGACTTTAATAAGCTGGGATCTCACAGGATTTGTAATGTTCTGCTGTTTCTAGCTATGGATATCATAAATCGCATGGCACACTCCTCTTTATAGAACTCTCCAGTGGCTTCCATTGCAATCAGTGTAAATAGATCAATTTAACCATGCTCTGCAAGGTCCTCCATGTCCTTACTGATGCCCACCTCTCTGATCTCTTTTCCCTCCTGTTTTCTACTACTTCCCCATTTCATTTCATCCTCATTGGCCTTCATTTTTGTCTCTTAACCATGCCCAGGCCTTTTACCCTGTGATTTTTTAAAAAAATCTTCGATTGTCCTTCTACTAGATAAAGCTGACTTATCTTCCATGTCTATAGGGAGGCCTTCCTGGACTAACATGTCTAAACCAACTCTTCCACACACCTCTCTTCCCTTGTTATTCTGTTTTTGTTTGAGACAGGGTTTCACTCCCATCACTCAGGCTGGAGTGCAATGGTTTGATCACAGCTCACTGCAACCTCTGACTCCCAGACTGAAGAGATTCTTCTGCCTCAGCCTCTCAAATAACTGGGACTGATGCATGTCCCTGTGACTGGGTAACTTTTGTATTTTTGTAGAGACAAGGTTTTGCCATGTTGCCCAGGCTGGTCTCAAACTCCCAAACTCAAGTGATCCACCTGCCTTGGCCTCCCAAAGTCCTGAGATTACAGGCATAAGCCACTGCACCTGGCCCCATTATTCTTTTTTTACACTGTCTGGCTCGTTTATTTTACATCACATGTTAGTATCTATATTTTCACGTGTTAATATTTTTTATTTTCTATATTTGCCCTCGCTCCAGGATTTAAGTCCTAAAACCTAGGGTCCTATCTGTCACATTTACATAGTCGGCAACCACACACCAAAACTGTTCACATTTGATGGAAAATAAAACTACTACTAGTTAGTGCATTAATTTATGAAATCGTTAAAGTTCTCATATATGCTTATTGGAAAATTTAATTTTCACTAAAATGATTATTAGACTGAAAGGTGGAAGTGCAGGTAAGAACAGCGTCCTCATAAATTTATATAGGACTTTTTTGTGGTTTATAAAAGCAATTTCAGTTCCTTATTTGGCTTGCCAAATAATGTATTTTAAAACACTACTATAATAATTCTAATTCTTAAACACATTTTTGCATTTTGTTGTTTTTGTTTTCAGTTGTTTTCTAAGTGACAGTTGTTTTCTAAGTGACAACAAGGAAATGTGGTTTTATTTGATTGACAATTGTCAGAGCTAGAAATTTTATCATCCAAAAAGTAGGTGTATTTAAATTCTAAATAAGTGTCTTTGATGCATTTAAAGATAAAAACAACAACAACAACAGAAAACACCACCTGTAACATGAGTAATTTGGAACAAAAATAACAATGAAAATACATGTGCTGGGAAATATGGCAGGCACTCACTGCTTGACACACTTTACTGATATTAATTCAGTTAATCATCACAGTAACTATGAAGTTGGCATTCTTTTTTCTGTTTTACAATTCAGAAGATTCAGACATGCAAAGTGAAGTGAGACACTCATGTTTAAAGAGACAGTGTTATAGCAAGTATCTGAAACTACACAGTCTGGCCTCTGAAGGAAAAGAGCTGATTTGGGCAAAAGAAAACAAAGAGAAACATCTCTTATTCCCTTCATTTAATAATACCTTAAAATGAACAAACAAAAACACAGTTTATAAGCACTTAACTCCTAATATCTTTGACATCTTTTTTATTCAATATGCATGTTTTTTTTTGGCAATTAGTTAATAAACTTTACTTCCTTTTGAAAAGCAGAATTTAAAATCCATATAAACCATACAAAATCCCTCTTCTATTGATGGCATTTTTTTGGTTAACACATAACTTGTCTTTTCTGTAAACATTTTGAATCTTTCTCACTGTGGCATTGAGATGTTTATTTGAATAAACCTGTTAAATTATAATTTTTCTTAATGAACAAATAATAGATCAATATGCCTTGTTAATCATTGATGTGTAGCAGTTTTTGCCACCTCTATGTAATTACTCTAAAAAATATATCAGTTCTATAACAATATTATACTCAAATGCATATTTCTTCTGAATCCTTTCCCTGATAGGGGACTGTGTATTAAATTTAGCAATATAATTTTCTCTTTTTGTAATCATAAAATATTTTATTTTACATGTTATTATTAATGTATAAACTTATATGGTTACATAACTACATAAAGCATAATTGTGTGTGTGTGTATGTGTGTGTATTTCCTGTACCCTTAGAGAAGTGAAAGCCAAGAATATGAAAATTAGTGGATAGGAATGTAACCACATCACACACAATTCCTTCCCACCTATAATAAATTCAGCTTTATGTTTCTTAAATTTACTTTATTGAAGTCTCATTGATCTTTCAAAGTGATTTCTTCCAATTTTCTTAAGTATCTACCAGAAAACAAGAACCAGATGGCTCCTCTCCCTGCCTATTTCTTTAAATTAAGCATAAATGTATTTTTGTAAAATGAATAGTGGTGACTCTATGTCTGCCAAAAATTTACAGAAAAAAACAAATTAGAGGAAATTATGTAAATTTTTGAACATCAAAGAAGGAAAAAATAAGAGTTGACAAAAGTACATAATTTGGATAGTAATTGTAATAATAGACCAATCTAATTTGCTTATATTTTCTTTTCCATTTTTATTATTCTATATGTTTGTATTCCTAGAGCTATTGCTAGAAGGTATATTATACATTAATGTACATAGTACACAGATCATAGCTCCATTAAGTCAAGCTGATTAACTTTGAAATTATGAGCTGTAGCTTGTTTTACCTGCAAAATCAGTCAACAGTACTTCGCTTTCTCATCAACCCCAGGTGGAGAGCCAAGGGGAAGGGGAAGGAGGCAATAAAATCCAAGAACAGAGGGTTATTTCAGCCCACTTGGTAACCAAGTCTGAGCATCTGGCAATCCAAGATCTCAGTGCTTATCTCAAAACAAGTGTGGATTTTTCTGTTCTGACCTCAGTTTAACAAATCTGACAAATCAAGGTAAAAAACACTGACATGACATCAAGACAATTTATGATTATAAAAAAGTTAAATTGGCCAGGCGCGGTGGCTCACGCCTGTAATTCCAGCACTTTGGGAGGCCGAGGGGACAGATCACGAAGTCAGGAGATTGAGACCATCCTGGCTAACACGGTGAAACCCCGTCTCTAATAAAAAATACAAAAAATTAGCCGGGCATGGTGGCGGGCACCTGTAATCCCAGCTACTGAGGAGGCTGAGGCAGGAGAATGGCGTGAACCCGGAAGGCGGAGCTTGCAGTGAGCCGAGATCCCGCCATTGCACTCCAGCCTGGGCGACAGAGCGAGACTTCATCTCAAAAATAAAAATAAAAATAAAAATAAATTAATTTGAAGACTATATATAATATATATACACATATACAACCATGTATCATATACATATATAATATAGTTATATATACAGCTATATATTATATATACGTATAATACATGTTATATATGTATCATATGTTATTGATAAAAATTAATATTTATATATTATATATGTATGTGTGTGTATATATATTCTTAGGTTCATTTTCTAGAAGCAAAGCCTGAGCGAGGGATCAAGTGCATGAAATCTATTGGGAGAATGTGCCTTAGGAAAGCCCTTTGAAAGAGCGAGGAAAGCAATGTGGTGAAAGGGGAAACGCTGAGCAAAATTGTGGACCCTGAGAAAGACTATTCTTGGTGGGATATAAAAAGGGTGATGCCTTTTGAGCAAAAAAGTTACACCCAACAATTCTCCTACAGTTTTTAACTCCTTGGCAGTTCTCTTGGTGGAAAGCATGAAGACTCAGTCAAGACAGTTCCCTCAAGGCCATTTCCACAGACCAGTACCGTCAACATCATCTGGGAACTTGTTAGACATGCACATTCTCATGCCTCACTCCATATCTGAGAGTCTGTGTTTTTACTTTCTTTCTAGAATAGTCTAATGCCCAATATCAGATTGTGAAGCCCTGGCCTAGGGCACTCCCCTGAACAATTTTGCAGGAAAAGAAAAGATAACTTGATCCAGTAGCAGCTAAATTTATGGTATGGAATGGATTTAATGATCTGGTGAAGGAGATCTGAGTGAGGCACCAAGAGCTTCCACATCCATTAGAATGTTTTTAATATTATAACCTGTTTTTTAACTTACAAGGAAAAGGTCTGGGGACACATAGATGAGGAAAAAAAAATAGAGCTTTGAAGAATAGGAACTTTAGGACTTTGACATCTACACCAGCCACTATGTCTATCACACTTGTCTTTCTAAAGAAGTTGAAAACATTTTAGCTGTTCAATGAGTCATTAGAGGTAATACATATAATACTTGGTGATTATGGCAAAACATTTTAAAATTGAGCAAGAATACATAGCTAAAAATTAATTTTACAGATAAAGATCAATTTAAAGACAATCTCCAGCCAGAACAAAATTTTATACATACCTGTCCACACAAAAGCCTCAAAAAATTGTAACGATTTGTGAATTTGTATAATGAACTTGAAGAAAATAAGTATTAAACAGACTAATGTTCTCCTTGAGTCCTATACTAAGCTTATTTTCTACCCTAGCTGAAGAAAAAAGAGAAGGAAAAAGGAAGGCAAGCAAGAAGAAAGAAAAGAAAGAACGACAGAGGGGAGGGGAGAGGAGGGGAGGGGAGGGCATGACAGAGGATGGGAGGGGAGGGAAAAGGGAAAGAAGATTAGTTAATCCTAGTTAGTACATTTTCTTGCACAGTAAACAGGCCCTCCCTATCTTAGTAGTCTTCTATTGCTGCAATTTAATTAATGGCCAGGAAGAAAATTGTAAACATTTGATATTCTTCTGAAAGATTTTAAGAGGCAGCAATAAAAGTGTTTTCCCTTTCCAAGGATCTTCATACTTGTTCTGCTGCTTGTCTCAAGCAATTACCCTTTCTTTCAAGCCAGTCTCATCTGTTAATTCAGAGGGGTATCTAATTCACATTTTTTTTCTCAAGCAGTAATTCTGCATGGAAAACATACTTTACATTTCAGACAAAGACAGATCTCTTAATGCAAGTGCTCACTGCACTGTGGCCCACTCATATGCTGTATTTATTTCTTCTAAATTTTTAAATAAATTTGCGTAAATATTTTTATCAACCTATATTTTGTCTTTTAGACATTAAGCTGCAGGGTGGCAAGAGTATGACTCTTTTTGGCTCATCATTGTATTTCTAGCCAGATCCAATCCAAGTTTACATATAACAAATATAAAATTATGACATTTATGAAAATAAATAAACACTTTAATTTTTTAAAAGGTGACAAATCCAAGAGCACCACAAAACACAAAAACTAATACAGATCATATTCTCACACCATCTATTTAAAATAATGTTTAGACGCCACTACCGACATGCACACAATACCATGGAATTTGCTTCTATCAAGATACCACCTCTGGCACTACATTTTTGTGGCCTGAATTATGGGTAGTTGATACAGGTTTGGAGCAGTTTTCCAGAAAGCTATTTCTACATGCATATGGATAACTTAATGCTGTATGAAAGTGACAGTGAATCACTTCAACCTTTGCCTTAGTTGGATCCAAAAACATCCCTGGGCACTCTAATGCTACCCATCAGAAGAAGTAAGATGGACAGGAAATCAGAGAGGAAAAAGAGAGAGCAGTCTTTACTGAGTAAAAATCAGCCTTACCTCTGCAAATTTTACAAAAGTGGCAGGACCAAGTGAGCCCATTGTTGGGTTATTTCCAGGGCCTTGAATGGGGTCCTAGGCAGGCAAGCTGCCCCAGGCAGGCGTGAGGCCTGCAAACATAAGCTTCTTTATCTTCCCAATAAATATGCCTCTCATTACCTTTATCTTACAGAGTGTGTACTTCATATTAGGTTCTTAATATGTATTTGCTAAATAATAGCTAAATGATAACAATGTCTTCCTGCCTCATTCCTTTCCTAATGCACCTGCTAAATAATAAACATAGTGGTTAAACACCAAAGGTGAATTCAGAATAATTACTATTTTATGTGTTATGCTGTTTCCCGGTAGGAAATTCATATTTTTGAGTAGTTAGTTTGGTGTTTTAATGATTCAAGAACATGGTGAAAATAGTTTGTACTTCTTGAATCACTGTTTTATATAGGAATTTTTAAGAAAAAATCAATTGTAAGGTGAAAACAATCTATTTAAGTATTACAGTTTAATACTCAATTGTATGCATTGTAATTCTATATCATCATTAACATTTTCAAACTAAAAATATTTTACATAGTTTAAATAATTATACTATACATTTTCCTAGAGAGAGAAATTAGTCTGATTTTGCTGTCCTTTAGAATGCAAAGGACTAAAATTATCTTCGTAACATGCTAAATTCTGAATCTTGAGCAATGTATTCAGAGGACATCCATACAGTTAAAGGAAATAGTAAGATTCACAAGCAGGTGCTCATTTCTAAGTCCAAAATCTTTCTTTACCTCAAGTTCTTACTGAATAAAACACTGATCAAATCCATTAAAACTAATGACGAAGTCTGAGTTCAATTTTATCTGTGCACAAGTTAGCTTTGAAAACAATGGATAATAAAATTTTGTAAGTAAAAGCAGAGATTTACAAGCCACTACCTTAGGAAAGTAAGAACAGAATGTTTGCTAAGTACTAACTCTAGAAGAAAAACTTCTTTCTATCATGAGTATTTAACAATTCCAAGAAGTTGGCGCTCTTTTTGAAGAATAAGAATATGATGTAATTATGTTTACAAGCAGTGTCTTTTGCCTCATAGAGCTTATATTATAATCTTTTAAGAATGTCTTATTCGGACACATTTCATATTCTTACACCTTCCATATGTTAACATCACTCAATGTAGTTATCTGTCTTATTTATACAAACATAAATCATAAATTCAGCATCCAAACAAGACATTTTCTGATCTCATATTCAGGAACTTTGACTTAGGTTCTGTTTTAAGAGTTTCCAAATAACAAACTCATTAACTCAAACTATATTTTCATGAGAGAAAATTAAGAAAGTAAATGTTGGGAAATTATTCTCATGAATCTCTCAAACAAACTCTTCAGACAAAGAGTTTGAATGAGTCATCAATTGCACTTTTGTTCCAGACTATCTTTTCAAGGATCTTTGCCTAGCAAACAGCTTTGGAAGATAGAGAATGTCTCCCTCCAAAGCAAAGGGCAGTCATGTTTACCATCAATTATAAAAGATTCAATGTCCTTGAGAGCAGGGCTCCTATACTGTAATACAGTCCACTGGGTGTGGAGGTGCCATCTAGTCCAGGTCACAGTGCCCTGTGGGGATCAATGCTCTGACCCAGCATTCTCCTATCCTCCACCAATATCCTTGAAACTGTGGCAGGCTAACTTGTTGAGATGCTTCATACTTCTTGTCAGCAAATCAAAATCAAATTTCAAACAAGAGGATGGAGGGCAAATATACATAAGCCTCAACAAACTATGTCTTATGGAATATGATTAGCATTGGATATAAAGATTAGGGGCCAAATGGAGGGTAATTCTGAGTAAGAACATGCTGCGATCTTAGGGGTCTGAATTCTAGCATGGGGTTTTTCTGGCATGTTAGAACCACCGTAAACTAAATCCCAGTTCATGACATTTACTAAGCCAAGCAAGAGGACAAATATTTTAAAAATATTAAATTTTAAAATGCTATTAGGAAGCCTGCCTTGATTCAGTAAATAGTTTAGATAAGAAAAACTAGTAATTTTTCCCTGTTACATATATCTTCCATATAATCAGAGAAACCGCTAGTATTTCATCACTATCATGTATTGTTCTCAGTTCAAGAGAGAGGGAAGAAAATAGAAGATACTTTTAATTTACAGGAGTTTACAAAGTCTATGCCAAAAACTCAATACGTGCCAGTGCACACAAACATGCACGTATACACATGTATACACATTATACACAGGCACACATGTATAAGCAAATGAGAACAGAGAAGGTGGAATTAGTCATTATAAACTCCTAGGTAACCTATTTTTCCTTTCTTGATAAGCAAGGAAATAGTTTTAATTTTCAAGCAGAAGGTAATAAACAAAATTTTCAATGAACCCATGAGTACATTTTTTAATTTAAAATTTTTTTTTTTTTTTTTTTTTTTGAGATGGAGTCTTGCTCTGTCACCAGGCTGGAGTGTAGTGACACAATCTTGCTCATTGCAACCTCTGCCACCTGAGTTTAAGTGATTCTCTTGCCTCAGCCTCCCGAGTAGCTGGGACTACAGGCCCATGCCACCACGCCCAGCTAACTTTTGTATTTTTAGTAGAAATGGGGTTTCACCATGTTGACCAGGATGGTCTTGATCTCTTAACCGGCCCGCCTTGGCCTCTCAAAGTGCTGGGATTACAGGCATGAGCCACTGTTCCTGGCCTAACTTTAATTTTTTAAGACTCACTCTTGTGCTGATTCTAGCATGCTGGTGTACCACTGTGCAAGTCTCAGGCTGCTGGCCATGGGCCCAGGAGCTCAACAGCGCAGTTGGTGGCACTCTCAGGCATGATGGAGGCAGACATCTTTTTTTTTTTTTGGAGAATGAGTCTCCCTCTGTCGTGAGGCTGGAGCGCAGTGGCACGATCTTGGCTCACTGCAATCTCCACCTCCCTTGTTCAAGCGATTCTCCTGCCTCAGCCTCCTGAGTATCTGGGATTACAGGCATGCGCCACCACACCCAGCTAATTTTTGTATTTTTAGTAGAGATGGGGTTTCACCATGTTGGCGAGGATGGTCTTGATCTCCTGACCTCGTGATCTACCCACCTCGGCCACCCAAAGTGCTGGGATTACAGGTGTGAGCCACCATGCCTGGCCTAGTTTTGATTTTTTAATTCCACTTTCCTACATCCCACTCCCATTTGTGATGATGAACTGTATTCAGCTAAACCAACGCTAGTCTACACTTCACAGTATAGGTAACAGCTGATAATACTACCTGATCCTTGTTCCTTTGCTACTGTGGTAACAATATTGTTCTATGCTTCAATTTAACAACAGGCATTTATGCCTATTTTTTAGTTTAACAGAAATTATTACACCTTCTAGTTTAACAGAAATTATTATACCATCTCAGAGAATTATCTTGGGCGAGAAGCTTTAAATAGGCTAGCTTTTTGCCGGACCAACTAATCCTCAGCCACTCACTTTATTTTTTGGCTTCATTCTGGCATAGATACGCCAACTCACCAAAGATGAACGCCTTAACATGAAGGGATAAGTACAAAGTGATACACTGAGTGCCTACTAGCGTCACCATATGCTGGGTCCCCTCTTCGATAAAAAGTGTCATATTTCAGGTTGAAAGATTTTCTTTTGTTTAAAGCAATCAACATCCTTCTTTTTAAGTAGACGTTGTTTGGAATCTTTACTGTTCCATTTAGCCAAACTGTAAAAGGGAAGAGAGCCTAGATGGCTGGAAGGAAGGAAGCATGTAAAATATTAAAGGCCAGTCCTACTTTGTTAGCGAAGAGACTGAGTAAGACAGCTATTGTAGGACAAAAGAGATTTTCCATATAAACCAAGTCTATCTCAATTATTGACTACATTGAGGATTAGTTTTTTTAAAAATCCCATAATCCTAAAAATAGTATGTTTACCTGCCCTTGAATTCTGTATATCTCCTCAAGAACATATGGAATGATAAATATCTGCTCCCTAATTCATTATCTATATCCTGGCCATTTCTTAATCTCCTATCCTTAGCCATGCCACGTAAAATTACCATGAAGGAAAAGGCATGAGAAAGTCTAATAAGCAAATGTGAGAAAGTTACCAAGTAATTATTCTTACCACCTTGATTGTCTGGGGTTTCCCTTCATAGAACAAACACAAGTTAGACTGAATTTCTCTTTTCCCACTTTATGATTTAGAAGTGACACCAGTGGCCATCTCTCCCAAGAAATGCCAGAGGTCTTTGGCCTAGTGAATGTAGCCAAGTCTTATATTCATTATAAACAAAATAATAAGAATCTTCTTTCTTTTGAGTAGGTAGTTTACAGCTTTGGGAAGTGAAAGACTAAATCATTCCCAACTGAGACCTTCATCTTGAAAAAATTAATTCTATCAAGACATTTATTCACAATCTGTCAATTGAACTAGAAAAAACCTAAAGTCCCTTTCAAGTCTTAAAATTGAATGAATTTATATATACCATTTAAGAAATAGCAGAATCCTTGTGACTTAGAACAAGATATGTTTCTAATACTTTATATACAGTTGCCTGCTAATTACCAATACCATGGAGGACGGAACACATAGGGTGAATAAATCAAAACAGAAAAATAATCAAAAAGCTTCTGTTGCTGAAGAGTAGTAGTTTTTTCTGTTATTATAGTTTTTAGCACATATTTATTTTCCCATTTATGGTTTCCTTAGACCAATATTAAAATCAATTTATATTACCTAAGCACATTTCAATAGATAACCAGAAATATTCTAAGTGGAATAGATAAAACATTTTTTAATTTAAAGTGAATGGGCAAAATTCAATAGTCTGTATTTCTAAAAGTAAATTCATAAAACTGTACATTTAAATTACCTTGGGTGCTTACTAAAAATGCATGGGCAATATCCCAGAATTTTCTTACCACATTCTCTGTGATTAAGGATGGGGAATTTTCATTTTAACATGCTACCCAACTGATTTTAAAATGTGCTAAATTTTGGCAACCTACATATTTTCATGATGCAGAATCAACATGATTTCATTCTAAAAACTACATGTGTCATTGTTAATGTAATAGTTAATAAATCTTATAATTATGTTACAAACACGTTTCAACTAAATTCATTTCTTAGTTCATTTATTATTTGCACAGTTATTTATTGAATGTCTACTGTGTTCTAGACACTGTGTCAAACATTGGAAATAAGACTAAGAAAGGCAATGACTGTATTCTTGAAGCTCACATACTACTAACAGATATATTAATCAGATAAATCTGATATCACTATTTGTATAGTTTCTACAAAGACAGGTACATTTTGCTAGAAAGATACAGAACAAATAGTGTGATTTGACCTTGTTAGAGGGGTCAGTGTATTCTCTCCTGTATATGTAATGATTGAATTAAAATATGAAGGATACATAATGACTAAATACGCAAAAAGCGCATTAGGGGATATTAGTTTAGGCAAAAAAAAAGTCATATTGTGCAAAAGCTATGGGAAAATAGAAAGCATGGAACTTTCGTGAATGAGGAATCCTAATGTGGTTTGTACAGAAAGCAAGGGAGAGTGTAATAAAATATTAAATTGGAAATTTTATTAAAAACCAGGATATGCTGACCCTTTTTATTCCGTGTTATGGAGTAGAGTTATTCTGAATGTTATTGGTAGCTATTAGAATATTAAGCTGGCATGGCATGACCAGCCTTTTTTACAACAACAAAATTGTATATGCAGAACAAAAATGTTTAGATGGGATGTTTCAATTTGCTTTTGCTGAACAACAAATCATCTCAAAACTTAATGGCTTAAAACAACCGTCATTTATTTTGCTGAGTATTCTGTGTGTCAGAAATTTACGTTGGACTCAGCTGGGTTTGCCCACGTGTGTGCAGTCTGCTTCCAGTCAGCTAGCTGGCTTTACACCTTTAAGCTAGTTGTCTGCTGCCTGAGCAATAGTGAGAGGTGACAGCGTTGCTGGCAGTCCTCACAGCCCTCGCTCGCTCTCGGCGCCTCCTCTGTCTGGGCTCCCACTTTGGCGGCACCTGAGGAGCCCTTCAGCCCACCGCTGCACTGTGGGAGCCACTGGCCAAGGCCGGAGCCGGCTCCCTCAGCTTGCACGGAGGTGTGGAGGAAGAGATGTGAGCGGGAATCGGGGCTGCGCGCGGCGCTTGCGGGCCAGCTGGAGTTCCGGGTGGGCGTGGGCTCGGCGGACCCCACGCTCGGAGCGGCAGGCCAGCCCCACCGGCCCCGGGCAGTGAGAGGCTTAGCACCTGGGCCAGCAGCTGCTGTGCTCAATTTCTCACGGGGCCTTAGCTGCCTTCCCGCGGGGCAGGGCTTGGGACCTGCAGCCCGCCATGCCTGAGCCTCCCCGCCCCACCGTGGGCTCCTATGCAGCCCGAGCCTCCCCGACGAGCGCCGCCCCCTGCTCCACAGCGCCCAGTCCCATCGACCACCGAAGGGCTGAGGAGTGCAGGCGCACGGCGCAGGACTGGCAGGCAGCTCCACCTGCAGCCCCGGTGCGGGATCCATTGAGTGAAGCCAGCTGGGCTCCTGAGTCTGGTGGGGGGGTGGAGAATCTTTATCTCTAGCTCAGGGATTGTAAATACACCAATTCGCACTCTGTATCTAGCTCAAGGTTTGTAAACACACCAATCAGCACCCTGTGTCTAGCTCAGGGTTTGCGAATGCACCAATCGACACTCTGGATCTAACTACTCTGGTGGGGCCCTGGAGAACCTTTGTGTCTAGCTCAGGGATTGTAAACACACCAATCAGCACCCTGTCAAAACAGACCACTCGGCTCTACCAATCAGCAGGATGTGGGTGGGGCCAGGCTGCCAGAGCGAGCAGTGACAACGTGCTGGGGTCCTCTTCCACGCTGTAGAAGCTTTGTTCTTTCGCTGTTTGCAATAAATATTGCAACTGCTTACTCTTTGGGTCCACACTGCCTTTAAGAGCTGTAACACTCACTGTGAAGGTCTGCAGCTTCGTTCTTGAAGCCCGCGAGACCATGAGCCCACTGGGAGGAACAAACAACTCCAGATGCGCTGCCTTAAGAGCTGTAACGCTCACCGCAAAGGTCTGCAGCTTCACTCCTGAGCCAGCCAGACCACGAACCCCACCAGAAGGAAGAAACTCCGAACACATCTGAACATCAGAAGGAACAAACTCTGGACACGCCGCCTTTAAGAACTGTAACACTCACCGCGAGGGTCTGCGGCTTCATTCTTAAAGTCAGTGAGACCAAGAACCCACCAATTCCGGACACAATAGGAGTGAGATTGGGCTATGTGTCCTTTATCTTCTAGTACTCTAGGTAAGGCTTCTTCACATTTTGAACAGGGAGCTCAAAAATGTAAAGAGAAGACAAGCCTTAACAGACAACTATTTTTCAGCCCCTCTTTCCGAGACATTTGGTAACGTTCCAGTAACAAAATGAAATCACATGCCAGAACCCAGAATTAGAAGAGGACACCACACAAAATTACATGGCAAGGGTATGAATAAGTTAATTATTTGTGGCCATATTTCAACGGCAACGTGATATGGTGGGTATGAGTTATGAGGTAATGGCTAAAGTCTAGTTAAGTGACATATTGAGAAATGCCCACTTGTTTTCCTTGTGGATTTGAGAGATATTTAGGAGAAAAAGTAGGTATAACTTGATAATGGATTGAGTTTAGGGAATGAGAGTAAATGACTAATGAGTATTGAGGAAAAAAGCCTATGCTTATTTTTTGCACAGGGAGAGACCATTCAATGAGATGGAAAAATTTAGAAGACCGTGTTTATGATTGTAGATACATGTTGAAACAAGTGGGCTTTGAGACTTCCAAGTTGACATAGTAACTAGTTAATACGATCTCTGGGTTTGGAGCTCAGTCTTTTGATAAAACTTTTGTAATCCACCAATATATATGTTATAAATAAAGCTGTATATCTGTTTGCGATCACCAAGTTGGTAAGATAGATTGATATGAGTCAGTAAGTTTCCATCTTGAGGAAACTTAATTAAAATTAGGTAAATGACTAAAGAGCAATCAGAAGAAAGGAGAAAATTCAGGCAACTATTGTGTCTTGGGAACCTCCTGAATAGAATATTCTAGTAGGAAAAGTGGTCAATAGGCTAAAAACTGCTGAAGAAATAAAATAAGATGAAGAATGTAATTTACCTATTGGAATTAAAACTTGGAATTCCCTGGTGACTTTAGCAAAAGCTTCTTTGGATGAATTTACGGGGGATAAGTTAGATTGGGGATGATTAAATAATGAAGGAGAGGTGAAGAAGCAGATACACTAACTTCCAGGAAAATTCAGTATATATGTGTTTATACACACACACACACAAAACACACACGATGTGGGCTCCTGTAGTTTCACAGGATTGTCATAATGAGGGAAAAGTTTGAGGAATATGAGAAGAATGGATTGAGACTAGGTGAGTAAGGAACAAACTTGCAATAATAATGTATAAGATTAGTAGAGCATTTAACATTTATAATGAACTTTTCCTAGATATAATTTAATGCCTTTTTCCTCACAAACCTATAAAAAGTTGGACAGGTAATAAACCACCTTTATTTACAAATAAATAAGCAGACTAATTGCTTTTGCCCAATATGATGAGGCTGATTAATTTCAGAGATGACCACAGTCATTATTATTAGTCATTATTCTGGTGAATAATTCATATATTTTTCTATCATACAGTATTTTATCCTATTTAAAGGTGGCAAACACATATAATGAATATTGCAGAGAGGTATTTCCATAGTAAACCAGAGGCAAAAAATGTTAGCAGGAGAATGGTTACTTGTCTATTTGGAATGAAAATGAAGTAGCAAAGAGCTACTTTGGAGTCAGACTACATGCATTCAAATCCTGGCTCTGCTGTGTGATCTTGGGGAATATACTGTTTCTCTCTGTGCCTCAGTTTCCTCATGTGTGATATGGGGATTATAGTTGTGTTCTTATGAGAATTAAATAAGTTAGTGTAATAAATTTGTAAGCATGATAAGCTTTTTTCTCACCTTCATAGGAAATCTACTCAAAGTACTAGGGAAAAACATAGAAATATCAAATTATTTTAATGTAGAAAAGAAAAATTCATTTATTTTGCCATTCCTGAAGAGTTTTAAACAAGTGTAATTTTAAGAAGATTATTAATTTCATGAATAGGTAAATCAGAGAATATAAAATCCCCTCTAAATTGAAAAAGGGGCACTGTATTCAAAGTTCATAGACAAATAAAGGAAAGTTGGAAAAATGCTTTAAAGAAATTCATAAAAACAAAAAAAAGATAAAAAGGCTGATATAATTCCCAAGGTGCTATAGAACCTAACAAACAAAATGTGAAGAGGGAATCATTTGAGGATTTAGTAATAAAGCCCCCTTCCCAAATTGTACATGAGATGAACTAGCTAATAAGATATTTTAAAAGGTTTAAGACATGAATACTAGAAATAAACAAATGTGGTAAGGTAAAAGAAGTACCTAACTTTTACTTAAATATAGACAAATTTACCTTGGTTTTTTGAGATGCCTTCTACCAACCTCAATTATATTGTCCAATACTAAACATATTGTGAAATGCTTGTTTTCAAATTCTAAATCAGTTTGATCTCTAATCTAGCATTAGGTAAAGCAATTAGAACAATTCAATGCTGTTAAAATAAGTTAGCATAAGAGTTTATTCAGTATACTGGACTTAAATTTTTTTTAATAAAAATGGGTAACTAAGGAATACAAACATCTTAAAAGAACTTCAAAAAACTATTTTTATATTGCACATAAAGTCTTATGTCCTAGTTAGTATGGTGTTTAAAATTTTATAATTATAAATGCCTTATCTCTTTGGGATCATGCAGAATTTCTGGAAGGTTGTAAGGATTTGATTATCATTTTTCGATGGGGTGTTGGGTGTGGTGGCTCACACCTATAATCTTAGCACTTTAGGAGGCTTAGGCAGTAGGATAGCTGGAGGTCAGAAGTTCTAGACCAGGCTAAACAACATAGTGAGACTCCGTTCCTACAAGAAATAATAATAATAATAGTAAATGAGCTGGGCATAGTGGCATGCACCTGTAGTCCCAGCTACTAGGGAGGCTGAGGTGGGAGGATCACTTGGCCGTGAGAGTTCGAAGCTGCAGTGAGTTATGGTTACACCACTGTTCTTCAGCTTGAGTGACAGAGAGACTCTATCTCTGATAAATAAATAAATAGTAAAAATAGATGGAGAAATTCAAACTCCACCAGATGATGACTGACCTGCTTACATTTACACAGGTACAAAGAAAAGTTGGAATTGTAACAGGACCTTCCGGATGTGAAAGTAAGTCTTTTCCATTCTTCTCTCACACAATTCTATGACTATATTTTGGTTTGTACATGTATTTTGTTGGTTTTTTTCTTCTTCTGCAGCATGCTAGGTCACCATGTTATGGTGGTAGATTGTCCTGGGAGGCAGAGTTGGCTTCTTGATTCCACCTCTGCTGCATGCCAACAAGGTGACATTGGATAGGGGCCTCAGTTCACTGGTCTATAAAAAAAAAAACAATAAACATTGTATGCTCCAGTATTCACATGTTCCTTGTGTGTTGATAATTTAAGTCAGTAAAATAGCAAAAAAGGAAAAGAAACCCCAAACAAAATAAAAAACAAAACACCCTAAAAACAAACCTAAGGAATAATCCTGCTTTAACCAACTCCTTTTGTTCAGACTAAAGTGATGTATAATAGATCATGTTAGGTATATTATTTTAAATTATAAAGATAGAAATCCCAAATTCTCTTACAATTAGAGGTAATACTGCTTTTAGTCCAGTGATTACAAAAAAGTGCATTTGTTCGTAGACAATTTCAAAGGCACAGATAAATATGTATAATCAGTGGCAACTATTATAGAAACCCTGGTTATCAGAACAGGAGCTTGGGCCCCATGAGAGGAATGAGAACTCATCCTCTGACCTGTGATTCTGGGGTCAGCCTTTCTCTTTCTCAGAAGTACGCAAGATAGAATGAAGAGGACATCACTAAGACCTCCCCCATCTCCTGCCCCAGCCATTGATTTCATGAACTAGACAAGGATCAAACTCTTCATATTACCTGCACTGACCTCTAAACTCTAACTAGCCAGGTACCTTATGTGTAAGAAGAATCTTGCTCACTAGAATTTGACATGGAGAAAGGAAGTGAAAGAAAGGAAAATGACTATGTTAAGTTATTCATCAAGAAAAGAGGAGTAGAATTATATTTAGATGCTGTAATTTATAGAGTCTGGAAAGGAGAAATTGTTGCACACATCCTCAAGACAACAAATAAAGCAATAGCAGGAAAAATTTCCCTTCTCTGCTTGCTTTCCAAGAAAGTTAAACCGATGCCCTGTTTATTAGTCTGCTTACATTCTAAAAGAATTTAATTTTTTTTCTGTTTTCTGTCATTTTCCCCCTCCCCAATCTGTTTTTCTCTCCCTCTCCTTCCTCTTTGTATTTTCTTCCACTCCCAAACCATAACTCAGTATTTTTTGAAAATTACTAAGTTCTTTGAATTTTGCAGAAGAGATATACCATATAAATGGGAACAACAGCAAAAGAAATGTGTTTCTCCTTAGGTGCCCTGATTGTAATGTAACATTAGGCAGCAGGTTTCTGTAATGAACTACAAAAGTCTGTCTTAAATAACAGTAAGTATTTAATAGAAAGCCACAAGAGCTTGGGAACATTCAAGATTTCAGCTGATTGTCTGTATTTAATGCATTATACTCATATAGAGAGGAAAAAGAAATGGAAAGGAAAAATACGCAGAAAAACAAGCCTTAATTGTCATGTGTAGTTCATATTTTCTAGTCTCAAAGTGTACAAAACATTACACATTAGCAGGATTTTTGTTTTGTTTTTTAAAAGTGAGCTAAGTCATCTGAATAAGAGTGGCAATTTAAGACACTGCCAAACTGGAAAGGGCCTAGGATAAAATTCTGAATTTCAATGGATGTATTCCCAAGAGTCATGCAGTCGGTTTGGTAACTGATGAGGTGATGACTACAGTCACCTCAATTTGCTCTCTGCAGGAACTATCCGTTAGAGAGAATAACATGTGTTCTGGAGTAAAGTTTTAAATTTTATCCATAAGAGATGAAAATTTTTTATTTTCTATTAAAATATAGAAGCAATAAGAAGGCTGGTTTATAACAATATTTTCTTCATATTGTTATGAGTGTATCTAGAGCAGTGATTATTACCTGAGCTATTTCTAAGAATGTCTGGAGACATTTTTGATTGTCACAATTGGTGAGGGACACTATTGCATCTAGTAGAGAGGCCAGTAATGGTGCTAAACATACTAAAATGCAAAGGACAATCTTCCATGGCAAATAATTATTTGACTTCAAATGTTCGTAGTACCAAGACGGAGAATCTCTAGCTAAAAGACTTTTTACAGACAATTCCAGTTAGCTACATGCTTCCTAATTTGTCAGACTTCTTAAGAAGTAAAAGATTACTAAGATGATAGAAGGACACAAATGTGATTATAAAATGTGATCCTAACATATTTGTCACTATTAAAGCCTGGCAACCCTGAAGAGTGAAGTTTGAGTTGGAGCTCGGCAATGGCAATATGGGAAAATAGTGTGTTATAAAATATTGAACTGAACTAGAATTTTGGAGATTAATGAGAATTTAGAAGACATCTCATATAGTCTTCACATTTCACAGATAAGGAAAATTAGAGTTGAAAAATTAAGTATGTAATATCACAGACTTAAGTAGTAGAGTTAGTGTAAATTGAATGCCTCTTACTTGTCTAGTTCTCTTTTTAGTAGTCCAAGAATTACAATCATATCTTTTCCTAAAGAAATGCACTAAATGATTCTCAAATTAAAGGACACTAAAATAAGAGAAATACTAAAAAAGAAAAATATAGAACCTTGCCATTCGGACAAATTTTAACTATGTGACTTTGGACAAGGTACTTAATGTCTTTAATGCTTAATGTTGTCACTTGAAAATGAGTATAAAATAGCTTGTTGACAGAATAAAAAAATGCATTTGTCATATAAGGTCTGGACTATAGGGAACAGAACATAATCCAATTAGGTCTTTTACAGGTCTAGAATACATAACTTCAACATTATCTTCACTGCACAACTGTCATTGTGGATCTCAAAAGGCTCATTTATGCAACAATCTACATTTAAATACCAATATTCACATCTGCTTTGTTATGACTCCAGGCATGTTGATTAACCTCTGACATAGCAATAAAAAATAATAGCATCCAATACTGACATGAATATTGAATATCATATAGACTAAATTAGAACCATAAACACTACCTACTGGGATAATAATCAAAGAGGATTTAGGAATTAGATATAATCTTCAGGAGAGATCAATGTAAATGTAAATGTTGTGGTAATTCTAAAAGCAATATATTACTCTCAGAATAAAAAATAGACTAAAGTCAGTAGGCAAAGAATTGGTGCCAAAATGTAAACTAAAAATCACCAAAATCCTGTATATATACCTATTGAGTACCTGAAGAAAGACTAGATTGTGAGTACAGAAGATGTTTATTATCAGACAAAAAATTCTGATTTTATTACTTGTTCTCTTCTAACCATAAAGAAGAGTTTAGTGAGGCAGAAGAGATGCCATTTCCACTTGCCAGTAAAAGTATAACACAGATCGATTCAGAGTATCTGTATGGCTCAGTTAGTGATCAGAGAAAATGGAAGTTCAGCAGAGGTAAAACTCATCCATGAGGTGACCAAAAAAGTAATAATGACAAACCATTTACATTGTTTTTGAATAAATATTTATATGGTTTGGATTTATGTTCCTACCGAAATCTCATGTCAAATTGTAATCTCCAGTGTTGGAGGTGGGGCCTCTTGGGAGGTGATTGAATCATAGGGGCAGATTTCCCCATTTGGTGCTGTTCTCATGTAGAGTTCTTGCAAGATTTGGTTGTTTAAAACTGTGTGGCATTTTCTCCCCCTCTCTTCCTCCTGCTCTGGCCACGTGAATGTGTGCCTGCATCCATTACGCCTTCCACCATGATTGTAAGTTTCCTGAGGCCTCTCCAGCCATTCTTCCTGGACAGCCTGTAAAACCCTGAGTGAATTAAACTTCTTTTCTTTATAAATTACACGCTCTCAGGTATTTATTCATAGCAGTGCAAGAACAGACCAATATAGAGAAATTGTACTGAGAGGCAGGGTATCACTATAAAGATAGATGAAAATGTGGAGGTAGCTTTGGAACTGGGGAGATGTTAGAAAAAATTAGAGGACTCAGAAGAAGACGGGAAGATGAGGGAAGGTTTGGAACTTTCTAGAGATTTGTTAAATTGTCATGACCAAAATGCTCATAATGATACGGACAATGAAGTCCAGGCTGGTGAGGTCTCAGATGAAGGTAAGGAACTTACTGCAAAATGGAGCAAAGGTTACTTCTGTTATGCTTTATCAAAGAGCCTGGTTGGATTGTGCCTCTGCCCTAGGTATCTGTGGAACTTTGAAATTTAAAGCGATAATTCAGGGTATCTGATGGAAGAAATTTCTAAGCAACAAAGTGTCCAAGATATGGCCTGGCTGCTTCTAGCACCCTGTGTTCATATTCATGAGCAAAAAAATGACCTGAAATTGGAACTTATATTTTAAAGAGAAGCACAGCATAAATGTTTGAAAAAAAATTGCAGCCAGGCCATGTGGTAGAAAAGAAAAGCCTATTTTCAGGGGAGCAATTTAAGCTGGCTGCAGAAATTTGCATAATTAAAGGGAATTCAAGTGCTAATAGCCAAGACCATGGGGAAAAGGCCTTGAAGGCATTTCAGAGATTTCTGAGGTAGCCCCTCCCATCACAGGCCTGGGGGCATAGTAGAGAAGAATGGTTTCATGACTCAGGCCCAGGGCCCCACTGCTCTATGCAGCCTCAGGACAAGGTACCCTGCATCACAGTTGCTCCAGTTCCAGCCATAGCTAAAAGGGGCCAAGGTGCAGCTCAAGTCATTGCTTCAGAGTGGGCAAACCATAAGCATTGGTGGCTTCCATGTCGTGTTAAGCATGTGGGTGCACAGAGTCCACGAGTTGAGGCTTGGGAGCCTCCACCTAGATTTCAGAATATGAATGGAAAAGCCTGGATATTTAGGCAGAAGTCTGTTGCAGGGGCAGACCCCTCATGAAGATCCTCTACTAGGGCAGTGCAAAGGGAAAATGTGGAGTTGGAGCCCCCACACAGAGTCCCCACTGGAGCACTTCCTAGTGGAGCTATGAGAAGAGGACCACCATCCTCTAAACCCCAGAATGGTAGATCCACCAACAGCTTGTACCACATGCCTAAAAAGCCACAGGCACCCAACAATCAATATGTGAAAGCAACCACAGGGACTGTACCCTGCAGAGCCTCAGGGGTGGAGATGCCCAAGGCTTTGGAAGGCCGCCCCTTGCACCACTGTGTTCTGGATGTGAGACATGGCATCAAAAGAGATTATTCCAGAGCTTTAAGATTGAATGACTGCCCTGCTAGGTTTTGAACTTGCATGGGGACTGTATCCCCTTTCTTTTAGCTGATTTCTCCCTTTTGGAATAGGTGTATTTACCCAATGTCTCTACCAAGACACCATTCCAAGATACCATTGTATCTTGGAAATAACTAACTTGCTTTTTATTTACAGGATCATAGGCAGAAGGGACTTGCCTTGTCTCAGATGAGATATTGGACTGTGGACTTTTTAGTTAATACTGAAATGAATTAAGACCTCATGGGACGGTTGAGAAGGGGTGATTGTATTTTGTAATGGGAGAACATGAGATTTTGGAGGAGCCAGGGGTGGAATTATATGGTTTGGATTTATGTTCCAACCTAACTCATTTCGAAGTGTAATCTCCAATGTTGGAAGTAGGGCCTGATGGGAGGTGATTGGATCATGGGGGCATATTCCTCCCTTTGTTGCTGTTCTTATGATAGAGTTATCATAAGATCTGGTTGTTTAAAGTATATGGCACCTTCCCCACCTGATTCCTCCTCCTCTAGCCACGTGAAGACATGCCTGCATCTCTTTCACCTTCTGCTTTAATTGTAAGTTTCCTGATGCTTCCCCAGCAATGCTTCCTGTATCGCCTGCAGAACAGTGAGTGAATTACACTTCTTTTCTTTAGAAATTACCCAGTCTCAGGTATTTCTTTATAGCAGTTCAAGAATGGACTGTGGATCACAAGGTCAGGAGATTGAGACCATCCTGACTAACACAGTGAAACCCCGTCTCTACTAAAAATACAAAAAATTAGCCGGGCATGGTGGTGGGCACCTGTAGTCCCAGCTACTTGGGAGGCTGAGGCAGGAGAATGGCATGAACCCAGGAGGCGGAGCTTGCAGTGAGCTGAGATCGTGCCAGTGCACTCCAGCCTGGGCGACAGAGGAGACTCCTTCCCCCCCCCCAAAAAAAAAACAAAAAAAAAATGGACTAATACAGATATATATGGATGAGTATTTCAAAAACAACATACCATGTAAGATTATGTAGCAAAAACATAATCATTTGTAAACATTTATAAACATTTCACTCTGTGGAATGTGATGAGAAAACAGTAATTTTGTGTTACCAACATCTGCATATTTTCAAATTTATAAAAGAACATACATTTTAAAGAAAAATTTTAACAAACATAGATATATTTTGGGGGCACCAGCCTCCCTACATCCTTTTCATGTAGAAAAAGATTTGGAAAGTCTACCAGATTATTTTTCAGGCCATGGAACACATTTTTAAATGTACTGTTAACTTCTCCAGTTGTGCCTTAACTGATACATGGTCTAAGGACTGTGAAATCACTTTGCATAGGTTAAAACAAAACAACAAAAAATACTTATATATGCTTTAGTTGAATACACTTAAATGTTTGATATCACAAAAGCTGATAGAGAATACCAAAAGAAAACAGGAAAGACAAGGATTCCAACAATACTTTTTCTTAAATTTATTTTTGTGCAACTACCACTGCCTAAGTGCTATGGTGGGATGTTTTCTATTCTTCAAGTGTGAGCATATTAAATATTAATACACAAGAAAGATTGGCTCTTATAACAATAAATATTTCAAGTTTGAAAAGGATAAGAATTGATTTGGAAATATAATTATTTTATTTAAATAAAAATGTAAATTTTAGGTAATTCCTAATTTAGGAAGATGAATTTATCTCTACTGCTTAATATTCCAGGCACTGTGATAAGCTAGTTTATTTGATGAAAAAGTTTATTAAATCCTCTTTCAGGATAATAGTATTATCATTCCCTGTTTTAGGAATTGAAAATTGAAGCACAGGGAGGGAAAGTAAATTATCCAAGATCACACTGGTAATCAGATCCAGATTATATCACCTCAATGGCTCAACCATATTCTCTTTATACATCTTGTGAAGAATCCTCTATGACATTTTCTGTTGAACCTCTGTCCTTAACATGGAAGTCAGACTAAAAGTGATTTTGCTGTTAGCATTGGATATTTTCAGTCTCTATTCACATGGAAATTACTATTCTAGAGAAATCATGGTAATTTAGTGATTCCAATGTGAAGTGGAAGAGACAGCCTTTGTTAGACACACAAAAGTTAACCAGGAGGTTATCAGAATGTGAGTTCAAAAATATGAAATAAAACCACATTTATTATCTTACCTTAGAAAATTGTGATTTCAGAAAATAAAAGATTAATATATTTTCTTATCTTCCCAAGCTATTAAGCCACCTTTCAATTTCATTGGTCAATCTTGAAGGGGTTTTGTATTCTCCATCTAAAATGTTAATCTGTGGTGTGTAATTTTTGTCAAAGTAAATGATAAAACTAAAAGAAAATACAGACTAAGTATTTTTTATTCAATTCAATAAATTCCTGTCTTAGTAAAATTTCAGCATTGCTGTGAGTTTATACACTGCTATGCTCAAGGCCTGAGAAATAGTTGACAAAAGTTGGGAACTTGTCAGACTCCAAAATTTATGACATTTTAACCTGAGCTCTCCTTTAGTCAAATATTAATAGCCAAAAATGATATACTTTTATTTCTAGAGGCTAAGTAACTATCTGGAAAAAATGGGATGGGATACTGTAATTTCTATATAGGAACAGCAGCAATTTCTGCCATTCATCAAACCTCTACCCTCATTTTAATAACATTATTCACTGTCTGGGAATTAACTATGCTGTTGGCTCAGGGCTCAACAGATTCTAATTAAAAGGCACATAACATTGCTGAAGAAAAGAATAGATGCAAAGTTAGAAATACATCACAACATCCAATTGCTGGAATTTTATTTCTATAATTTCTAGAAAAAATAAAGAATAATATTTATGTAAATAATTCTCTGATTTCTCCCTTTCCCTCTGTCTCTTTCTCTCTCTTTACACACACACAGATACACACAGGCACACACAATAATCCTAAAGAAACTGCAACAAGTGATTGTAATAGGGTGAATCTCTGACCACAGATGGATGCATCCACCAAATATGCCTTGCCATCAGATTCTCGAATTGGATGTCATGGCCTCAAGTTTTTTAATCATGTAAATAAGGGGCATTAGGACAACAGTTCATCAAATGCTCCTGCAAATATATCTGGAATAGATATCTATTACAAGGGTTTTTTTTCCCTTCAAATGTATTTTGATTATGAACAATCCACTTTCTTTTAAAATTTTGTTTATTTATTGTTATTTGTTTGAGACAGAGGAGTCTCTCTGTCACCCAGTCTGGAATGTAGTGTCACGACCGTGACTCACTGCAGCCTGGACCTCCTGGGCTCAAGCAATCCTTCCACCTCAGCCTCCCAAGTAGCTGGGACTATAGGTATGAGTCACAATGGCTGGACCACTTTCCTGTAATAAAGCTCCTTCCCCCTCCAGTCCCTTAGCTAAATTGTTTCTTGCATTCAGAATTACCCTAAATTAGACTCCAGTAAACTATTCTGAGGTGAAATGAAGGTGATGGCATTTGAACTGAGGATCTAACAAGTGATAATCAAAAATGAAAACTATCCATCTGACAGTTCTCTTTTGAAGGGGTGGCCTGTCCCTCCACACCTGTGGGTGTTTCTCTTCCGGTGGGACGCGAGACGGAGAAAAGAAAGAGACACAGAGACAAAGTACAGAGAAAGAAAAGTGGGCCCAGAGGACTGGGGCTCAGCATACAGAGGACCGGTGCTGGCACTGGTCTCTGAGTTCCCTCAGTATTTATTGATCATTATCTCTACCATCTCGGAGAGGGGGATGTGGCAGGACAATAGGGTAATAGTGGGGAAAGGGTCAGCAGGAAAACATGTGAACAAATGTCTCTGTATCATAAACAAGGTTAAGAAAAAGGTGCTGTACTTTGATGTGCACATATGTAAACATCGCAATGCATTAAAGAGCAGTATTGCTGCCAGCATGTCTCACCTCCAACCCTAAGGCGGTTTTCTCCTATCTCAGTAGATGGAACATACAATCGGGTTTTACACCGAGACATTCCATTGCCCAGGGACGAGCAGGAGACTGATGCCTTCCTCTTATCTCAACTGCAAAGAGGCCTTCCTCTTTTACGAATCCTCCTCAGCACAGACCCTTTATGGGTGTCGTGCTGGGGGACGGTCAGGTCTTTCCCTTCCCACGAGGCCATATTTCAGACTATCACATGGGGAGAAACCTTGGACAATACCTGGCTTTCCTAGGTAGAGGTCCCTGCGGCCTTCCACAGTGTTGTGTCCCTGGGTACCTGAGAGTAGGGAGTTGTGATGACTTTTTACAAGCATGCTGCCTTCAAGCATTTGTTTAACAAAGCACATCCTGCATAGCCCTAAATCCATTAAACCTTGAGTCCACACAGCACATGTTTCTGCGAGCACAGGGTTGGGGGTAGGGTTACAGATTAACAGCATCTCAAGGCAGAAGAATTTTTCTTAGTACAGAACAAAATGAAGTCTCTTATGTCTACTTCTTTATACATAGACACAGTAACAGTCTGATCTCTCTTTTCCCCACATCTTTTTATTTTAATATACAAAAAGAGATGAAATCCTTTTTTGATAATCATCTATTTGTCCTTCCAACAATTTAAAGGAGAATGAGAAGATTATGATTTTGTGGTAGCAGACTATTATCTTAGAAGCCTTAATTTGCATTTTATTCATTTCATTTTTAGCATTATGTCCAAGTCACACAATGTAATTCCTTACTTGCTAATTACTGCCTATATAGGAATTGGTTCAGAGGATCTTTGAACCCTTGGTTTTTTAAAATCTACTTGTCTGTGCCAGGCATATTGCTTTTGTTACTCTTACCTGATACAGAATATTTTCATGGCTGCATACTGTGTTTCTGTGTCCCACATACAAAATAACAAATGACAAAAATTAAGAAAGGAAAGTCTTTTCTATTTAGAGAGCAGCATTCACACAGCCACTAGATTAATGTTAGCTTTGAAGCTGCATGATGAGCAATAGAGGTTTCTTACCAAGATACTCATTAGCATCCCTTTGTGACTTGTAAGAAATAATTTGCACAGTTTTAAATTTAATGTTAACCCAAAGCTTCTTTGTTGACTGATCAATTTCTAACCACAACAAACTCATTTGTTTCCATTTTGATTGATAAGCAAGGTGCAAAAGTGAGTCCATTTCCTTCCTTTCTTCTTCTGTCTCCTCTTACTACATAATTAACTAAAAATAGAATATAATAACCTGATTGGTTTACCTAGCACTTGAATATACGTGTATATCAGATTGTCTTTATAAACAAATCTCAGTTGTCTTGAAATACGAGGATAAGATTGTCTTGCAATGGAAACACAATACAGCAAACTTTGTCAGGCTACTGCTCATAATTATAGGACATTTCTAAGATCATTTATATCTCTTCTCTTCCTCACCATGCCATATTTCTCTGCTTTATTCTTGTGTAAAACAATATAGGCCTATGTGTCTCCAATTTTCTTTTCTTCTCTACCCTGAATTGATTTATCAGTTATTACTTGAATCAGATATGATTGTTTACATGGAAAATCCAAAGGGACAACAAGAATCTCATCAGATAAAATGAGGAAATACAGTGGTAGTTGTTTGGTAGAAACATTACTATGTAAAAATCAGCAGCTTTTAATATATAAATCACATACATTTTACATAGAGAAATTATGCAAAAATACAATAGCAACAACAATTACAGAAACCCAACAAGTGCAGAACACCAGCTTATATTTTGAGATAGTACCCTGGGTTTAGAGGTATCACACATGATGATTTGTGTAGGACAGTCTCGCTTTATGTGTCTTGACACAAAATTCGGATTTTTAAATGTAAAGCAAAGTTTATTCAAATATACAAGAGAAAAACAACGCCATAAAAAAGTGGGCAAAGGACACGAACAGACACCTCACAAAAGAAGACATATATGCAGTCAATAAGCATATAAAATATCTCAATATCATCCATCATGAGAGAAATGCAAATCAAAACCACAATTAGATACCATCTTACACCAGTCAGAATGGCTGTGACTAAAAAGTAAAAAAATAGCAGATGCTAGAGAGGTTGTGGAGAAAAGGGAACATTTAGTCACTGTTCACAGAAGTGCAAATTATTTCAACCACTGGGGAAAGTAGTATGGTGATCTCTTAAAGAGTGAAAAGCAAAACTACCATTTGACCCAGTAATTCCATTACTGGGTATATACCCAGAGGAATATAAATCATTCTACCATAAAGTCACATGCACACAAATGTTCATTGTAGCACTATTCACAATAGCAAAGACATGGAGTCAACCTAAGTGGCCATCAATGACAGATTGGATAAAGAAAATGTGGTACATATATACACGTGTAATACTATGCAGCCATAAAATAGAATGAGATGATGTCCTTTGTAGGAACATGGATGGAACTGGAGGCTATTATCCTTAGCAAACTAATGCAGGAACGGAAAACCAAATACTGCATGTTCTCACTTATATGTGGGAGCTAAATTATGAGAATCTTTGAACACAGAGATGGAAACAATAGACATTAGGGAACATTTGAACGTGGAGGTGGGAGGAAGGAGAGGAGCAGAAAAGATAACTATTTGGTACTGGGCCTAATTCCTCTGTGATGAAGTAATCAGTATGACAAATTCCCATGACATGAGTTTACCTGTGTAACATTTTCATGTGCACCACTGAACCTAAAATAAAAGTTAAAATTAAAAAAAAAACAAAGTTCATTAATAATAGTAAGCATTAAAATAGAGTGGAATAAATTTGGAAGTCCTTGTCTTTTGTTGCTAACATTTGCCATGGTCTAGAAATATATGTTGCACATGTACAGGAAACAGAGTTGTCATTTTAACATGGAGTAAAACCTGAAAGAAGATCCTGGGTAGTCCATGTCACTATTCTGATAGCCAACAGATTCCAGTCCCAGGTGGTGGGGAAAGACTGTGCCACTGCTGCCTCTTCCAGACACTGGAATAAATAACAGTTGTGCTGTGGCATTGTGAGAGATACATGAAGCAGCTAGTTAGTCACTAGTTAGAGTATTTGAGTAAATATGAGTGTTCAAAGGGAAAGTGTTTGAAAGATGTGTGGCAAAACAGAGGCTCAAAATTTCTGTTCAGGAACTTATATGCAAAAGGAACAAAGTAAGTATTGAGACATGTTACAACCCAGATGAACCTACACAACATTTATGTAGCAAAAAAAGCCAGATACAACAGACTATATTGTATAACTCCAATAATAGAAATATTCAAAACAGGCAAATTTATAGAGACATAATGTGGATTACCTGTTTTCTGGGTTTGGGATGGGAATTTAACTGGGAGTGACTGCAAATGGGAAGGCAGTTTGTTTTTCGTATAATGGAAATGTTCCAAAATTAGATCATGGTGGTGATTCCATAAACCTATAAATTTACTGAAACTCATTGAAAAATTTAAAATGAGTGAATTTCATGGTATGCAAATAATACCTCAATAAATCAGCTTAGTCTTATAATGGTTTTTTCATTTATTTTGTGTAATAATTGTACAACTTTTAATGTATTTTACCATCTAGCAACTGTATCTCATTTTGTAATAATTGCTTTCAGCAGCAATCAGCTAAAAAGGTGGGAGATGGGAGTAAGTACATGTTTAATGAAAAGTGAATGAATTTATTTCTCAAGAAAGTTGAAAATGAAAGTGTTACTTGAATCAATTATTTGTCAATATTTACCAACCCCATGGAGGCCATAGTAATGTCACTGAACATGAGAACTGGAATAGACAGATCTGCTGAAGACACATTAGCATCTACTTCAGAAGTTTAGAATTATTTTGAGAATAATATACTTGAAGTAAACATTTTAATACATAAATCTGCAGAGAGAGTTTATATATAGCTTTCTCTAAAGCATGAATTTTCAGTTTCACTATTCTAACAATATTATTTAGTTTAATCTCACATTTTCCTGTTCAGAATTGAAAAGTGAAGCAACAGGTGTTAATGCATTAATTCCTTTAGCAGAAAAAGAACTTTACTAACAATTAAATGATGTCATGTTTTCATCACTGTCAGCAGATGCTACAAACATAAAATAATTTCATTTCAAGATGATTTGATTTTGTTTCTGCCATTCATGGAATCTAAGTAATGCTTTTGGAAGTTCATTCTGTCCAAGGTGAAACATTTAACACCATAATAAATACTGATATAAATTTAGTTAAAAGTTAAACATAAAAATCATAATAAATGCTGATATACATTTAGTTAAAAGCTAAACATATGAATTGTTTCTGCTGTACACATGACTTTAACTAAATCTAAACAAGCCATAATATTCTACCAATCAAAATAAAATTTGAAAATAGTGTTTATATATGTATACCTTATACATATATATAGTGTATAAACATATAAATATAGAGAAAATAGTTTATATATATTTGTTAGTAACCATGTGGTAAAAGAGGTATAAAGTATACGGTTTATATCTAGTTAGAGTAACTGAACTACAAATTTTTGTGACAAAATTGAAGCTGAATAAATATTTCAGTATGACAGCATACACTTCCTTTACTTTCTGTCAGAAATCTAATTTTATAAATGTTTGAGCTTTCGAAGAATGAAGCTGAAATAGATGAAAAGAGAATAAACCTAGGTTGTTGAGAATGGGAAATCAGAGATCTCATTGAGAAGACATTTTGAAAGATTTCTTGGGGACTGGAAGTACACATTGATACATCAAAAACAAGGAACTTATTTTCTGGAAGTCAAAAAGGAAAATACTGGAGCAGAGATGGAATAAGTCTTCCCAAAAAAGACCGCATAAATTGTCAGGCATATATACAAAGATTAGGACCAGCTGGTAATAAAGGAAGAATGTTAACTGGAAGCACTATCTGTGGAAAAGCTACCTCAGCTATCACATTTTCTGCCTTCTGATACATGCAGAGCACTTGGCAACCCAGAATCTATACCCAGATATTAAACTGAGAGCTCTTCTCTAATAGAATTAGCTAATATTCCTGAGCAGACCTGAGTTGTTTAATGTGGCACATTGGGTCCTCTTTTGTATTCGTGTACCCCATATTCAAGAAATACCCATCACGGAGAGACATCTACAAAGAAAGTGCTGCTTCCATATATATTGTAAACAGAGGTAAAGAAAACTGCATTGACTATTATAATAATTAAACTAGGCTTTCATTCTTAACTATGGCTGGAAAAAAAAGAAAGATTTGCCAAATATTTGAGAAAAAAATTAAGCAAAAAGGAGAACAAGGTAAAGAAAACAACTGATCTTGGAGAAATCTATTTTATGGATAAAAGAAATTAAAAAGCTTTGAAAGTAGTATCTTGAACAAGACAAATTAAAAATATTACACTGAAATCAGAAAAGAAGTTTTTAAGAATTAAAAATATAATTTCCCAAATTATACACATACACATACACACACCAATAACACAGACATATAAGGTTCAAAGAAGTTTCCCGAAATACAGAACAAATAAACTAAAAGTCAACTGACATAAAGGAAAGATAAAAGCATAAAGTAGGATGTCTGCTATCAGACTAGAGTACTATAAAGAGACCAGAAAAAAGGGAAGAAGGAAATAATAAAATTAAAATCAAAAGAATTTGTCTCAGAGCTAAAGAAAAGCTAGAGTTTTCAAATTAGAGGATCCAACATGGTACATTCATAATAAGAAATACTTAGCAACAGAAAAGGACAGACTACCAATACAGACACAACATAGATGGATTTCAAATGCATTATGTCAGGCAAAAGAAGATGACATATTGCATGATTCCATTTATGTGTCATTCTGGAACAAGTAAATATATAAGGAGAGAGACACATCAGTGGTCACTAGGCGCTGAGGGAGAGAGAAGGGCATGAATAAAAGAGGGTATGAAAGAAAAGCCAAAACAAATTTCAAGCGATGTCATGGACTCTCCTGCAAACCAGTGTGATTTTGTGGCGATACCCGATCTCGTCTCATAAGTCAGTAATAACCAATAGTTGTCTGTGCTGGAAACTTAGTACCAATCATTAGGGGTCACTCAGTGATTCATTTGTGGCCAAAATGCAACTATGAGCTTGCCAAATAGAATTAAAATGCTGCAGGGTTATTTGTCAAGTGTTGTTTGACATGCAGTGACTGTGTTTTCTGTACAGAAACCATAAACATCAGGTATATTTCAACCAAATAAACTGAGGCCTGAGCCTATCTAACACACATTTATGGTAAAGCATGTAAAAGTAAGACAACCTTTGAACATATGTCATTTGTTCCCCAGGACTTCTTCAAATTATGTATCTATGAAAGTACGATTATAAAAGGTAAATGCCACAAATGTTTCCTGAGCATCATCTCAGTGAAGAAATGCACAACATGATAGGGTTTTAGATTTCTGGTTTTCTGGTCTATTGTGATGTTTGTCAGCTAAAAAGTTTCTTAACAGTTGGGTGCAAATGCTTAGGAAGCCAATGGCTCTATTACAAAACATTGGTACAAAAGAAAGTTGTTTGTCTTTCAAAGAAAATTCAATATTCAGGTTTTTTGCACATTTTAGCTAGCTCATGAGCAAATTGTAGGTAGGTGTTTGACTCATACCAATGAGTGACTAATAATGTAAAAAACAGTATTAAAAATTGAGGGAACTAAGTAACATAGTTAAAAGTAGCTGTAAGCCAGTAGGAAGGAATATCAAAGCCAAAGGAAAGGATACCTAGAACAGAATAATGAAGATTAAAGCATGACAACCACAGGTTTAATCGTCATTATTCTGTTCTTTATTCTGTTCTGTGGTGGAAGCTCCCAGCATCTCAGGCAGTCATCTACTTAGTGCAAAGTACTTAGGTGGAGTTAGCACCTTCCAAAGACTGCTTAAGTGAAGGAATGTGTGTGTATGTGTGTGTGTGTGTGTGTGTGTGTGTGTGTGTGTGTGTATGTTTGTATAGGGGGCTTAAGAACTCTCAGCTTGTGGTATCTGATAAGGAAAGTTTTGGGGGACAGTGATTTGAGTAAGGTATATTTTTCTTAATTATAATTGAGAGGCATGAACCTAAACATGAAACCTTTGGATTTTCAGTGATGTACTGGTTGTTAACAGTACCACATAAGGTCCTATCCATGAGGGTTCAAAACAATCTTTTTCTGGTGTTATGTCCAGAAAATTAAGTCTCTAGGTTTTAGATCAAGCAAAGGTTATTTAAAAGGATATTGAGAAAAGGCTGCTCATAATTAATGATTGATTAAACACTGTATTGTGTAAGTCCTTTGAAATATTTAATAATGTCAGTTTGTAATAAGGCAGAATCTAGAATTGGAGAGGATATTCAAAACACATCAGATATTCAGTTATCAGTTTAAAGGAAAAGCTACTAAAGACACCTGAAAGAGTTAACCTTTGCCATTAAAAACTATTATGTAAACTAGGGTATATCCATATAATGATAAACTCTGGCAATAGAAAGAAATAAACTATAGATACATACTGTAACATAGATGAATCTCAACATAATTATGCTGAGTGATAAAATCCAAACAAAAACATGGTACATAATATATAATCTCATTTTTATAAAATTATGAAAAACACAAACTAATCTATAGTGACAGATAGCAGACCAGTGGTTTCCTGGAGACAGAGGTAGAATATTAAGAGGTCGGAAGATGTTACCATGGGGAATAAGAAACTTCTGTAAATGATGAACTTGTTTATTTTGAGTTTGTGATGGTTTCATGAATATATACATATATGCAGACATTTCAAATTACATTCTTTAAATATGTGCTATGTATTGTACATTAATTATAGCATAATAAAGTTTTTAATAAAAAATTAAGATGACATCATCATCATTATCATATAATTTCGTTAAATGCAGGCATACTTTAGAGTTTGGTTCCAGAACTCCACAGTAAGCCAAGATCATAAAAAAGCAAGCCACATTTTTTTGTTTTGTTTTTTTTCAAGTCTGTATAGAAGTTTTGTTTGCACTGTAGTGTAGTTTATTAAGTGTGCAAATAGTATTATGCCTACGAAACAATGTATATATATGCCTTAATTTTAAAATACTTTGTTGCTAAAAAATCATAACAATCTTCTGAGCCTTCAGGTATTGAAATCTTTTTGCTGGTAGAGAGTCTTGCCTTGTTGTTGATGGCTGCTAACTGATTAAGATGATGGTCACTGAAGACAGGGGCAGCTGTGGCAATTTCTAAAAATAAGACAACAATGACATTTGCCCCATCAATGGACTATTTCTATCATGAACGATTTCTCTGTAGTTCAGTGCCGTTTGATAGCCTTTTACCCAGAGCAGAATTTCTTTCAAAATTGGAGTCAATCCTCTGCAACCCTGCCATTGCTTTATCAATGAAGTTTGTGTATGAATTAGTCAAGGTTCCCTAGAGGGACAGAATTAATAGGATATATATATATATATGATATCTCTCTCTATATATCTATATCTATATATATATCACATATATATCTATCTATATATCACATATATATCTATATATCACATATATATCTATCTATATATCACATATATATATGAGTTTATTAAGTATTAACTTACACAATCACAAGGTCCCACAATAGGCTGTCTGCAAGCTGAGGATCAAGGAGAGCCAGTCCGAGTCTCCACACTGAAGAACTTGGAGTCTGATGTTTGAGGGCAGGAAGCATCCAGCATGGGAGAAAGATGTAGGCTGGGAGGCTAGGCCAGTCTCACCTCTTCATGTTTTTCTGCCTGCTTCATATTCACTGGGAGCTGATTAGATTGTGCCCACCAGATTAAGGGTGGGGTCTGCCTTCCCCAGCCCACTGACTCAAATGTTAATCTCCTTTGGCAACACCCTCGTAGACACATCCAGGAACAATACTTTGCATACTTCAATCCAATCAAGTTGGCACTCACCATTAACCATCACAATGTAATACTCTAAATCCTTAGTTGTCATTTCAACAATGTTCATAGCATTCTCACCAAGAGTAGATTCCATCTCAAGAAACTACTTTCTTTGCTCATCCATAAGAAGCAACTTCTTATCCATTTAAGTTTTGCCGTGAGATGACAGCAGTTCAGTCACATCTTCACATCTTCAGCCTCAATTTCTAATTCTAGTGCTCTTGCTATTTCCACTACATCTGCAGTTACTCCCTCCACTGGAGTATTAAACCCCGCAAAATTATCTACGATGGTGGGAATCAACTTCTTCCACACTCCTGTTAATGTTGATAGGTTGACCTCCTCACATAATTTGGAATGTTTTTAATGGCATCTAGAATGGTGAATCCTTTCCAGAAGCTTTTCCATTTGCTTTCTCAGACCCACCAGAGGCATCACTTTCAATGGCAGTAATAGCCTTAAGAAATGTATTTTTTAAATAAGACTTGAAAATTAAAATTCTTCTTGATCCAGGGGCTGAAGAATAGATGTGTTAGCAGTCATGAAAACAACATTTTTTTCGTATATTTCCATCAGAGCTCTTGAGTGACCAAATATATTGTCAATGAAATGTGATATTTTGAAAGAAATATTTTTTTCTGAGTATAGTTCTCAAGCGTGGGCTTAAAATATTCAGTAAACCATGCTATAAACAGATGTGCTGTCATCCAGGCTTTGCTGTTCCATATAGCACACAGAACAGATATAGCATATATAGATATGATAGATGAGCATCAGATTCAACTTGAGGTCACCAGCTGCGTTAGCTCCTAACAAGTCAGCCTGTCCTTTGAAGCTTTGAAGCCAGGCAATGACTTCCTTTAGTTTTGGAAAGTCTTAGATGGCATCTTCTTCCACTAGAGGGCAGTTTCATCTGCACTGAACATCTATTTATGCTCATCCTCAATTATCTTAGCTATTAATAGATCTTCTGGATAACTTACTACAGCTTGGATGTCAGCACTTGCTGCTTCACCTTACACTTTTATGTTCCAGAGATGGTGTCTTTCCTTAAACCTCAGGAACCAACTTCTGCTAGCTTCAAACTTTTCTTCTGTGGCTTCCTGACTCTCTTAGCCTTCATAGAATTGAAGAGAGTTAGGAACTTGTGCTGGGTTAGGCTGTGGCGTCAGGGAGTGTGATGGCTGGTTTAATCTTTCATGCAGGCCATTAAAACTTTCTCCATATAAGTAACAAAGCTATTTTGCATTTTGATCATTTGTGTGTTCACTGGACTAACAATTTCCTTCAGGAACTTTTTCTTTGCAGTTACAACTTGGCTATTTCTTAGAAGAGACCTAGCTTTTGTTCTATCTCAGCTTTCAACATACTTTCCCTACTAAACTCAATCATTTCTAGCTTTTGATTTAAATTGAGAAACATGCAACTCTTCCTTTCACTTGAATACTTACAGGTCATGGTAGGATTATTAACTGGCCTGATTTCAATATTGTTGTGTCTCAAGAAATAAGGATGACCATGGAGAACGAGAGAGAGACGGAGATATGGCTGGCTTGTGGAGCAGTCAGAACACACACATATTTATCTAGTATGAGTGCTATTGGTGGCACCCCAAAACAATTACAATAGTGACATCAAAGATCCCTGATCACAGATCACCATAACAGATACAATACTAATGGAAACATGTGAGATATTTTGGAATTATCAAAATGTGATATAGAGACAAGCAGTCAGCACATACTGTTGGAAAAATATTACTGATACACTTGCTTGATGTAGAGTTGCCACAAATCTTTGATTTGTAAAAACCACACTATCTATGAAGGGCAATAAAGCAAGCTGCCATAAAAGAAGGTTTTTCTGGCTTTCAATTATACAATGGTTTTAGAAAACATAATTTATGTAGAAAGTTTGAATTATGAAAACTGTACATTTAATTTTATTTAAAGGAGAATATGATATCTACGAAAACCACAGGGAAGCCATAGAGTTATCTTTAAAACAAAATTACAAACTCATTTCAATTAATGCAAAGTTACACATTTTTATCAAAAATATTACATAAACTTTAAAAAATACAATTTACAAACCTTGCCTTCATAAACAAAATTTAAATCACGTTTGAAAGCTGCCCTTTTATCTTGAATCAAGGCCTTTTCTTCTTATCTTATAACTGCAGTTACAAAGCCATTATTTAAACTTACTTGTTCACATTTCTTAAAGCAAAATAATCACAGTTAATTAACTTTTTCTTCATTTTCTTTAGACATTTTTAGCTGTTTATCTGAACTAGATATTCCTAGAGTGTGCATATAACAACAAAAAAATTGCTTTTTCCTGATCAATTTACCTTTAAAATCTTCTAAGTGAGAGGCAAAAACAGAGAGAAATGGAAAGAAATGGTGAAAAACAGTTTGTCTTTAGACAAATGTGAAATAAATCAAAGTTGCCTGGGTTTTTTAGGTGTAGTTGAAAGAGGAAAAAGCCAAGGGTCTTTGGGGACATAGCCTGGCCTTGGGAGTGGGGACGAAGAAGAGGGAGAAGCTGAAAAGTGGGGCAGAGTAAGAGTTGGATGAAGGCGAGGAGACTGGAGTAGGATTGAGAAGCATCCCCCAGAGAAGCAGTCTCAAGCTTTTCGCATTTTTCACTTAGCTTTTGTATTTGTCTCCTATCGCATCCATAAGAAATTACCACACACTGTGCAGCTTAAAACAACAGAAATTTCTCAAAGTTCTGGAGGCTAGAATTCTGAAGTGAAGGTATCTGCAGAGCCACGTTGCACCTCTGGGAGGTATAGGGATTTTTTTTTCCTTTTTTCTCTGACTCCCAGTGGTTGCTGACAGTCCTTGGCATTGCTTGGCTTTGCCATCCCGTTACTCCAATTTTTGTCTTTGTCTCCATGGGGTCATTTTTTCTCTGTGTTTCTCCTCTCTGTCTCTGTATTTAAATCTCACTCTCCTTCCATTAAGATCACATCAGTCATTGGATTGAGGGCACAGCATACCCTCACCTTAACTTCCCTATTTCCAAAAAAAGAACACATTTACAGGCATCCATTGGCAAGACTTAAATATATCTTTTTGGGGGACACAACGCAACCCACCACACCTTTGCTGGAAGTCTTTCAGAGAACCAGTGTTAGGGTCTTTAGAATTACATTAGAATTGTCTTTAGAAGCTTTATCCTAACAGTTAAAGAAAGCAAACACATTTTTTAATTGTAATTTTTCTTTCTTTCTATACCAAGGCTCCTATTAAATGAACAATCTTGTACATATGAAAAATTCCCACAATAGGGAATTCCCACAAAAGGGCCACAATGATTCCAATTTGTCTTTGGTTAGATTGTGACAATTAGAAAGATAAACAAATAAATTAGCATAGTTTTATATATAAGTAATAAAGGTGAGTTTCCCACCCAGTGAGTTGGGGCAGGCCCCATGAGTGAGAGTAAGATAACCCCATGAGAAATATACAATTAATAAAAAATGAAGCTTGTATAACTTTCCATCTACAGAATCTAGTTTAGAAAAAAAAAAAAAAAAAAGGGGACAGCACTAGAAAGCTCTGACAAAACGCTGAGCTAAACAAAGAGGTTTCACACAGTGGAGAGTCCTAACATGGTTTCATAAAGGTGACCTGAAACAAACTTTTCCATATGGCGCCTGACTAAAGACACTCTCTCAACTCCTCAGCCCCCAGGGTCTGTTCAATGTAGGCTTATCAGCCCCTCCCTATATATGCCTCTTCAGAGGCAATGCATAACACATAAACAGAAAGACAAATGCAGACAATCACAAACATCAGAGCGTGTGAAGCCAAGATTCACGAGGACACCCAAGTATGATCAGAACATCATATTCTAAGAAATAAATAGTAAATCTGACATTAAATGACTCACTGAGACCATCAGAGCCCAAATTCAGTGTGAAACTTGATCATATCAGAGGACCAGGCTACCTCAATCTTGGAGACACATGTACACTGTTACCTAGTCATGGATCCTGGTATACAGCTTTAAAAGTCTCAGCCAAATCTTGGTGGAATATTCACTATAAAAGCTTAATCAGCTAAAGACTATCAAAAATCAGCCAACAGTCAAACATGGTAACTCTCAAGTAAGAACTGTGGAATGCACCTAAAAGAGAGAAAAAGGGAACCAGGGCATGCTACTCAACTCATGAGAAAAAGAAAACAACTTTTGCAAAGTTGAGTTTCTGCTGAAAGATTATGGGGAAAAAAAAAAAAACTGTCAGAGATGGAGGGTCATTTCTGAATTGATACTACCTAAAGCAGGATTAGAAGTGGAGATTGGCCAGGCGCAGTGGCTGATGCCTGTAATCCCAGCACTTTGGGAGGCCAAGGTGGGTGGATCATCTGAGGTCAGGAGTTCGAGACCAGCCTGACCAACATGGAGAAACCTCGTCTCTACTGAAAATACAAAATTAGCTGGGCATGGTGGCCATGCCTATAATCCCAGCTATTCAGGAGGCTGAGGAAGGAGAATTGCTTGAATGAGGGAGGCAGAGGTTGTGGTAAGCCGAGATCATGCCATTGCACTTCAGTCTGGGCAACAAGAGTGAAACTCTATCTCAAAAAAAAAACAAAACAAAACAATGGAGATTAACTAAGAAGTGGTTGCTGTAATGAGGTGAGGGCAGTTTAACCATTGCATATCCATAGGCATAAATTAAAATAGCCAAGAGAGTATGGGTATTATTGGTAAGAATGCATTGGTAAGAATGTAGCATCTGGGCATAGTACCTCACGCCTGTAATCCCAACACTTTGGGAGGCCAAGGTGGGAAGGTGACTTGGACCCAGGAGTTCAGAACCAGCCTAGGCACATAGCAAAACCCTATCTCTACAAAAACTATAAAAAATTAGCCAGGAGGTATAGTGCACACCTATAGTCTATCTACTCAGGAGGCTGGAGCAGGAGGATCACTTGAGCTCAGGCTCAAGCCCACAAAGCTACAGTGCACTATGATGGCATCACTGTACTCCAAACTGTATGACAGAGCAAGACCCTGTCTCTAAAAAAATAATTAATTAATTAATAATAAAATGAAAATAGCAAGGAGTAGTCACTCAATGAGTGGTTGCCAAAGCATTTTACAACTGGTGCATTAACTAAGGAGAAACAGTGTTTCTTCTTACTTTTGCAGTTGATTTTATCTCTGTCTCTCGATCCTCATTAAGGGAAGGGTTGCCTTTTCTTTTTTCAGTTTGAGCCAATTTTTCTTCCTTCAAGCCTGGATTGAATTTTGCTCTTTCAAATCATAATATTGTTACAGGACCAAGAGGCTTACATGCCCACTGTGCAGTAACAGGCCAATTGCACTGACACAACAGGGCTTGCAGCAGAGAAATAGTTTAATGATCATAAGCTTCCCAGCAAAGAGGTGGGGGGAGACCCTCAAATCCATTTCCCCAACGAGGTCTGGGCAGGGTCTTTAAGGGTATCATGGAGGGCAAGAAAATGAAATGACCAAAAATTAGGGCCATTGATTGGTCAGGGTAAGGGAGACAAAATCATCAGGACATGGAAACTGCTTTCTTTAGTGAGTCTTCTCAGTGGGGTCCTTCAGAAAGCTGACATCAGTAGTTTCAGTGGTATGCAGGACCTGAAAGAATACATCAAACGGAAAATGTAATGCTTCCTAATGTTCACGTTGCTATCTATAGAATAGTTAAGGAAAACTATAATCTTGTAACAGGGTCTATGTAATTCTGAGGCAATAGACACTGAATAGCTATGAGGAAGCAGGTCAGAGAGTAAGCTGAACTAATGATGAATGCTGAATGTGCTGCAAACTTGGTTTATTTTTGTTTCTCTCCTTCCCTTCTTTCCTGATTAATTTTGTAAAGCTTATAGGAATGGTTTAAATATTAAAAAAAACTTCTTATTAGTATGTTTTTAATTTGTAGAATCAATAGAATCATTATCTAAAAAAGTTTTAATAATGTTTGCAAAAGAGAATGAATGTGTTATAAATCTTATGATAATATATGTAATTGTACAGCTGATGGAAATGAGGAGGCAGCAGACAAGGAATGAAGCACAGAGACGTTCATTTCTTCATTAAGAGACACAAGAAATAAAGTTTTAGTTCTATTCTTCAAAGTTATAATGTTAATAAGAACTGATAAAAAGATATAAATAGGAAACAGAGAATTTAATAATGTATTTTACTTAATGTAATCCACCATCTTTCATATCTGGAAGAAGAAATATTAAAAGTTTGATTAATTCATTAATTAACAAGAGCAGACATATTATGGAGATAACAACCAGAAAATTGACAGAAGAAATACTTAACAAATACTTACAAGCGCTTGCCTTTGGAGCTTGAAACTGTTGGTTAGTCTATACGGCAGGAGGCTTCTGCCTTTCTATAGTTAACAGTTTGTCGTGGTGGTGATGGTGGTGGCTTTCTATGTTTTAAACCCAGTGTATGCAGAATTTTGATGATTTTTAAAAAAATAATGTGAAGGAATTATATTAAAATATTTAACATTTTACTAAGGGATCTAAATGGAGATTTGCATAAATGGAAATAACATGATTTTTTTGGATTCGAAGCATGAATATTAGAAATATATCAATTCTTTATACATGTGTGTAAATAAACAGTTCCTAAAAAAACAGATTTGATTTTTATTTGTAAAAGTATATGTGCCACTTTTAAAAATTTAGCTCTCCCTATAAAAATATGTGTGTAAATATTGCCAAGAGAAGTCATAAAGTAAAAAATTTGATGGGTAATTTTTCAAAATCAGTATTAAACATACCCTAAATGAAATGATTTGCTACTCACAGGGATAGACAAAACAATCAGCAGATTATGATAGAAAACCAGGGGGAATTAAAACCTCGTAGTTCTGTGTATGCCCAACTTGTGTTTCAAAGCATTGCAGGGTAGGTATATTGTTTACTAAATGGTCTTGTGATAACTTTCTAGCTTTTATTAAATAAATGAGATTGGATCATTCTCTTACCTGTTATAATAAATGAGTTCAAATGAATCAATATTCTAAATTTAAAGGAATGAAAACATAAAAGTACTATAGAAATACAATCGATCTCTTTCTTTCTCACATACACTTAATCTCAGAGAGACTAAGGCTTTTCTAAACCTAAATAAAACCCAAGACAATTATTTTGTTTATAAGTGTCTAACAACTTTTATAATTAAAAACTCACTGTGAACAAAATAAAAAAGAAACAAAAAGAGCCCAGCAAGAATTGTAACATTTAGGACAGTAATGATTTGTGTACATTGTTCATCTATCATAAAATTGAGGAAGCTAGTATAAGAAACAGAAAAATCTCATTAAAAATATTTAAAGCACATCGAAGACATACAGAAAACATTTTGAAAAGATAATTTATTTTTACTATGGAAATCCAAAAAATAATTCACTTAAAAATTTGACAAAGATAAAATGTTATCATATAAATTTGAACCTTACAAAATAGCTGATATCCAACTGTTCTTAATATATAAATCTACAATTTTATAGGGTTCAACCCAAACATCATTAGTTTTGGAAACGCATGCAAACAAATACCCTAAATTGGAATGAGCAGTTTAAAAAAAAGTTTTAAACGTTGTCAATAGCTATCAAAATTAAAATTTATGCAATCCATCACTTAGCAATAAAAGTTCCAGGGATAGATCCACTGAGATCTCCATTGATACTAATTACAGCGCTCTTTTTATAACAAAATTAAAATCAATTTGGGGGAACAATTTAATATATTTTTCTAATAGAAGTATTATCTTAAAAATAAGGTAAATTTATATGTAGATATAAAATCTGCAAAAACGTTGTTAATAAAAATGATCATACAGAAACATTTGTATCATATATACACACATATACCTATTTGCCTAGAGAAGGTTGGAAATTGGCTGAAACTGTATAATATAGGCAGTTGATGAATTCTATCTCTGGGGCAGAGAACTGATAGTTTTTACTTAGCAGGCTAAATTATTCTGTACTGTTAATTTTTAAAACTTTTATCATTTTCATATTTTTAAAGCAAGCAATTTTAAATAATGGTATGGTTATTAGAATGAAATTACTTGCCATGGCTGAAACATCTATGTTATTTCTTAAATTTGAGTCTTTGACAGTGCTGCATCCTCCAGTTCTAGTGTTCTTACTTCCCGGCAATTCCTAGTCCCTAATTCACCTTTCAGGCCTTAACTTCCATGTTACTTACTCTAGGAAGCCTTCCAGCACTCCTAAGACTTGTTTAGGTGCCTGAATAGCAAAGTACTGAATACTTATTAACATCATGGTATCATCATATTTTTTTTTTGTAATTGTCTTTTTGCTTTCCCTCAACATTACCAAAAGCTCACTGAAGAAATCCACACTGCCACATTCAGGATCATAACTCTAGCAGTTAAAGTAGATTTTAGGATATCACTTATGTTCAATAAAATATGTAGTAGTGTCAAAGGAATTCTGAACAAAATGTAGACAAGATATATAAGATAAAATTTAAAAGAGGAAAAAAGGGCTGGGTGTGGTAGTTCACACCCGTAATCCCAGCACTTGGGGAGGCCAAGGCGGACGGATCATGAGGTCAGGAGTTTGAGACCAGCCTGACCAACATGGTGAAACACCATCTCTACTAAAAATACAAAAATTAGCTGGGTGTGGTGGCGCGTGCCTGTAATCTCAGCTACTCAGTAGGCTGAGGCAAGGGAATCGCTTGAACCTAGGAGGCAGAGGTTGCAATGAGCTGAGATCACACCACTGCACTCCAGCCTGAGTGACAGAGCTAGACTCTGTCTCAAAAAAAAAAAAAAAAAAAAAAAAAAGAGGAAAAAAGGAAGAAAAGACAGAAGAAACCCAAAATGTAATTTGTGAGATCATAATTCTGGCTAGGCCTTGATTTTGTCCTTGGTTGCTATTGTAGAACTAAAGAAGGTCTCAGATTTATGGATATCATCATCAGTGTGAGAGGAGAGTCTTCAAAGATATGCCTGAAAAGATATGCCATAAAATGAGGCAAAATAACATATCAATGACCTACGACAATCTTTTTTTTTTTTTTTTAAGATTGTTACAGTAGTCCTATATGGAAAATAAAGAGCTTTGGTAAAAATCTAGGCTACTGTTAGAAGCAATGAGACTCTACTAGAAAGAAATACACTCTGTAAAAGTAGCCTTTAGTGTGTAACTTTCATGTCTTCAACTATAATTTATGTCACTTCTGTAAAGCCATTACTCCATAATCAAAAATTCTTCCTTTTGGTTTTACAGGAAGATTGAAATTGAAATTAATACCTTAATGTAGAAGCATGATGAACTGCCTGTCAGTGAGGTCCGTGCTTGTACTTTTACAAAGTTCAATATCTAGTTCTTCTTGGGTGCTATGACTCATCTTCATGGAAATCATTTGTGGCATTATAGAACAAAAAGGCATGGGAGTCTCTTAGCAGTGTATGAAATTTCTCCTAGGTTCACATTATATTTAATGCAACTTTATAACCTAAGACAATTCTATGTTCACATTCGTATCATTTATTATCCACTAATAAGAAGGCTAAATGTAAAAGAATGGATGTAACAAGCAAGTAAAGAACACTTTTGATGCTAGAAAAAGTTCATTTCTAAACTTAGATACAGTTTATTCGAGAATGCAACCCATATCCTGTTGAATATTATTTTAGTTACTGTAGTTGTTCACATACTGAAAGAAGGAAGGTTTATTATTCAATGTAGCTGGTGATGCTAAACTAAATAGTCTCTCCTCCTGCAATATTTACCTTCCAGATGTTATATCTCTGGATTTTGGCAAAATAGATGTAAAAATGGTGACTTCACAGTGTTTTAAATGTATTATCCTTAATATAGGGATATAACTCTTAGTACTTTTTATTTATTAACTTCTAGCTAGTGAGGAAAATAAGATGTTTTATGACTGAGAAGAAAAGCAGGGAAAATAATTTAGGTTTCTATTTTTTATTAATAAAATAAGTTGGCAACTCCTGCCAAACCTACCTCGTAAAGGTTCTGCAAAGATAAAATGAGATGAAGTATGTCAAAGTGTAGTATAAACTCTGTGTGTGTGTGTGTGTGTGTGTGTACACATGCATATAAACCTTAAAATTGTTGACAATTGTTATTAATTATTTAGGGTTATGGTTTACAAAAAGTGACGTCTTGTTTCTTATTTCCTCTCTTCCTCTCTTTTTAAATTTGTTTTCATTGAAAGTTTCTGTCCTTGTCCTCCTCCTGAACTAAAAAAGGATTCCAACAAAGTACCCATTTATTCTATCCTTAGAGTGGTACTACTGCTCGATCTTTCATTAACTCCTTTGGGCAGTTGTAGACATTTTTGGGGAGATAGGTTTCAAGGAGGAACTTTGACTTTCCATGTACTGCTCTGTCCAAACCACAGAATGGTCCCCAAACCCTAGCTAATACCAGTCTTTCTCTAATATTTTCCTAAAGTAATTAGAAAAAGAAAGTCAACATGAAACTGCAGCTAGATGTGTCTTCTGTGAGATGCCATGGGCACACACCTTGGCTTGAAACTTCTCTTACTGGTTCCTGGTCAATTATCCCTACCTTTCCATTGAGGTAGTTCAGGTATTTATTTCCCAGAATTCATGAACACATAAGAATAAAAAACAGTTACCTATCAACTTATATCAATATTTCTCAAAAATAGTTATTCATCACATACATCAGAATTCTCCCACACATTGAGTTCTCAGTCCCACATCAGAAAGCTACAGAAATGGGAACTTGGAAGATGGGCAGTAAGTTAAGCAGGGGTGAAACTGTCTTAAGGAACATAAGTAGCTAGCCATTAAAAACATAGTTCCCAGTCCCACTCCAAAGACTTCTTGCCACAAAGTGGTTAAGGTGATAATGATAAAATGATGTTGTCAATCATGATGTTTCTAAATTAATACATCTTTATGTTAAAGATGAAAATACTAACAACTAACATTTTTTAGCCATATTATATTGGCAGTACCAGATTTAAAACTTATATTTTCTAGCTGGTTCTTTGCAGTCAAGATTGTTCAAAATCTCCTGTTTCCCAGACTGAATGACAGTGCAAATTTCCATACCTTATAGTTGGAACTTTACCTCCTGCCAACAGAGGTGTGGCCTTGCCTTTATAATGTATTTGAGCCATAGTTAAGGGCATAGCAATTCAATATCAGTGCATTTCCCAACGTAAGGGTTATGCAGGATCATATACCACATTCCAAATTGAACTTCACTCTTATTACACTGGTTCTTCTGAAATGAGATGAAGCTTATGCCTGTCTTGTCACTGGTTTATCACAAAAGAAAAAAAAACCTCCACAAGAAAAATATGATTTATAGATTGTAAATATAGATAAAGGAAATCTCCTCTCATTGTCTGGCCATACCACATGCCAAACAATAAAAAAGGAACAACAGTTGTAGAGATTCATCTCAGAAGTAGTTATACACAGATTTTTAAAATAAGAGAATACTTAGCTTCTTAGTCTAAAGTGTACATTTTGATCAATAGATTTTTCAGAGCTTTTCCCAATGACTAGTGGTTAGGTATTTATTTACATTTGTAAAAACGCAGGGTGCAAGCATCTTATTTTCCCACAGATAGGTAAACAATGATTGCTTCTATTTCAATCTACCTTTATCTGTTTTTCTGATTATCTGTCTTTCTGATTATCTGTCTGCCTATTTATTTACCTATTTTTCATCTTATGTGGTTTAGCCCTAGCCTTCATTTACAGGTAAAATAAATGGAAAGCAAGTGGTAAACTAACAAATCAAATATTAGAAAATATTAGAATAAAAATAGAGTAGAATAGAAGATTTAAATAATTATCAAAGGTTATGTTGTGGCAACAAAAAAGGACAACTCTTTTTTTATTCCAGGAGCTCTGAGACATAATAGTTATGTCATATGAATAGTTATATTCATAGCTGACATTGCAATGGACTCCTCAAGTATAAAATTAGTATGTGATGTGATAAGTGTATATCACATGAGGAACTGGAATTATTAAAATGTGACCTAGTAAATCCTATCTGCCAGAATGCTGCTTTAAAATATTAACATTCTAACTTAAACTCAAGGTGAGGTAGGCAAGTCTTTGACCTTATACCCTTAAGCATCTCAGTGTTTGCCTGAATAAAGAAATGCTTCAATTAAAATAAAAGCCCGTATTATGACAACTCCTAAAATTATGCCTCCATTTTTATGTGCATATTCTATGCCTCTCATGTTTTTCAGAGCCTTATTAAACTTTTTGCTTTGATAGTTAATTATAAGTGATTAATAATCAAGGGTGTCTAATGTGAAAGACTCATGGGATAGATCCTAAAGGAAATCCTAAAAGAAAACTGCCTGATACTTTGATAGTAAATATGAGGGCTGTGAGACCCATAGGCCATGAAACTTTAAACTGAATATATACACATATAGTAAAATCAGAAAGACCTAATTCCGTTGTTTTCAATATGCTTTATTATTTGAACCTTTAATTTTGTTTATTTACTTATTTTAGAGATGGGGTCTCACTATGTTGCCCAGGCAAGACTCAAACTTCTGGGCTTAAGTGATATTGCCACTACAATCTCCCAAGTAGATGGGATTACAGGCATGTGCCACTGCACCCAGCTAAACCTTTTGTTTTTCTTGCACTGTGAGAATAGGTACAGTAAGTACTCAGTCATGTCTATTCAATAAAATAAAAATATCACAAAATGACCCTTCAAAACTGTCCACTTTTTTCTACTGCTTTTAAAAGTATATTGTTTTTGTTTGTGCACACGTACCCTAGAACTTAAAGTATAATAAAAATAAATAAATAAATAAAAATATTTAGAAGAAAAAAGTATATTGTTTTTGTTTAGGCCTTGGGTACTTTGAAAAGTCCAGGTAAAACTAAATATAGTCAAAGAAAAAAGGATCATCTTCAGAGTATATTATATAAAGGGATACATTATTTATTATATATCATATGAGCATATTACATACATTAACACATTTATGTAAAAATAATAACATAATCTGTCATTATGCAACTATGACATACACCGTATGATCTTATATATTTTTGAATTCACTGTCCTTTCTGCTAATTAATTTAGCATTACTTGCTAACCCAGCAAATAAAAATTTTAATTTTCATAGAAAGGAACCATGAACAAAAGTGATAAAATAATATTAAAACAGAAGGTCTCAAAATATTGGTAATTCATTATAAAACTCAAATGCACAGTTCTCTATTTTTGTCATATTATGGGTGAATAATACATTTTCTTGTAATGGATTACAATTAATTATTAAATAACAATTTCATCTCTATGTAATTTTCTTTTTTATATATTTTTATTATATTAAAAAAAAATTTTTTTTTAAGAGACTCACTATTTTGCCCAGGCTGACTTCACACTGTTGCACTCACGTGATCCTCTCACCTTGGCCTCCCAAAGTTCTGGAATTACAGGTGTGAGCCACTGCACTTGGCTTCTAATTTTCTTTTAATTGTTGAGACTTCTGAAACTAGAATATGGACACTAGTAAAAAATATAGTGATTAAACAACAGAAATCACAGAAATGCAGGCATTACATCAATGACACAGAGCTGCATTATACAGAGAATATTTAGTACATATTTTGGTGGATATGGAAACAATCTGTTTACCCATTATTTAGCAATAACTCTCAATTATTTCTTTTCTCTCTTGTTAATAAAAGTAGAATATTAATAAATTTACATAATATGTTAATCATTTATATCAAAAGTTTCTGCCTTCTTAGTATATCAACCTTATTCCCTTTACTTAAGGAAGGTATAAATTCAGGCTGATTCTTAGGAGGCAAAAGACATTTGTTTTAATAAATGCTCCAGTAAGAGGAGCTCCCATGTGGATTTTGCCTAACCCAAGAATTCCTCCAGAAGAATATTCTGCTAGATGACATCATTTTCAAACCAAAATTTTACTATATTTTGTAGATTTAAGAAATAAACTCTGGCTCACAGAAGCATATGGTGCATTTTATTAGCATTCTGCACCAACATGAAGAGTCCTAGGGTTGTTGGTTATTGCTTTCCTCCTCATTATACCACATTATAGAAACCATGTCCAGGATGATCAAGTGATGAAGAGGTGGGCAGATGGATTATCCTTGTATGAAAGAGTATACCATGCAGTTCATCTCTGGTGCCACACTGAGAGGAAAACTAAGACAACAAATGCTACAGAACAGGTCAACAGCAGGGAGCCCTGAGAACAGTACCACTGAAGACTTCCAAAGAGGAAATCAAAAATAAGTAAATAAAAGTAGACATTGGTTTATGTTTTTAATCGGATGCCAAGAGCAAAACCTCTGCAGGAATGATAAATCTGTGGCCATTCTACAACACACAGGATCTCTGTATTCAACAAGGTAAATGTTTATATTAACCGTAATAGAAATCAGTGAGCATGCACTTTTAACCTTGGAAAATAAATCAGCATGTTAGAAACTGGATTTAACTCATTAGGTAGCACATTTTCACCCAAATAAAGCAGAACATAGTAAATTGAAGAAAAACAAATTGGTAGTTAATTACTTCATGTTTTAGATAGGGTGATTTAAATTATATTCATATTTGTTAATATTTTAGTGTCTTACACAAAACATAACTGAAAACTCATGTTCCTGATTAAAATTGCATTTTATAGATGCATTAAGAACCCACATTCCACATAAGGGATTCAGTGTCCAGCTAAAACTGCATAGCAAGAGACATGTTAGAGATCACTTCCCCAAGCAGGATGTCCAAGTTATAAATCCTTAGCTGAATCCCCTCCTTTTATTTCCTCCATGATAAAATAAAGTATAAATTATGTAGTGGAAGACATACACAAGAAACTTGCACTCAACATAAAAGGTCAAAATTATTTTCCTCCAGAACCATTTTTTGGGAGGTTCTATATTTTCTGTCACACTTGTGATTTATTAACATAACATTTTTCTCCTCTGGAGTGAAATTTCTTTAATCTTCAATGTTAAGACGAACATTAAAATTTGAATTATATTCTGTTAGAAAACTAGAAGATCAGACAATTCAGTAAATGGTCAAACAATATCAATGACTTATTTGTGGAAAAAAATAAGTGGTTTTCTCATGAAGAAAGGCAGAGAAGAAAAAAGATTAGTAAAGGATAAAATAAAAACAACACAACAGTTGAATAATCTCTTCCTGCAGAGAAAATTATGTAGGCTTTGTCTATAAGGTATGGAGTAGGAGTCCACATAGTACATGAAATGTACCTTTATTGCTTTTATTGGCAAAAGTATAATCTTGACCTTTGGTAAATAGTCCAGGGGATATATCCTACAAATCTGAGCAACATGTGAGAATCTCACCATAACCTACATACTTTAGTGCTTGGAAGACACAGGCCCAGTTATCGCATTTTATTTACATTTACATTTCCAAATTTCAGCCAGTAGCTTATGCACATCAGGACTCATATTAACTATTTCAAAAATATATGGAAACAGAGATGGAAATACATTTATCCTGGTTGTCATTTACCTTATTTGTACTTATGGTTGGAGACAACTGAAATTTTTGACTTTAACTGCTAATCTAAACTGTAATCTATACTTGAACATAAAAGAGTACATCAAATGATTAGAAGGCTGGCAAGTTTCATTTGCTAATTTGCAATAATCGTTGAATCCAGTAAACTGTAACTTCAATGTTAACCTTACTTTAACAGGACTTGTCATTCCATCTCTAGTTTATGCTAACTCAGTGGTCTCCAACATTTTTGGCACCTGGGACCGGTTCCGTGGAAGACAACAATTTTTCCACGGATGGGGTAGGGGATGGTTTGGGGATAATTCAAGTGCATTACGTTTATCATTAGATTATCATAAGGAGCATACAATCTAGATCCCTTGGATGCGCAGTTCACAATAGGGTTCGCGCCCTTATGAGAATCTAATGCTGCCACTGATCTGACAGGGGGTGGAGCTCAGGTGGTGGTAATGCTCTCTCTCCCACTGCTCGCCTCCTGCTGTGTGTCCCAGTTCCTAATAGGCCATGGACAGGTTTGGTGCGTGGCCTTGGGGCTGGGGATCTCTGTGCTAACTGATTTGAAAGGATGCTGAATTCTGAGGGTCAAAAGCTATTCTCTAGTAATCCAGCAAAAGTTTTTGTACTGAAAGCTTAATACCTTTTATATGCTACCTTATTGTTTACTTTTCTTTGAAAGCCATTTAATATTTCATCGAATTATCAAACCCATATATAAAATGGTTACTGTTTCTTATAGTCACGTTCACAAATGTATTTCAAATACATATCTGAACTTCTGAAATAGATGATTAGCTATTTATTTCATATTTTATAATACTGAACAAAGGATCTGGCATATAATAATGGCCCAACAAATATGCACTAAATACATAAGTGATATTTATCTTATTCTTTTCTGTTTTTGCTCTCTATCCTTTTTCTCTGGGCATTCATCCAATTGATATTTGCCCATCTTTATCCATAACATATTCACACTCTTTCCATCTTGACTTACTCTTGTTCATTGAATGTTCCAAGAAGTATCCTATCATAGGGACTTTTTCCAAACTGTTGTCTTCTCTCACTTTCTTCATATTGTTTACTCCCACTTAGCCTCTGTATCCTAGGTGCTCAACGTAGTCTCTGGAGTTTTGCCAAACTCTGACCTCTAGGTCACTTCTTTTGCTTTATGTTCTTACCTGTGCTTCAGAATCCCTCTCTCTTTAATTAAATCTTTATTGGCACAATTATTTTCGAAATATTCCCACACCAGATATTTTTACTCATCATTATATCTCTGCCTGGCAGATAATATATGGCCAAAAGTAGTTGTTGAATGAAACAGATTAATATAAGCGTGGAACAATAGATGTCTAGATTTTTAGAAAAATTTCCAGTGCACCTTTAGATTACCCGTAAAGATGACAGTCAGCAAAGAACAAATCTCATTTAAACTTTCCATGGCATTGTTTGTTTGATGCATCCACTTCCTTTGAAAGCACTTTTTCTTTCCTTGTGATCTGGTGGCTGAACATGTTTTTTTTTTTTTTTTCCTGATTGTGAGAAGGTGTTTTATTTTAGCATAGTATTCAACAGCATATAACAGAAGTTGACTATGGTGTTTAATTATTTATTACTTACAAAATTATTTAAACATTTTTAAACCATGTATTTTTGTCACATTTCAGAAACAAAGTTTTTTGTTGGATTATAGTCAATGCTGTATACTTTCTACATTTTAAGAGTTAAGGAAATTAAGGTATAAAGTACGATGGTTTACCAATTTATATGGACATTTAATAGGGGATGTAGAACTATAATTCTGGAGTTTATTTCATTATTTATTATTTATTTATTTAGACTTTTATTTTTGATTCAGGGGTACAAGTACTGGTTCATTGTATAGGTAAACTCATGTCACAGGGGTTTGTTGTACAAATTAGAACATGTTTCTTGAAGGATGCACCGTTACCTACAGCAGTGTTTCCAAATCTAGCCATGACTCAGAATTACTGCAGCCATTAAAAACTAGTCTTCCTGACATAGATTCTATGCCTGTTAATATTGGGTTTCCTGAAATGAGGCCAAGAAGTCTGCGTGTCTGTGGATATATGTATGTATATATATGCCCTAAAAAGTACAGGCGTATTTTCTGTTGCCATCGACATAGTACTCCAAACCAGAATTATGGTATTAGATCCCCTGTTAAATGTTCACCTAAATTGGGAAACCATCATATTTTATACCTTAATTTCCTTACCTCTAAAATGTAGAAATTATACAGCATGGACTATAATCCAACAAAAAACTTTATATTTCTGAAACTTAACAAAAATAGATGGTTTAAAGATATTTAAAAAATTTTTGTATTATAGTTGACCCTTGAAGAACATGTGTTTGAATTGTTTGAGTCTTCTTATACATGGATTTTCTTCTGCATCTGCTGCTGCTGAGACAGACAGCAAGACCAACCCCTCCTCTTCCCTCTCCTCAGCCTACTCGATGACATGGAGATAGCAAGAATGAAGACGTTTATGACAATTCCCTTCGGCTTAATAAACAGTAAATGTATTTTCTCTTACTTACGATTTTCTTAACAATATTTTCCTTTATCTAACTTACTTTATTCTTAGAATATAGTATATAATACATATACTATAAAAATACATGTTAATCAACTGTTTATATCATTGGTAAAGTTCCTGGTAAACAGTAGGCCACTAGTAGTTACATTTTAGTAGAGTCAGAAGTTATACACAGAGTTTTCAACTTTGTGGGTGTCATCGCCCCTAACCACCCCCCATTGTTCAAGTGTCAATTGTTTAGCATTTACCCACAATAAGTAAGCCCACAAATAATTTTCTGGATTATTTTTGTTATTTTGGAAAGCATATGTGACAATATTGATGGTACGATACAAATACAGGCATATACTTGCTTGCTTTAACTTGACTGTATAATGGATGGCCCAGTTATAGTTTCCTGAAAGAGCAGTGTTGCCTTCTATGATACATATTATAATTGTTATATTTTATATAATGTTCCAGGGTTGAAATATTATTATATCAAGGAAACATCAAAATTTATAACAAAGATAATTAATTCAAACTAGAATCTGAACCAAAAGTTGTTTGCCAGATATTAATGCCCAAGACTAGATATCAGTTATATTCACTAGCTCCAAAGAGAGGAAGGCACTGACTTATGTGTCTTTTCCACCCTTATGCAGTCATTAAATGCAAGCAATAAACATGAATATGCACAAAAGCACATATCAGCATTAGCAATCAAATTAGTGCCACTTGCATTTATAGCAGATTTTTAAATGCCTTGAATCATATTAGAAACATAAAGAAGAACATTCTACACTGGCCTGAATGTCCCTTCAGGATATACAAAGCTTAAATGGAATTCCTCTGATGAAGCAGACTAGAATTTGACTAGATCTGTAATGCTGACACAAACCATATTGAAATGGAGTTGACCTATAGTTCCTCATACTCAAATGCTCCTACTGAGAAAGTGTGAATTCTAGCATGCAATTTTGATATCAAAAGTTTTAAGGTCAAGAAAAAAAGATATAAAAATGAATTCTAAGCTTTTACACTTGAAGAGTCAAACAGAATGTATTAATTTTTGAAGCAATGTTTTTGTGAATATAAGTTTCTACTTCATTGACTAAAATTCTATTTCCTAAAGTGAGCACTGTCAAGAGATTGTCTTCAGACATAAATTCCCTTAAAATAAATTAAACAAGATCTTTTTCAATATTCTCAAAATAGTGAAAGAGCAAGTGAAGGCAAGATACATAGTCAAGTCTTACAAAAATTTGGAGACAGGTGGGTGGGGTGGGGAAGAGGGATATGTTATTGTGAATCCAAATTTGAAGCAAGGGAAAAATGGTTTTCAACTATCAAGAATGTGTAGGGACTGAGTTAATCTAGGATAGTTTAATGAACACTGGAAGAAACCATGAGGCACCTGGGTCAGAAACAACGAATGTTTTATTACTCACAGTAATAGCAGTGGTTAGAGTATCAGCATTTTCTGTCCTGATTTCCTCAGCTCCCAGTTCCCCAGATAAATGAACAGAAGAGCAGATGATATTTGTACATGCAGTGGGATTCTATGGACAGGAAGCATGTCTGTCTTTTGTTCCGGAAAGTACCAGAACAAATTATCCAGAGTGAAACTATGTCTATCTTCCAAGGCCATAAACAACCCTTCCATTTGCACACTAGAGTGACAATATCTCTGTTTTCCAAGGATGTTCATTATGCATTCATACATATTTCAGAACAGTCCATGCCTCTGCAATACAATCAGAAATGTGAGAGACTGTGGAGAATCGTCTCTCAACACCTCTGAAACTACATTTCATATTTTCTAAGCTAGGGCCAAGGAAGGTAAACATTTAGCCTTTCATCACTTAGCAAAAGGCAAGAAAACTGGCACTTCAAAAGGCAGGAATGGAAAAATTGTCCACAGTTCTCAAGGTATCCTTCAGATATAAGCTAACTATAGCTTCTCTTCATAGTCCCGCTTCTATGACACATAACTACAAGCCCATGTAGCTGTCTCTATCCAGAAAATTACTATTTGACACAAACGACACAGTGACTTCTCTATCCTTCTGCTGTAGATTTGAATGTATAAGCATGTTATAGGGGAAAATAAAAGTTTCAGATCACTCTTGTTCACCTCTCCTGCCAGTTTATCAGCACATTTGAATTAAAGTATAATCCATTCTGCATAAAAGTTAATAAACCACAGCCCCTTCAAAAACATAGCAATCTGATTTGACAGGAACAAAAATTTAAAATGCACAAATATGGCTCACTGCATTCAGTATGTTTAATATTATTTAACCACTGCAAATAATGTTGGGCCATTCTTTCTTAAGCTTAACTATGAATTCTGGTTGATATAAAACTTTTAGTTAAACATCCAAAAAAAACACTATCCAATAAAAACATTTAATACCATAAGTAATTGTAATTATCATGGAATGATAACTGAAAAATTATTCCCAATTGCACGTGTCATGAAAATCCTACAGAGTCCTGAGTCACAGGCTTTTATTTGTTATGGTGCCAGAAGTTCCACTATTACCACACACAGGGTTACTAAAGTCTATCATGTTTCACGGGATAGATAACACTAAAACAGCCCATGTTGCATAGGATTATACTAAAACTGCCATTGTGAAGAATAATAATAAAAAGCTCTCAAAAACCCAGCAACTATTATGACACGCTTAGGCTATGAAACCCAAGACTAAATAAAAGACTATTCAAACTTTTGTTTTTGAAATAATCATTGTCTTAAATTTTCTTGTAGATTTATTCGGTTCTAAATGAGTAGAAAGCAAGAAAAAAAGTCTCAGATTTTATCAGATACTTTAGGGCACAGATATTTTGTCTACTGGTTAAATGTGTTGATTATATTATTAAAACCTGTGAATATTCATTAAGTTCAGGGTATTCAGTTTCCAGACATTTATGATGTCTCACAATAGCACAAACTTCAGAAAATCAGGGAAGACAAGATTTGAATTTTACAGGTGTAGTTTATCAATTTTCAAAACAGGTCAGGTGTAAAAACCTTACTCGCATGTGATAAAGGGAAGTTGTTAAACTCTGATTTATTAGACAGTGACAAATGCACTTACCATGCTTTTGATTTTTTTGGGGGGGTGGGGGAGATGGAATCTTGCTCTGTCACCCAGGCTAAAGTGCAGTGACACCATCTCAGCTCACCGCAACCTCCGCCTCCTGGGTTCAAGTGATTCTCCAGCCTGAGCCTCCTGAGTAGCTGGGATTACATTCATGTGCCACCACATCTGGCTTTTTAAAAAAATTTTTTTTTTGTATTTTTAGTAGAGACAGGGTTTCACCATGTTGGTCAGGTTGGTCTTGAACTCCTGACCACAAATGATCCACCCGCCTCAGCCTCCCAAATTGCCTGATTGTGTTTATTCAACACTAATATAAATAGTTATATTATTTTGTTTTTAATGTGAATTGTGAATATATACCATTTAATATGTTTAAGATTTTAAAAAGAGCAAACTTACTTTACAAAGAAATTTGGTAAATATGTTGTTAAAATCAGCTTTATGAAATGCCAAATACTATGGATTTGAAGCACCTCTAGCTTACTTACCTATTTTGTCTATAATTATCTAAAGTATAGAACATATGAACATATAGTGAAAATGTAATAGTGCTTGGCAAATGTGACAGTGTTACTTTATAGGCTATCTCTACATACATTATTTAACATGGCACATTGCATTTGTTTCTACTGTTCCCTGAAACCCTTCTGAAATAACAGTGACACAATTAAAAAGTCAGGAAATCACAAAGACAGTGAGAACAATAGTAGATAATTGTTAACTAGAATGTTGGACAAATGAAGGGTAGATTGTAACCTACATTTCCAACAGAGAATATTTAAGTGTAACTGCCTGTGGCAGGGTAAAGACAGATAAATTCTAATAACAAACAAGGCAATTATTGTCACAAAAACCCAGAAATCCTCAGGAATTGGAGGTCCCTGCTATTGGTGAAGGCCAGGATGTAGGGTTTGGGGGAACATAGGAAGATAAGAAGTCAAAGTGAAATTACGTCTCCTCTCTCAGACTATGCAGACATTAAACTTGCCTCCTTCATTCCTTCAGAGATGGGAGGCAGAGCAGAGGGGGTAGACTGGGAACATTTTGTAAAGATTTGGTGGAAATTAACAAACAGTGATGGGAACGTCAGCCCATTTCCCTTATTCAACTTCCATATTTGGGAGAGCCAGGCTAAAACTTCCCCAAACCTCCCAAACTACCTTTCACAAAAGCAGGAGATTACAAGATTCTTCTCCAAGTAAGCTGGCCTAAGAAACAATATGAATGAAATTTGATAGCTTGATCTTCTATGACACAGTCTCATCAGTGAGTAAGCCTTGACCATGAGTGGGAATGTCTAATAACCTTTAATTTATAATGCTGTTTCTAGTGCCTCATTCTTAAGTGTGAACTAACAGTGAGTCTTTGAGTCTTTCTTTACTCCAAAAGCAACAAAAGAGGCCAGGAGAAATTAAGAGAGGAAAAAAAAAAAATTCATAAAAAACCCTTAGACCATCCAAAGAGTGAAAAATTTCATTTGTATGTGTATGTGGATGATATATGCATTCCATAGAATATACTATTCCAAAAATAAAGAAGTTATTCTTTCTTTCAGTAGGAATTAGGATTTTTTTTTTTTTAATTAAAAAAGAACAGTCAGAGAACAAGAATGTACTTTTGGAAATTAAAAAAAAAAATTTCCAGAAACTAAACGTTTATTCAAAAAATTATAATATCCAGTTGAGAAATTCAAAATATAGAAAAATTATATAGACTATGAAAATAAAAGAGCAATAAAAAATGCAACATTTAATTTCAGGAAATGAATAGATAAAACAAAGTAGAAGAAAGTATAAAAGACAAAGTAATATATTATCCCAGGACCTAAAATATATGAATATGATAACTAAAGGGCCTACAGGTAACCAAACTAATGAAAAAAAAAAGGTTCTCACCAACATAAAAGAAACTTAAACATCATGAAATCAAAAGAATGAAGCTGAAGTTTTTGAAGTGGAGAGAAATTATGAATGAAACAGAACCTATTGGTATTTTTAGGAGCATTCCTAGAAGGTGGAAGTCAGTAAAGCAAAATTTTAAAATTATGTAGGAATGTTATTTCCAAACTACAACTCTGTACTCAGCCATGCTATTTTTCATGAGGGATATGAAGGTATTTTCAGTCAAGCAAGTGCCCAAAAAATATACTGGAGTAGATAAAGAGAAGTACCTCCAAGTATTAAAACAGAGAGAGAAAGAGGAAGAGACAGAGAGAAGGGAAGAAAGAGAAACATCTCACTGAATGCAACAGGAGGAATTTTATAGTTTAGATGGAGATTTGAGGACTGAATTCAGCTGAATTCAGATGTGATGGGCGTATATTAATATAAAGGCAATTATTTACTCCAGGGTGGAGAGGTGAGAGAGAGATGTATGAGAAGAAACCAGAAGGCTCAGTTGTGAAAATGATTGCATAAATAAACAATGTTTAAAAATTATTAATATAATGAGAAAATGTGAGTAAAACTAGACAATGTGAGGAGGAAAAGTGTGTGTGTTCAGAGGGGGTGTGTAAGTTAGAAGATACTTGGCATGAGAGGACAAAATTCTTTCTTTCCATAGTAGGTAATCAATAGGTCACTTCTAAACCTGACCATAAGCAACAGTATCATTAACCTACTACTTAGAAAAATATGATATATAGTTGAAGAAATTGCTACAATTTGAAAATGATAATATGAATATTCCATCTTGACCAACAAATGTGACAGGGATTGAGGTTGGCATATTTTTTTTTTATTTCTGAATAGAGCTTTCTAACAATATGAGGTCATTTTTACCTTACCAGGATAGCCAGAGTTTTTAACTAAAACAAATCATCCAAGTATTTAACTGAAAAACATTAATATTAACAAAAGATACCAATAGTTGGGATGAAGTTATATTTATATGATGATATGTATGTCATATTGGATCCAGAAGAGTAAACACACAGGAGGTTGACAAGAGGGTACAGTGATTTCAATCTTTGGAGCAGCTTCTCTGTTTCAAACACTGGAAATGAGTGGTAAATTATCAAAAGATAAAAGATACAGGCAGAGTCATAAAAAATGATAAACATTTCAGCAGACCAGAACTCAAATCGTCAGGGCTTAGTAATATTATAGATGCAAATATCTGTTAGGTGAGTGGCAGCCTGTGAGTCAGTGTGGGGGAAAATAAGCCCTTCAGTCCACCAGTGAACAAGAGCTAGGCTCTCTGTTTAAATGGGATGCATAGCATTAAAAGTAAACTAATGACCCAGTAGACGTGTAAACCCCTATTTTAAACCACATAATTAAATTTAATGCTAAGAAATATAACCAAAAATTGACATTAAGGGTTGAATTAATTTTATAGGAGTTCTCTTATGAGATGCCTAGATGTTAAAGAAGCAGAGAATGAGAAATGAAGAATTCCCTTTTATAATAAAAGAAAAAGAAAAAATAAAATATAGATAGGGAAAAATGAAGCAAGGACAAAACAATTCATAAAAAAGGCAATTAGAAAGTGATATGAATATGGCTTTATAGTTATTAAAATTTATGTAAAATATTTTATATATGACTGTATAATATATAGATGAATTTAAGAAAATTGTGAAAAATACATTAGAGCTGAAAAAAAGAAACAATGAATAAAAGCTCTTGGAAATAAAAACAGTGGCCAAAATTTAAAAACTGAATAGGTTATGTATTCTTTCTGGACACACTTACAGAGAGAACTTGAGAAAAGGAGAAAAAATTAAGAATTCCTCCCCATAAAAAGAAAACTCAAAACAGCAGAACATACAAAGAGATACAGCAACTGAAATACAGCAGGTACATATAGAAGATAAATCAAGAGACTCTAATATATGCCAAATAATAATTCGAGAAGAATGGAGAGAAAAGATAATGCAATAGTGATATATTCTGAAGTAAAAACAAATGAATCAGCATTAGTTGTAAAAATAAAGAGGCAGAATTATCTAAGTATTGTATGAGAATATGTAAACATTCTTATGCCAATAAATTTGAAAATTAAATTAAATGAAAAAACTGGAAATAAAATGTGAATTATCAAAATTGATTTGAGGAAGAACAGAAAACTACATTAAAACAATATATATTAGTAAAATTAAAGGGGTCCTCACAAGTTGCCTCCTCTCACTTTTGACCCTAAAACATCAGGTAAGACAATGATGTGTTGAGGATCCCTTCATTAATACCTCTACAAGAATTAAGATGGTGTTAAGTGCATCTTACTAGCTGGATAGAACTCTAAGGCCTACTACTAATGTAGCAGTAGAGTCTTTCAAAAACAATTCTGGATTTGTCTTTGGAGGCTGAGATGGAATATAATCAGAAACAGAAACACCACAAACTTTTTAAAGAAGATAAACTGTTAAAAGCACTGCCATCCTGGGTGAATATGGACTTAAACATTTCAAACTTAAAAAGGATCAGGACAGATGTTTTACAAGCAGAAAGCAATCTATGAAAATTTCTCAAAATGTTTTCAAAAGGCTTCTTCAGAAGCTTTCAAAGGGGGTCAAAATCCAAAGAGAACAATAACCTGGGAAGCCATGCTCAGAGAAAATAACAAAGACTTAATAGAGAACATTACTCCTCCACAGAATGGGAAAATCTGACATTCGCACAGCAGGATTTCAGAATTGTGAGGGACCATTGACTTGTGTGTTCCTCTTCTTCTTCCCTATTTCAATAGCTGGGTTTATGATAATTACTTAGTCTTAGTCACCTGCATTCATGCATTTGTGTGTGGAGGTGGGTCGGGGGGACAGAATTTATCTTTTCAGTTCATGTGTCTGCAACAAAAGGAGCCATATCCAAATAGGACATATCATGAGATCCTAGATTTCAAGCCTGATGCTTGATAATAGTGGATAATACTTATGAAGGTCTTGGTGGAGGCTGAGAATATTTTGCACATGAAAGGGTTGTGGATAATACTGCTGGAGAAGGAGGGTGGAGGAACTCGCATAGAGGCATTGCATTGGTGACCCTGATTCTGTACCCCACTCAGTACTCACATTCTTGACATATATGACTTCACACTTCCTTTCACTGCAAGGGCATTTTCTATTTTCTACAATTTGAGTTTGACTCAGTGACAAGCATTGACTTTATTTAGCTAACTTTTTCCTTGATTCATTAAGAAAGTGAGTGTTTTGGTATTTTTCACTTGCTGAGTATTTTCTGGTCTCATAGCTTGAAGCAAATTAGTTACTCAACAAACATTTATTTGTTATTTTACATTTTCATCCCCAATGAGAAATCATTCATGATCTTATTCTCTCTCTATCGGCCTTGAGAGGCTGGAAATGAGAAATAGTTTTATTTTCCAAACCAGAAAATTCTGACTCTTTTATGTTCCCTCTAAATTTGGCTTGCTAAGTTCTGGATTATTTCCTGCATTTATCTCTTCCTTTCAGTACCTCATTTTCAGCTAGCGAGAACCCCTGACTTTTTATCATCGTGCATGGCAATCTGTTAAGTCAAATTCAAAAGTTTTTAGGTGCTTTTCTAATTTCTAAGTTATTTTGAGCAACAGTTTTACCAATGTTTCAACACTACATGACACAAACTGTCATTTTCCCACCCCTTTTAGTAGTGTAAATATAATTTTTCCCACTCTCAAGCTAATGATCATACATTTTAGATTTTTATTAAGGTAGCAGTTTAGTAAAATAAAGAATAACTTTTACACAGTGGTGGCAACACAAACAAAACTGAGATTTACATTATATGCCATTCAGATTAATACACAAAATTAATAATATGCTTTTAAGGGTGGAAAATAGAAAGATGACTACCATGTTGCTTCCGAACAAAACTCAGAAGAGAGAAATGCTGCTTGGCATTTGTATGTTTCTTACAACTATGAAAAAATATTCAGCCTCCCAAAGAAAAACTAAAAGACAATGAGACTCCATCAAAAGTCAGAGTGTCATGAATAAGAAATTTGATAACTATTAAAAAAGAAGTTATCAAGTTACATATTAGTGATAAGAAATAGAAATTATTTTATTATAATTGGAGAAAAACATGGCAATGCCAAACATGTAAAATTAGACTTCACAATTTCACTTCTGCTTATTGCACTTAGAGCAACTCTTATACAAAATACTCAGAAAAGCAAATGAAAGAATTTTATAGCAATATTGTTTATAAGAAGATAAAAATGAAATCATGTCACTAAATGTCCATCAATAGAATTAATGCTTTGAATCTCAAATAGAAAATATTAATACATTAACACATTGAATTATTATATCTCAATTAAAGCAGGTATATTTCAAAAATACATTTAAAAAGAGCATGTTATGAAACTATATGAATAATGCTAAAAGTTCAAAAACATATAAAACAATATTATGCATTCTTATATATGAGTCTGTCTGTGTTTAGTAATTTTATTTATTTATTTATTTTTTTGACGGAGTCTTGCTCTGTCGCCCAGGCTGGAGTGCAGTGGCGCAATCTCGGCTCACTGCAACCTCTGCCTCCTTGGTTCAAGTGATTCTCCTGCCTCAGCCTCCTGTGTAGCTGGGATTACAGGTGCCCGCCACTATGCCCCGCTAATTTTTTGTATTTTTAGCAGAGATGGGGTTTCGCCATGTTGGCCAGGCTGGTCTTGAACTTCTGACCTCAGATGATCTGCCCGCCTCAGTCTCCCAAAGTGCTGGGATTACAGGCGCAAGCCACCGCACCTGGCCTAATTTACATTTTATATACATTATTATTTTTAAAAACATTCTCTGCTCTGTTTCTGTTCTAGCGAATCAAGCTTTATCATGGGTGTCTCATTATAAGAGGAGAGTATCTCTCTACTCCAGTTTATCTTAGGAATGGCATGTGACTTGTTTCAGTCCATGAAAAACTACGGCATATATTATGACTCTTTCAAGATGAAATTTTAAGAACTAGTTTGACATTCTGTATTTACTGTTCTTTCTTTAATGGGACAGGTAATGTCCGAAATAGGACCTGTTATGTCAGCCAGAGACTTAAATTAAACATAATGTAGAGTAGTAGTTCTATAGCTCACCTATGATTAATTTGCCATGGGAGAAATAAGTTACAAGCTACTTATACTGGTCATTAGTTATCACTGCATAACTTAACCTATGCTGTCTAATTATAATTCATGAGAATGCTTTCTAAAGTATAATTCATGAGAATGCTAAAGAGAAAATTCAAAATAACAGTAACCTCAGTATAAAAGAAATGAGAAGTATAGGTCAGGGGAATGCACAGAGTGCTTTAGCCTTATCTATGCTATTTTATTAACTGAAACATAATTGGAAAATGATATTACACAATGTTGATATCTGGTAAGTCTACATGGTGGATATCTGAGCATATTTTATACTTTTTTTATATTTCTGAGTGTTTGAATTATTCTGTAATAAAGCAACTCTTTAAAAACAAAAATAAAATGCGAAACATGAAACCCTAAGTGGCATCAAATTTTTGAATATTTTTGTCTTCAGTTAACAACTAAGATACCACCTTTTTGATCTGTTTTGGTGGAAGAAATTATATTTTTGTTCATAAACTAATTACAGTATTAAGTCAATTTTTTATCATCTAAGTAGCACATTAAAATAAAGCAAACTTCATAGGTGAGATATATGTCATCCCAACTAAGAATGAAATACAACAGTTCACAATTCCCATTTCACAATGAATATTAAAAAATTACAATTACGTGAATATGTGCAAAAATTAAGTGAATTAAGGCAGTTACAATTTACAGAGACATCTGTTAGGTCTGAAGCCTTTAAGAAAGTATTAAGATTAAAAAGTTGCTTTGATTGTTATTGTTGCTATTTTTAATTTTAATATTTAGCTTGTATCCATACCAAGATAACACAGACTGTATTATATCCTATTTTCACAAAAAATTAAACAGTTACCATTTTCATTTTAGGTAGTATGTAAAAGAAAATTAATGGTTATTTAGTGTCATAATATCTCATATAATTCATCTATAAATTTTCCTAATTTGGAAAAGAGTCAAAGGTGAGCAATTAAAGCAATATTCTGTTCTACAAATGAAGATTATTATCAGTCTACAAAATTAATCAGATATGGCAGGAAGTATTTTCAGTAGTTAACAATGATTAGTCTGTAGTTTACTAGTATTATGAGAATAGAATTGGAATGAATGTTTCTCTGAATCTGTATGCATTTGCATTCCACCTTAATAATGCCTTCAATTGACTGAAAGCAGCAAAAAAAAATATGCAATTAAGTGTGATAAGTTGAATTTACTCAAACTGGGTCTTAGAAGAGTTTCTAGTGAGATATTGGATTTCACTGAATATACTGTAATATTCTGGTGTCCATTTTTCATGTCTTAAATTACTTTGTCAGTTAAAATGCAGTGGAGTTAATAGTTTGCAAAATATATATTTTGTCACAATTTTCCAATAGATAAAATTATGTATACATTAGGGTGGCTTTGGCCACAAGTAACAGAAAAATCTAGTCTAAGTTAGCTTAAAAGCATAGAGACGTAAAATATCTCCAAAGGCATGTTTAATTCAGGATGGCTCCCCTCATGGTTGAACACTAGTTGCAATAATCCTAGGCATTTCATCTAGACATTGTCATATCCAGTGGGAGAAAAGGGACTATCTCTGCAGTGTCTGTTAGAGTACTAACATTTCTCTATAGATCCCTCCTGAGTATATTTGCCCAGAAAATAGTTATGTATTCAACTGTTAATAGATAATGGAAAGAGAAAAGGAATTACCACAATTGGCTCAGGTTTATAAATTTTACCCCTTATCTGGGCCTAGAGTCACTTTGCCCGAGATATATATATATATATATATATATATATATATAGATATATATATATATATATATATATATTTTCCTGGTGTGCGTGTATATATATATATATGTGTGTGTGTGTGTGTGTGTGTATATATATATGTGTGTGTATATATATATATATATACACACATATATATATATGTTTTCCTGGTATATATATACATATATTTTCCTGGTGTGTATATGTATGTATAATAATATATATATTTTTTCCTGGTGTGTGTGTGTGTATATATATACATACACATCCTACACATATATGCATATATACACATCCTGATATGTATATATATATCAGGAAAAACTGTGGTTCTGTTTGCAGAAAAGTGGGGGATTGATTGATTGATGTTGGGTCAGTAACCCACAACTTTCTACATAGAAGAAGCTGTAGAAAGATATAAACCAAAAAAAAATAAAAAAAGCAATAACAGCCCCCAACATACACAAAAATGCACCCAGTCACATACACGTGCACACATGTACACCCACATACCCACACACAAATTCTCTTTAAACTAACCTGAATTAAAATAGACATACAATATTATTAATTTATTTAGAAATTGACTATTTTGAACCATGATTTACAATGGTATCAGCCAGGGTTCTCCAGAAAAACAGAACCAATAGAACACATACATGTAGACATACATATGAAGACCTTAATTTCAAGGAACTGACTTCCATGATTGTGGGGGCTGGCAAGTCTTAACTATGCAGGGCAGGCTAGCAGGCTAGAAACTCTCAGGCATGAACTGATACTGCAGTCTTGAGGCAGAATTTCTTCTGCCTCAGGGAAACCTGTTGTGATTTTGAGGCCTGTCAATTGATTAGATGATGCCTACTGATGTTACCCAGAAGCATCTCCTTTACTTACCATCCACTGATTGGAGATGTTAACCTTATCTACAAAATACCTCCACAGCAATACCTAGGTTAGTGTGTGAATAACAAGGTAATATAGCCTTGCTAAGTTAACACATAAAACTGACCATAACATATATGTTTTAAGAATGGTGTTACTTTGATTTTCAACTGATGACAACATGATAATTAGGTAATATATAAATAAATGCCATTATATTCAAAAAAATCACTTTGGTAAGATGTATCTAATTTCTGTTGAAAAATTGGTACTGATAAGTTCATTGTATTTTAAAATTATTTAAGTTATGAAATGTTTCATACATACAGAAGATAATATGCTAAATACCTGTTTACTTATGATCTAGATTTTATAAATGCCATCATTTGTTACAATTTTGACTTTTCATCATTAGTTACATGAAATATTATAGGTGAAACTTTCATCACTCATGTTATTTCTCTACTCTTATCCCAGATGAAGCTATTATATTTAGGTTGGTATATTTCATTCATTTTCATGATTTTATATATTGTATAAACAATATGTACACAAAACTATACATATATATGAGATGGTAGGATGTGTTTTAATTTATCATGCTATCACAATGTAGACATTTTCATGCAATATTTTAAAGTCAACATTAATTCTTTCGTATGTATCCTGTTATATTTACATTTGGTTTATTCATTTTAATAGCTAAACAGTATTCCAATGTATGACTGCAGGAAACTATTTTTTAAGTTTTTCACGTTTACTTCATTCATTCGTCTGAACTTTGTTTCGGGATACTGTGTGAAATGAAAACTATTGATTCATATATGTCACCAAAGGTAACAGTGACATTATTGACTGGACTGAATTAGCCATTCCTCATGGTGTCAGTTCTACTTCTGTCATATATCAAGTTGCTATAGGATTTAGATCTCCTTCTGAGCTCTTTTATATTTAGTTCTTAAATCCTTCTATAAATATCCTTTGATTGCAGTTACTAAATCTTTATGTCAAATCTAAATATCTGGCAGGCCAAGGGAACCCCTTTCTATTCCCCATGCAAACTCAATTTTCTTCTTCAAAATTGTTTGTCTGTATTTGGCTTTGTATTCATCCATATGAATTCCTGTATCAGAATGTCTAATTCTGGAAAGAATCCTACTAGGAATTTGATTCAAATTGCAAATAACTTACAGGTTAATTTGGGGGAGAATTGACATCATTAATACATTCAGTATCCCAATGGAAATGTAGAGTGTACCTCTATTTTTTTGAACATTTATATATGTCCTAAAATAGATTTTGTTATTTTTCTCTATAAAGTTCTAACAAATACTTCTTATTTGTAAGTACCCTACAGGCTTTAAAAATATTATGAATAAGGTTATCAAATATTATATTTTTGAAATTTTTTCATAAGTATGATTTTGTGATGAAATCTGAGATCAAGATGCTGGCTGATTCCTGTCCTGGTGAGGGATCTTTTCCTGGCCTACAGAGTTGCCTTCTTTCTATGTCCTCATATAGTCCTTCCTCTAATTGTTGCATAGGGTTCTGCATATTCTTTAAGTAAAGGTTGTTACCTGTGCTTTTCAATTATTCAATTGCATTATTTATTTTTGTCTTCTTATCAAATGAATATGTTGATCTTTCCCATGTTTTTATAAAGGTCAATTATTCCTCTTGTTTTACATATGTATATGCGTTTTTGTATATATATGTGTATATATATCTCTCTCTCGCTATATCTGGCGAATACATGGTCAGACTTTTAAAAATTCTTCCTGAAGTGTTTGGAATTATTTTTAATTGATTAATATTTCTGATCAAATATTTACAAGTACAAATAACTATAGAGATTTAATAAGCTGAGAGAACACACCATTAAGGAAAGTTTGATATTTTGGAAAAAAGACCAAAAATAACACAGGGTTTTTTTTTTTTTATTCAAAGCTTATTTATGTTATCAAGGACTCAAGTTTATTTCTCATTTATTGCCATCATCATTTTGCACATCTTGTTGGTTTACATTCAGTGGAAGAAAGGAAGGACTTCCTCCCCAGTCATACATATTAAAGTTCTTCTTTTGGGTCTAATTCAGAACATAAAACAAAACAAAAAAGCCTGAATCAGTACCTAGGACAAAAACAGTCCTAGTGAAACTTAGAGCTGTGCTTGCCAAACCATTTATTGTAGTAGTTCTCACCTTGACTCCATATTGCTATCATTTTGGAGGCTTTAATATGTACTAATGCCTAGATCGCAACCCCAGAGATTCTGATTTTTATCTACGTTAATGGAGTCAGGAGCTATATTTAGGTGATTATAATATGCTAGCAGTGTTGGGACTCATATCATTAAAACGGGAATGGAAGAATTCATGCTTTATTGGACGAGTCTGTGTAAAATGGGTACAGAGGTGTCAACCACAGTGTACGTGACATAAAAATATATTTATTTTAAAGATGTCTTTATTTCACCTTTGTTCATGAAAGATAGAATTTCAGACTGACAGAAGTTTTCTCTGAGTACAAATAAGAGTATTTCATTTCCATCTGGACTCTAATGTTACAGATGAGAAGTCTGTTGTGTCTGTTCTCCACCAAATTATTGATCATTTGAGATACTGTGTGATTTTCTTCTTTTTACCCTCTTTCTCTGGCTAATTTTAAGCTATCTTTCATTTTTTTTAATTCCTGAAGTTACACTAAAGTGTTTAGGTTTGGACTTACCTACTTTTATTTATCTTATTATGTAATGTTCTTCTGCAATCCAAAGACTAATATCTTTCTTCACCTCTGACAAAATTCTCCACAATTATCATTTTACCTATCCCCCTAATTCTTAGATTTGTAAAAGTAAAGGGGCTGGCTCGGTGGCTCACACCTGTAATCCCAACACTTTGGGAGGCCGAGGTGGGTGGATCACGAGGTCAGGAGATCGAGACCATCCTGGCCAAAATGGTGAAACCCCATCTCTACTAAAAATAGAGAAAATTAGTCAGGCGTGGTGACGGGCGCCTGTAGTCCCAGCTACTCAGGAGGCTGAGGCAGGAGAATGGCGTGAACCCAGGAGGCGGAGCCTGAAGTGAGCCGAGATTGCGCCACTGCCCACCAGCCTGGGTGACAGAGCGAGACTCCATCTCAAAAAAAAAAAAAAGAAAAAAAAAAGTAAAGAACAAAAATTGCTGTTTCTTTTTAAAAAAATCAGCTGTCATGAGTACATCCTGTTGGTTGTTGCAACAATACATAATATGTGTTCTCTCATTTTGCCTTACTAAAACACTCCTAATTATTTCATGGTGATAATATGTCCAGTTAAAATATTTGGATTCAAGATATGTCTTCCTATGGGGAGTTGCCATGTGATGCAAGTTAAATAAGTGGATAATGTTGGCTGGAGAGTCCACTAAAGCTCATTCAAAGGAATAGAGACTTATAGTTAGTTATACAGTACTGTACACCTAAAAAAATTGTCAAAGGTAGATATTATTTTATGTATTTTGACCATAATAAAAAAGGAACAAAAACTGAAAAGCTTGTCTTCTTTTCTGTTGACCTTTATTTACTTCTTCTTTCCTAGAAAAACAGTTTCAGTGATAGGAGGTGAAGGAAAAGCTAAACAGTAAAAGAGAAGGAATATGAAACATAAAGGAATTTTTCTCCTTCATTAGTTACCTTAAATAATCTACTTGTCCTTATTTTTCACATCCAGATTTCTTGTTTTGTGAAAATAAATTTTTAAAAAACTATTATTTTGTTAAGCCACAAAAATTGAGTGTGTGTGTGTGTGTTTAGGCTTATAAGGGAGTTAAATTCAATCTAAATTTAATCCTGAAAAACATCTGGTTAATCGAACATATGTTCCTTTTGGTGTCAGTTTTAAACAAGGTAAATTATACAGGTTTGAATGAGAGGCCATAAGTGTTGTACAATTATGGAAAACATAAAAAATGAATAGCCATTATTCCTTAGGTCAGAGATAGTAGAAAAGAGAATTCATAGGTTATTTTTAAAGTGGAAAAGATGATCATAAATTCCTTTTGTCTATTTTGCCATGCCCAGAATTTTTGACAATGTAACTGTAGTTTTCCCTATTATCCAATTTAAAATCAATAATAATCTTTATTTATATTGTAGTTATACTTTTAACTTTCCACTCCAAACATATTAATGTATTTCACTTTTCTTAAGTTATTTAACACCTAGATGTCTACATTGCACACCAATCATCATAGTTTGGACAATCTAGCCAGTAAGTCAGTGATATTCTATCACTCTGAATCCTTAATGAGGAGATAAGTTTCTATATTACAATTTTTTATAGTAACTTTCTGATGTAAGTTTACATGCATTTAAATTTATATTTTTTATATGATTCAAATACATACAATTCTTTTCCCTTGAGTATCTATGTAAAAAAATACTTTGTAGTTAAGTTCCAAGCTTCTGTCTGAAAAGTGAAAACTTAAATCCTAAGGGATTCTTTACTTTGGGATTGAAAATAGAGATAAAAAAGCCCCAAGTATATTGTGAACAGTTTCCAAAACCCTGAACCATTCAGTGAACCTATGAACTTAACTTTTGTTCTCCCTTGATAGCCAGTGCTGTTTTGAGACCAATTTTTGTGGTTTCATTTGGGTTCAGAGTCTAATTCTAATGCCAGTTGGTAAGAATGAAAAAATGAACGAAACCCTAGAGAAGTTTCCAAACCCACAGAGCTGAGCAAAGGGTAGGGAATTTATTTTGAGTTTCAGGTTTCCTAGCATTTCAAATGAAAGAAAACCAAAGGTAAAATGTAGTAGACATGACATTTGTGAACGAAAACCAATATAAAGTTTGCTTTAACTGATTCAGGGTGGTTGGAGTTACCTTCATCCTATCTGCAGAAGAGTCTGATTTTCTTCTGCTTTACCTGCTCTCCACAGGAATGGAAGGAAACGATGTTTCATTTAGCTACATTGAAAACCCAGACTTTAAAACAAAAGTTTAAATTTATCTCACTCTCATCTTTACTCATCAACATTTCCTTAAGTGTTATTAGTTTTCTATGCTCAAATCCTTTTTCTTTCTTCTCTGTTTCTTTCGTTGTCCTTTACCGTAAAATTTAAAATCTCTAAATAACTAATCTGTGAAATCTTACTATTTTTTCTAAAACACTAAACCCTTATTTTAAAGTAAACTAGAAAAATATTACAGAGATCACTTGTTAATGTGTCTTACATAAAGTATGTCAAACATGCTTTTGTGAAGAAAATAAAGAGGCTTTCAGAAATTGACCTACTATAGACTAGCAGATTTTTATTAAAATAAACAAATTATTAAAGAAAATACCCCAGGTCAGATTAGCTTCTATGAGAACCCAAGAGAAATAAGATAATGAAGTACAACGATCAGTATTCTCTAACAACTGACACTCTCTTCCTGTAATTTTTAAACTATATATTATTTTGTTGTATTCTGTACATTCTTGTCTCCTCTATAAAGATCAGCACAGCTTATCACTCAGACACTGATTTTATATTCAATAAGTTGTCTTAGGCCTTGTGTGGTGGCTCACACCTGTACTCCCAGCACTTTGGGAGGTCGAGGCAGATTGCTCAAGGTCAGGAGTTCAAGACCAGCCTGGCCAACATGGTGAAACCCCATTTCTACTAAAAATACAAAAAATCAGCAGGGCATGGTGGCAGGCATCTGTAGTCCCAGCTACTTGGGAGGCTGTGGCAGGAGAATCCCTTGAACCCAGGAGGCAGAGATTGCAGTTAGTCAAGATTGCACCACTGCATTCCAGCCTGGGAGACAGAGGGAGACTTTGTCTCTATAAATAAATAAATAAATAGTCTTAGACACTTTTGGATTAACCAGGCACATAGTATTTAATAAATACGAATCTTTTGAATATAGACACCTTCATTCAGATTACATTTATAATAATTCTTACATTAAGCCAATGGCAAATTATATCTATATGTAAAAACAAATTACTTCTCTGCCTGAAATTTTCTGTCAAAAATATTTTTCTGAGCTTTTTGTAGCCCCAAAATAAGGATTTTTTTTTCATTAGAACTTTGTAATTTTTTTCATTTGTGGTCCACATTGACTCACCAATTTAAGAAATAGTAGTTATGAATATCTCAGTGGAAGTTTCGATTGTTGTGCTGGCTTTCCGAGGGACAACATTTTCTTCAGAAAATGTTATAATTATACAATATCTCACTTTGTTTCTCCCTCTAGCTGTTGCCTGGAAATTTGGCTTGTCTTTGAGGTCTGTCAAATCAAAATCACTAACACAGTTTGCTTTTTAATTGTTTTTTAAATTTAAAGGTCAGCTTGGCTGTTCAAGCCATGTCTTATTGTATATTCCCCACTGAAAAAAATAAGCTGAAGATAATATCAAATGACATTTTTAAACTTTGCAAAGTACACAGGTATTTTACATAAAATACACAAGTTCCAAATGCTAACAATGAAATACTGAAATCAAGAAAATTATTTAAAGAAACTCCAGCATATTTACATCTTTTATGTCTACGATCCACTCACTTTCAGAGTTTCCAAAGACTGAATTGAGCCTTATTTCTAAATCAGCACAATTAGCATATTTGTTCCTTAAAGTTTGTATGTCTTTTAAATATTTAATCTTGCTTATTATATCAGAATTGAATAAAAACTTATACAAATGTTGAAAAGATTTCTATATCCATTTTAAAACACTTGTGAAAGTCAGGCAAACCTGGCCATTTCAAACATATTACAATTTCATAATGGGCACAAAAAGCTATGTAGAAGGCACTATGATTATTTTATTGAAGGGAAGTTTATAATTGAAAGTAGAAGTGTACAAGACTGCCCCAATCACCTAATGTCCGTTTTCTAGTCATCAATTGAACTGAAAGATAGAGGTAAGCTGTCAAATTCACTAGCAGTTTTAAAGAAATGTGTTTTCTGTTCAATTCCAGGCTGCGAATTAAAGCACATGAATGCGAGTTTTGCCACATTGTGCACGTGACTGATTTTAAAATGTCTGGATGCAAGAGATGTCACCTGGCAAATGGTCCTGACTGTCACAACAACTGATCTCAGAGCACTTGTCCTTCTTTACTGTTACCACAGTCCCAGCCTCTGATTCTCTAATTCTAATTTCCACTAAGGAATGGCACCTTATTTTTTGACAGTTTTTTTAAAGTAGTGTACTGGTCCTGGCATTTTTTAAAAATCTTTTCTTCAAACTTATTTTTAAAAAGCTGCAGGAAAAATACAAAATAATCCTGTATATCCTTTACCACCCACATACCCCCAATTTTAACATATTTTAACATACAGGAAGTCCTCACTTAAGATTTTCAATAGGTTCTTGGAAACTGTGACTTTATTTGAAACAGCTTATAAGGAGACCAATTTTACCATAGGCTAGTTGATTAGCTAACAAAGGTTAAGTTCCTATGACATACTTTCAGTCACAAAAACATCACCAAGCTTCTCAGTAAGAGAACTAAAACACTTCTAATATGAAACATTGAAATAAATGTTAGCTACACACATTTAAGAAAGATTAATAAAAACAAATAAGAATTATTTTCTGAATTTTGGGGGAATCAGTGAGTATCATGGCAGTGGTAGGTTAGATTAAGGAATAAATACTTGCAAAATGAAAATTGTTAGAAGTCCCTCCTCCTGCCAGGCAGTTCAGAAACAATCACAGAAATCACAGACTCCCTGAGCAATACTGTACTACATCACTTACGACATGCATGTATATGATTGTCACCTACTTTACAAATGTTTATTTCACAATAATTTGTATTCATTCATTCATTTTCCAACTCGATTATTCCAGTTCATAGTGGCACTGCTCAGGGTGCAAGGATGAAACAGCCCTGGCCAAGATGCCACTCCACACCAGGGCACACTCACACTCACACTCACACTTACTCAGACTGAGACCATTGAGACATGTTCCATAGCTTAGACATAACCTAATGTGTCTAACAGCTTTGGGATGTGGGTGGAAACCAGAGTACCCAGAGAAAGCCCACACAGACATGCAGAGAATGTGCAAACTCCACACAGACAATGACCTTCCCCAAGCGGAATTGATTTTTTCTCAACGTTATAACTAAAGGACGTCCAACAAAACATTATTCAAGTACTTGTTGTATATGTTTTACACACACTCATTTATGTACGTGTGTGTGTAATATATGTGTATATTGGTAGTTGATATTAATTTTATTTTGATATTTTATTATTTATATTCTATACATATGATATATGTGTATATTTTACCCGCAACCATTGGACAATAATCTGCAGACATGATGCTCCATTAATCCTAAATACTTCCATTTGCATTTTCAAAGGATCAAGGACATTCTCTTACATAATTCAGTACCATTATAAAAATCAGATAATTAAATTTATATAATTCTATAACTGGCAGTCATATTTTAGATTTTATCCACTTTCCAATTACGTCCTTCATAGCAAAATAAAATCCCAAGTGGTGCATTGCATCCAGTTTTCATAATTCTTTAGACTCCCTGAATCTGAAACAGATTTACAGTCCTGCATCTCAGTATACTGATATTTTTGAAGAGGACAGGACAGTTATTTTGTGTAGTGTTTCTCAATTTGGGCTTCACTTCTGTTTTCTCATAAAAAGGTTATGCAGTTTTGACCAGAATACCCTGGGTGTGAAGTTATGGTCTTAGTGCACAGTATCAGTAGAGTATGAGGCTGATTTTTCCCATTATTGGTAAATATTAATTCAGATCCCTTAGTAGGGTGGTTTTCTTTCTGCAATGTTTCTAAATGGTACACTGAACTTTTCTCTTTATAATGAATAAATATCATATTTGAAAACTTTTGAGACCGTATAAATAACCCTCAACTATCAAACTTCCACCTGCTGATTTTACCATCTATTGATAATTCCTGCTTGAATCAATAATGATGATTGTTGCCAGCATAATGTGATTATTCTTTCTACATTTACTACTTGGACTTCTACTACAAGGAATAACTTTCCTATTTATTTATTCATTTATTTGCTTATTAGTTTATTTATTAATAATTGACTAATGAAAAGTAGATTACTAAATAATACAGGTACTTTTTTGCAATTTACTTTTTTCACTTAAAATATATTTTGGAACTCACTCCAAGCCTGTTCATAGAACCCTTTATCATTCTTTTTGATAACTATTGTAGCTCCTCATTGTGAGGATGAGTTATAATTTATTCAAACACTTTCCTATGTATGGCCATATTGATTATTTTCAATATTTTTCAGTTACAAACAATACAGCATTAAATGACATACTATTTTCATGTTTTTTCATACTGCCACAGATGTATCTGCAGGGTAAATTCCTAGAAGTAAGAGGTAAGTGCATGCATAATTGTGTTACGTATTATCACAGCCTATTTTATAAGGGGCCTCACCAACAGACTGTGTTGTTATAATTTTTAATTTTGCCAGTCTCATAGATAAAATGGTATCTGAGTGTAGTTTTAATTTGTAATTCTCTGTTCTGAGGTTGAACATCTTTTCATAATACAGCACAAAATATATAATCTACAATTGTACTCATAAACATAATGTCAAATCTCAAAACACCTTTGAAAGTAAGAAATCAGGCATAAAATAATACATTCTGTATTATTCCATTTGCATATATTTCAAAATGTGTCAAAACTAATCTATGCTATTACAAGTCAGGATAGCAGTTATCCTTGTCAGACAGCAGTGACCGCAATGGATAATGATAGGTATTTTTGAGATACCATAAACATCCTGATTCTTGAACTAGGTGCTTGTTACATAAACATGTTTAAATTATGAAAATTTCTTGAGCTGAACAATTATGGTATGCACACTTTTCTGTATATTTATTTCAATTATTTAAAAAATTGTGTTTAAGATTTAAATAGTTACCAGATACAAAGTTGAATATGTTATCAAATGTGAAAAAAAAATGACAGGTCTTTTCTTATTATTCGAATGTAGAATAGATTGATTTTTTTTACAGTTGACTACTATTCTAATTTATTTCTTCTTCACAATAACACAGAGGAGTATTGCCTTATGGTTTGTACTAATGGACTTCTAAGACTAAGGTTTTTTTGTGGGATTTAGGTATTTATATCTTGCATTGCTTCCTGAGATCAGACGATTAGGATTGCCGGCCAGACGCGATAGCTCACGCCTGTAATCCCAGCACTTTGGGAGGCTGAGGCGGGTGGATTACTTGAGGTCAGGAGTTCGAGACCAGCCTGGCCAAATGGTGAAACCTTGCCTTTAGTAAAAATAACAAAAAATTAGCCAGGCATGGTGGCGCGTGTCTGTAATCCCAGCTATTCAGAGGCTGAAGTGAGAGAATCGCTTGAACCCAGGAGGCGGAGGTTTCAGTGAGCCAAGATGGCGCATTGCGCTCCAGCCTGGAAGACAGAGCGAGAGTCTGTCTCAAAGAAAAAAAAAAAAAGAAGAAGAAGAAGATTCAAGTTGCCAATGCTATTGTCATCAACCATGGAAAGCACCAAGGACAATCTGAAATGCAATAATTTATGAAGGCAAGTTAACTCAGAGAAATTACCAACATAAGATAAACAGATAGTTTTGTTGCTCCTCTTAGGATTTGTTGCTCAAATCCAAATCCAAGTTATTGTTTTATTTCTAATTATTTCACTGGATAAAAAGAGAATAAAAGTTGTAAATGGATTTCCCTTTCCCCATCTCTTGCAGAAACATCTATTTGTGTGTGTGTCTGTGTGTGCGTGCTTTCAAGCTCTTAGTCTTATGCAAATAGAAGTACCTGCTAATTGATGGGGAAGCCTGGTGTACACGCAAGCACAAAAATGTGTATGCCTTCATACTACTCAGAACAATATTCTCCAGATGTCTGTTATCTGAGTGCCATCTTCAGGACTTTGGCCATATCTAAGAGCCTGCTCTACTACATTAAAGGTATTAGTTACCTAATATTTCTATTTAAATAAATTCACTTTAAATATATTGAAAAGGAAATTTTATGTAATTATAATGAAAAATATTACTTAAAATAGGAGGTGCTATAAAACAAGTGTAATTTAAAAAAACACAACATTATTAAAGCCTCTAAACCAAAGACTGACTCTCCTGATACAAAATAGTGTAGAATTATGAAACTCTACACTAAAATTAAATTTAGACTTTTCCCTTGAAAGGCTTCAAATAAAGATAAAATAAAATGATCACAATTTAATTCACCTTTATTGAATAGTAGCTCTGAACAAGGCCTAAAATCTTTACTCCCTTCACTGTTGTGGGTCCCACACTTTGTGGGAGCTCTTCCCTAACATGACTTCCAGGGTCCATGTGCACTGGAACTCTTCTTTACCAGCATGCCTTCCAACCTGTTATTTCATTGTGATCTTCAATTTTTATTTGTCTTTGAATACCTGGGTTTCTGCCTATTGTAGATCCACTGCTTAGCCTTTTTCCTAAGCTTCAGTGAATCCCTGGCTCTTCTAATCCTAGCTTCTCTTTTCTGCTTCTGTGCCCAGTAGCTGCTGCCCAAAGTCCTTAAGCTGAAGGTTTGGCTTGATATCTGAAAGCTACTTTCTTGGAACTGAATTCCCAAAAAGTACAAGGGAACAAAAGATAGGCTTCTCGAATATATGCATAACACGCATGAGGGTGAGATTTTGTTTTGAAAGAGTTGTTAGCCTTGAACATTTGCAAGCTTTACTTTTGCTTCTATCTTCCTAGCCCATTGGCCTCGAGAGCAAGTAGAATTTTGGATAAAGTAAAGATAAAAGAAGGGTCATGTATAATTCTTAGGATCAGACAAGAATAACAGTAGGTAGCTATCATTTCATGCTTCACTTTAACTTTCTCTATGGGGAAGATCAGAATATGCTCCTTTGGTGTGTAGCCCTGAGTCCAGCAGAGCAGGGTCAACAGCAATAAGCAGTGAACGCTCTGTTGTTGGCAACATGCCTGTCAGCATTACTGAGAGGAATTCAGTCATCACAAATTATTACTTAAGGGGAAAAGAAGAAAATAGAATTCTCATTCCCAATCTCAAACTGCTAAGAGAGTGCAGTGAAAAGAAGAAAATACTAGATCAAGTAACATGGACAGTATTGCAATTTGAAGAAAGCCAACATTTTCTGAAGCTCAGTCAATTCAAGAATATGCTCACAAGGGGTATCAATATGCACAAGCTGCTTTCATAACCCAAATGCTTTTATGGATGAATGATATATTTTAGTAATGACAAATGTATGGAACATTGCCTTTTCCCATATAAAATTTCCCAACACTGTGATTTATTAGACCCTGTCGAACTGTAATTGGAGACCTTTTCATAATGTATCCAAAAACTACACAAATGCAAAGCAGGGTGAAGTCCATTGAAAAAAAATATATTATTCTGTATGTAACATATACAATATGACAATTTAGGGAAGAAAAATACAAAAAATTACAGCATGTAATTAATATAGTGTATCCCAAAGGCAACCGTTACAAAAAGGTTTTAAAAGCCAACATGGAATAGGTATTTCTTACACCTTTATTCCTTGGCTTTCAGAAGCTGGGGCTGTTAGTGGGCAATGCCATGTATGAGGTACAGGCTTGCTCTACTTTTGAAAGGAAAACTATTTATGTTCCCAAAATATTAAAGCTATGTTTTTCTTTTTTCTAGTACTTCACTGAGTTTAATTTATTAAATAAAATATTATATCAGAAATTATTAAAAATCCTATAAAAAGAAAGTAAGTCAAGCAAAACAAAGTAAATTTAAAAGTCCTCACACTGTCCCACTATACAGAGAGAGGCTCTACTGGCCTATCTATCTATTTATCCCTCATCCATTCCAAAAATTTATTATATTTTTGAAATACTACTTTTTTAATCCTAAAATTGTCCCATTCCCAAAAGTTACATGCTCATACTTCATGGAGCTTTTCTTGCAGAACTATCTTTTACTTCTTAAAGTTCAAACACACTGGGAAGAAAGAGGATCAAGAAGAGAGGATGCTTCACTGGCTAAAAATGTCTAGAGATGGGAGAGATAGGCATGAATCATAAGTCAATAAAGCCTGGGCTCACTCTCTGGCAGTGTCCTGACAGGGAGTCAAGATATTTTCTGGAAACAAGGCTGCTTCATGCACCAGAGGGCCAGCCTCTACATTCAGGACTACAACCTAAGATTCTCACTGCCCAAGTGAGAAAAATAACAGATTGTGGAGGCCAGGCCATAGCCAGTCCATAGACAGCCACACATTGCCTGTGAGCAGAGGTGCCTCTCTGAAACTCTGGTGTAGCCTCCGGAAGCAAAAGAGCATAACTGAACACTAAGACTGAATTTTCCACAAGTCCCCATGAAATGAGGTTTTGAAGTCAAAATTAAGCTGATTTATAGAGAATGAAGCACTGCTATCTCTAAGTCAATATTCCTTGCATAACTGTTTGTGTTGTGGGAATTTTATTCTAAATAGCTTATTTCTCCATATATTTATTTAGTTAGTTTATATTAAACATCCATTATGTGCAAAACATTTTACTAAGCATAAGGCAAAAAGAAAATTTGGACAATTCCATTATTCTGAAAATATTTCCAGTTTAATAAAGAAAGATATAGAGATTTTTTATGGCAAAATAGTAATTTGTTTTATATTTATTCAATAATTTATTTAGTCAACTTAATATTGGCTTACCATTTAGAAAACTTCAAACTTTTCTCTCATGTAAAATACCTCAAATTAATGTATATTTTACAAATACTCAGTCAGAATAAAGGATGTTCATTTATGAAACATGGTGGATCCTCTAACCTTTATTTTCCCAGGAAATCTATCAAGAATTCCTTATCCCTTCATTTCCACTGGATCATTTCCATCAAGTATATATTTTAATGTTCACACCTCTTCTGTCTTAAAACAAATGAAAATAAACACACAATCTCCTTTCTCAATCCCATTTCAACTACACAATATCTTCCTTTCCATTTAATATTGCTTCTATAATCAATGCATCAATTTTCACACCTCTAGTCATTTCTTAACTCATTCCAATATGACTGTCCTCTTCTTCACACTATTAAAGCAGCAGCATCATTCTAGCTCACCGAATCCATCAATCTTTGTCTTCAGACTTTGTTGTGAACATTGGTTATGTTTTGCTCTTTGAGACTCCCTCCTTTGGCCTTTTGCTTCTTATTTATCAGAACTTCTGGTTTTCCTTTGATCCCTGTGTTTTTCTTAGTTTCTGCTGTAGAATCATTCGTTACTGTTTATGATGGACTCCTCAAGGAATTCAAAATAGGCCTCCTTTCCTGTTATTTTTTTCTTCGCTCACTCTTTTTGAGGGGACTACAAAAGTTTCATGGAAAATTGAAATTAAAAGATAAAAATAAAATATGTACACTTTATTTCTCAACATAAGATCCATTAAGTTGAAGACACTTTTTAAAGTGATGATACTGGCAATGCAGTTCCTCTTTAAGAACTGACAAGGTCCCGGGACTCTAACCATGTCAACTGAGTCTTTTTTACATTATTAACTGAAGAAAACGATGCCACTTACAGTTGTTGTTGTTGTTGTTGTGTTAAGATTAAAAAACAAAAAGAAGTCAGAAGTAGCAGCTAAATCTGGACTGTAATGTGGATGCCTAATAATTTCCTATGGAAACTCTCACAAAATTATCCTTATTTGATGAGAGGCATGAGCATGGGCATTTTCATGGTGGAGAAAGACTCTGGTAAAGTTTTCCCTGGCGTTTTTCTACTGAAGCCTTGACTAACTTTTTCAAAACACTCTCAAAATAAGCAGATGTTATTACTCTTTCTTCCTCCAGGAAAGCAAAATGCCTTGAGCCTCCTAAACTATTGCCATGACCTTTGCTCTTGACTGGTTCACTTTTCCTTTCTGGACTACTTCCAACTCTTTGTAGCCCTTGTTATGATTCTGCTTTGTCTTCAGGATTGTACTGGTAAAGCTATGTTTCCTCTCCTGCTAGAATTATTTGAAGAAATGCTTCAGGATCCTGATCCCTGTTCTTTAAAACTTCCATTGAAAGTTCTGCTTTTATCTGTAGCTGATCTAGGAGTAATGGTTTTGGCACCCATTGAGCAGAAAGTTTGCTCCATTTCAAGTTTTCAGTCAGAATTGTGTAACCTGAACCAATGGAGATGTCTATGATGTTGGCTATTGTTTCTACTGTTAGTCATAAGTCCTCTTCAATTAGACACGAACAAGTTTAATTTTTTTTCTTTACAAATTGATGTGGATGTTCTGCTGCTGTGGGCTTTAACACCATCTCTTCCCTTCTTAAAATGAGTGATCCAATTGTAAACTGCTTATTTCTTTGCAGCATTGTCCCCCTAAACTTCTTGTAAAGCATCAATTATTTCACCTTTCTTCCACCCAAGTTTTACCATACACTTGATGTTTGCTGCTTCAAACTTAGCAGAATTCATGTAGCTCAGATAGGGGTTCTTTTCAAACTAATGTCTTATCTTTCTTAGTGCCTCAAATTTGATCCTGTCTAGATATAACAAGTTAGTACAGGTTTATTTTGTTACAAATATTTTTAAATTCATGCATAGTATTTTTAATCATACACATTTTCCATGAACTTTTTGAAGACCCTTTGTATTTTCAAGAAAATCTCATTCGTGTTTATAACTTCAATAATTATTAAATATCCAGGAAACATATATTTACATCTCCACTATGGATCTGTCCTCTGACTTCTAGCCCTACATACTAAGTGACTTAGCAATATAGTCACTTATAAATCTCAGAAGGAACTCCTCTACAACAGCTACAAAACTTACCTCTTTATCTTCCTTCCCAAACAGTGTACTAAAATCCTGCCCTCAGCCATAATTCTCCTGTTTTTCTGATTGGTACCCTGTTTCTATTCATTATTTCAGCAAGCCTTGGAGTCCCTCTTAAAGAATCTCTCTCCCTCCTTTACCATGTCCAACCTATTATATGTTCTAAAGATTTCATATATATCACTTGAGTTCATTAATTTCTCCCCATCTATATGCACTGCTTGATATAAGCCACAGTTTTCTCTTACAGACAGGACAGGATTCACCTCCTAACTGGTTTACTACAATCTTTTCTTGACTCTTTCTAATCTGTTTTTTACACTGTAGCTGGAGGGACATTTTCAAAAGACAAGTCAAATTCTGCTACTCACTGCTAAGTCTGTTCACTGGATTTCTATTGTTTTTGGATAATATCAATATCCATAAAATGGCTTGCCAGGGTTCCACCCTGCTTACCATTCCAGCCTCATCTTGTTTCCTTGACCCTCTACTTCTCTACCATATAATGCAGATCATATTTCAATTTCTTGAATAGATTGTGTCTTTGCCAATCCTGGGTTTTACATGTGCTGTTCCTTTTTCCAAACTCTCTTTGCCTAGTTCATTTCTTTTTTTTCTTTTTTTTTTTCTAAGACGGAGTCTCTCTCTGTCACCAGGCTAGAGTGCAGTGGCGCGATCTCAGCTCACTGCAACCTCTCCCTCCCAGGTTCAAGCGATTCTCCTGCCTCAGCCTCCTGAGTAGCTGGGATTACAGGCACTTGCCACCACACCCAGTTAATTTTTGTATTTTTAGTAGAGACAGGGTTTCACCATATTAGCCAGGATGGTCTTGATCTCCTGACCTCATGATCCTCCTGCCTTGGCCTCCCAAAGTGCTGGGATTTCAGGCATGAGCCACCATGCCTGGCCTCAATTTTGTTTTTTAAATATCAGTGGAAATGTTATGTTCTCAGGGGCAGTAATACTGAAAAGAAGTAAGGAAGCCAGGCGCAGTGGCTCATGCCTGTAATCCCAGCACTTTGGGAGGCCGAGGTGGGCTCCCCTGAGGTCAGGAGTTCAAGACCAGCCCAGCCAACATAGTGAAAACCCATCTCTACTAAAAATACAAAAATTAGCTGGGCATGAGGGTGTGCACCTGTAATTCCAGCTACTCAGGAAGCTGAGGTGGGAGAATCACTTGAACCCGGGAGGCAAATGTTGCAGTGAGCTGAGATCGAGCCTCTGCACTCCAGCCTGGGTGACAGGGTGAGACTCTGTCTCAAAAAAAAAAAAAAAAAAAATGAGGAAGTGTCTCATAACAACATCTTCCTTAACTTCATAGTACTTTGCTTTTTTTTCGTAGTTTTGCATCCATTTGTGATCATTTGGTTAATTCTTAATCCCCCTACTAGACAAAAAGTGTCCTGAAAGCATGGGCTATACTTGACTTTGCTCAAACATATATATTCAGTGACCAACAAATTTACTAATACACAGCGGATGATCAAAATTTGTTGAATGAAAGAATTAATAAATAATTGTATGCTTATTTCTGTAGAATAAATTCTAAAAGTAGAATTACCATTTTACAAACTATTGACATTTTCAGGGCTTTTTAAAAAATTTACTATCCTCCCTGTAAAGACTGACAGCTTCTTTTCTGTATCTCAATTATAATTCTGGAATTATCACTTACTGCTTAAAAGTAAAAGTCTATTAGGTAAAAAAGATTTATTTGTATATCTTTGACTATTTACAATCTTGAATATAGAATTACTCATTTCACAGCTATGGTTGTCTCTTGCAATTTATCTGTTTATACATGTTTCTCATTTTACTATTGGTGTATTTGCCTTTTCCTTAAAAAATAATTTGTGACTACTGATGGCCAAGAAATAAACATGAGCTATGATATGGGTAAAGGTCAAAGAGTTTCTATGATTTTCTTAATAATTCTTGGTCATAAATAATCTGTTTTGTTTAAATTCTTTATAGATGCTGAATATTAGATCCTTGTCAAATTCATAGTTTGCAAATATTTTCTCCCATTCTGTAGGTTGCCTGTTTATTCTGTTGATAGTTATATTGGCTATGCAGAAGCTCTTTAGTTTAATTGGATCCCATTTGTCAATTTTTTCTTCTGTTGCAATTGCTTTTGGTTTCTTTGTCATGACATCGTTGCCTGTTCCTATGTCCAGAATGATATTGCATAGATTGTTTTCTGGGTTTTTATAGTTTTAGATTTTACATTTAAGTCTTTAAGCCATCTTGAGTTAGTTTTTGTGTATGGTGCAAGGAAGAGCGTCCAGTTTCAATCTTCAGGATATGGCTAGCCAGTTATCCCAGGACCATTAATTGAATAGGGGATCCTTTCCCCATTGGTTTTATTTTATTTTTGTCAAGTTTGTCAAAGATCAGATTTTTGTATGTGTGCAGTCTTATTTCTGGGTTCTTTATTCAGTTTCATTGGTCTATGTCTCTGTTTTTGTACTAGTACCATGCTGTTTTGGTTACTATATCCTTGTAGTATCGTTTGAAGTCAGTTAGCAAGATACCTCTAGTTTTGTTCCTTTTGCTTAGGATTGCCTTGGCTATTTGGGTTCCTTTTTGGTTCCATATAAATTTTAAAATAGTGTTTAGTTCTCCTTGTAGATGTAATTCACCTCCCTGATTAGCTGTATTCCTAGGTTTTTTGGTGGTTTTGTGTGTGTGTGTGTGTGTGTGTGTGTGGCAATTATGAATAGGATTTTGTTCCTGATTTGGCTCTCAGCTTGACTGTTGGTCTATAGGAATGTTAGTGAATTTTGCACATTGATTTTGTATCCTGAGACTTTATGCAGTTGTTTATCGGTTTAAGGAGCCCTTGGGCCTAGGCTATGAGGTTTTCTAGATACAGAATCAGGGCATCAGCAAACAGGGATACATTGAGTTCCTCTGTTCCTATTTGGATGTCCTTTATTTCTTTCTCTTGACTGATTGCACTGGCCAGGACTTCCAATACTATGTTGAATAGAAGTGGTGAGAGAGACCATCCTTGTCTTGTGCTGGTTTTCAAGAGGAATGCTTCTAGCTTTTGCCTATTTGGTATGATGTTGGCTGTGCTGGTTTGTCATATACGGCTCTTAATATCTTGATGTATGTTCCTTCCAAATCTAGTTTATTGAGAGTTTTTTTTGTAACGTGAATGCATGTTGGATTTTATCGAAAGCCTTTTCTGCATCTATTGAGATAATCATGTGGTGTTTTGTCTTGTGTTCTGTTTATGTGATGAATCACATTTACTAATTTGCATATGTTGAACCAACTTTGCATCCCAGGGATAAATCCTACTTTATTGTGGTAGATAAGCTTTTTGATATGCTTAAAGGGCAAAGTACATGAACAGACACTTTTCAAAAGAAGATATATATGCAGCCAAGAAGAATATGAATAAAAGCTTAACATCACTGATTATTAGAGAAATGCAAATCAAAATCACAAAAAGATATCATCTCACACCAGTCAGAATGGCTATTATTAAAAAGACAAAAAATGACAGATGCTGGTGAGGTTGTGTAGAAAAAGGAACACTTAAACACTGTTGGTAGAATGTAAATTAGTTCGACTATTGTGTAAGACAGTGTGGCAATTTCTTAAAGATCTAAAAACAGAAATACTATTCCACCCAGCAATCCCATTACTGGGTATATACCCCCAAAACAGAAATCATACTATTATAAACACACATGCATATGTATGTTCACTGAAGCACTATTCACAATAGCAAAGACATGGAATCAACCTCAATGGTCATCAATGACAGATTTCATAAAGAAAATGTGGTATGTAAATGGAGCTGGAGGTCATTATCCTTAGCAAACTAACACAGGAACAGAAAACCAAATATCATATGTTTTCACTTATAAGTGGGAACTAAATGATGAGAACACATGTACACATAGAAGGGAACAACAGACACTGGAGTCTACATGAGGGTGGAGGGTGGGATCAGGGAGAGGATCAGGACAAATAATTCATGTGTACTAGGCTTAATAGTGGGGTGATAAAATAATCTGTACAACAAACCTGCACATGTACTTCTCAACTTAAAATAAAAGTTAAATTCTAAAAAAGAAAAAGAATAATAAGATAATGTACCTGTGTTATTGCCTTGCATTCATCCATATGTCTCATTGAAGTGCATGTACTTATTAATCATTTGTTATGAATAAAGGAAAATGGGAATAAAAATGGAAAGATATAGTAAATTGCTAGATTGCAGTGCTAAAGTAGATTTCTAGGAGAGATTCAACTTGTCTTTCCCATACCTATTGGTTCTACTGCATTAAAAAAGGAAAGAAAGAAATCTATCCCTTGGGAAAGAGATTCTGCAGCCTCAGTAACTTATTTCAGTTTATAACCACTTCTTGTAAACTTGTCAAGTTCTAGTTTTAAATCCTAGCTCACCTCACAAATGAAAATCGGTTAAAAGTATTTGGATAGCTTGTCCTACTTTTCATCAGTACATAAGGTGAAAACAATTTATATTTTGGTATGTATTTTCTTTATGAGGTATAGACAGGTGAATACCAATTGGTATAAAGACATGTGCTATTTTTTCACATCAGTCTGACCCTGAATTAAAAGAAAACAGAGCTCTGTTCTAAAAGGAGATCTAGGTTCTTAACATGACTCTGGCACTAACTCATTTATGGAGTTCCTTTCAGTTTATGGAATCTTGCAGTTGATTTGTTTACTACAATGAGTCTCAGCGTTTTTAGCTCCAAAGCAGTGACATGAGAGTATTCTTTCAATGGCTAGCTCAATAGATTCACCTAGTTATTTGTTGAAAATATTAATTTCGGAGGCACATCCCAGGTATTTTGAATCAGAATCTCCAGGAGAAAGTTTCCCAAGTGTCTCTTATGCTCAGTCAAATTCAGAAATAACTAGATTGGTTGACCTTGGTAGCTTTACCTAACTTGAATTCCAAAATACTAATTATTGGTAAATAGCAGATAAAATTCCCTGAAATGGTGAGAAGGGCTTGTATTTTTGCAATTTCTCAGTGGCTAGACTATCAAGGAAGACAAGAAAATAAAACAAAGTCATGTTGTATAGTTCTAACTTTTCCCCATACCTAACCATTCACTCTCCATCTGAGAACGCTGCTTCCTCTGGCAGCATCCTACTTTCAAACTAGTGGACTTAAATTTCCTCCCAAAGGGATTTTTATTTAAGAATGATGATTACTATGATATATCTTATTATTTTAAAACAAGCCTCAGTCCTTATTTTATAAATGTAAATAAAGCTTTTTTCTATTTTCTCTGAAAACAAGTTATTTATGAAAAATGAATTATTCTTCACATGACCTAAGTAAAACATGTCTGTTTTTCTGTAAATTTACTTATTTACTACAACTTTTTTCCATATTTTCACTGTTTACTCTTTATTTAAAGCAGTAAATGTCCTCTTCTAAAAAAAAAAAAAAAGAAAGAAGGGGGAAAGAAGGAAGGAAGGAAAGAAGGGAGGGAGGGAGGGAAAGGCAAAGAAGGAGGGAAGAAATTCAGTAAAGAAGTTGGGGAATGGGCTATATTTGTAATACAAACTAAAGAGTTAGTTAAATATTATAAGATTGTGATGTATAAATTAAGAATAAAGTTAATTTGATCATCTGGGTCATGATAGTTCAAAGGAAAACAGACATGTTTGTTCTTTGAGCCTCTGTAAAGAAAACAAAAGGCTGATTGAGGAACTGTTCCTGGACCAAAAGATAATCTTCATTATTACTTATAACAATAATAATTGTAATGATAGAGCACTGCATATCTACAGTGCTTTCAAGTGCTACACAGTTTTTACAAGCATAATTTGAAAATCACATCTACCATGCTTTTTGTCTGGATATCGTTTGACTTGTTTTAAAATGAAGTAGTTGAATCAAACGTTACAGAGAATTATTCATGCATCAGAACTCAGGTCTAATTTTCCTGGCTCCAAGTGCAATGTTCTTTTCTTTCTAACATAAATTCCCAAACCCTTTGTCTTTGGCCAGATTTTATTAACACAGCAACACCCACATCCACACAGGCCTAGTCCTGAAGGAACGTAGCGACTCCTGTATGATTCCAACGTTCACTCACTCCTGCATGACTCTTATCTCCAACTTCCCAGCAGATGAGGAGGAAGGGGCAAAGTGCTGACTCATCATGATGGTAACAGCTCACGCTCATTAAATGCCAAACCTGGTGGTAACTTTACACGTATTTTCTCACATGAGCACTATAACATAGACATTAGATTGTTGAAAAAAAAATTGTGGTTTTTGCCATTACTTCTTTCTTTCTTTTTTTTGATGGAGTTTCGCTCTTGTTGCCCAGGCTGGAGTACAGTGGCATGATCTCAGCTCATCGCAACCTCTGCCTCCCAGGTTCAAGCGATTCTCCTGCCTCAGCCTCCCGAGTAGATGGGATTACAGGCATGCACCACCACGCCCGGCGCCATTACTTTCCAGGGCAAAAACTGGAATTACTTTTGGACCAACCTAATAATATAATTGCATATATATAAATTTAAAAATATATATATAATTTAAAAATATATACATTTATATATAATTTAAAAATATGTATATAAATTTAAAAATATATATAGATTAAATATATATATAATTAAAAATATATATAATTAAAAATATATATATATATATATTTTTTTTTTCAGGTGGAGTCTTGCTCTGTCACCCAGGCTGGAGTGCAGTGGCGGGATCTCAGCTCACCACAACCTCCGCCTCCTGGGTTCAAGCAATTCTCCTGCCTCAGCCTCCTGAGTAGATGGGATTACAGGCACATGCCACCATGCCCGGCTAATTTTTGTGTTTTTAGTAGAGACGGGGTTTCACCATGTTGATCAGGCTGGTCTCGAACTCCTGACCTCATGGTCCGCCCTCCTCAGCCTCCCAAAGTGCTGGGATTACAGGCGTGAGCTACTGCGCCCAGCCAGTCGCCTATATTTTATAGCTACGTAAACTTCTCAGGTAGGTTTTCTGAGGTCAAAGAGCTGATTCCATTTACTGCTTCTCCTCTTGTGGATGGGTTATCACATGGCTCACAATTTGAACTCTTAATGACTTTCTTCATGAAACTGTTACTTCCATCCATGTTTTCTCCTATTATTTCCTTAATGACTCAGGTATGTTATGGGTTAAATAAGTTATTGTTAGAGGTTCTGGGGAGCCATCAATCATTTCTAAAATTGTTTCCATGGAAGGAAAACTCTTTTTAGTTTCTACTTATAAATGGAAGTGATCATTGTATACAATTAGCCCTGATGGCAACACATCACTATAAAAAGCTAGGATTGGGAAAGAAGTGGAGATCAAATCAGTCTTTGATACCTGTGTACTTTTGCTACAAACTGCATTTACAAATACTAGAATGAAAGGAAAGAGATAAAATGACAAAAATAGGAGTAGCCAGTAGGCCAAGAGAAATATATATATATATATATATATATATATATATATATATATATATGCATACACACACAGACACACACATCATTATAAACATATAGTGAAATACATACATTTATTTGTTTCTATTACAAATAAATTTAACCCCTTAATGATCTGTTTTTTAATCTTTCTTTGTCTTGTCTTGCTATGTAGTGGTGAATAAAATAGTAAAAGACAAGCATTCAATTGATGTTTTAAAAATTTTATTTATATATGATATACATAGTGATATACATTTTTATTATATATTGAGATATAAGTATGTTATATATTTCATATATAAATACAAAATATATTATATTATAATAATATTTCTGATATATAAAAACATACATCAGAAACACATTAAAAATATATATCAAAATATCTTTATAATATAATAAATTATAAAATAAATCATATAGTATTATGGTATTATAATATATTATAAAATAAGTCATATGATATATTATAATGATAAAAATATATATATCAGAAAATGATAAAATATATAAAATGATAAAACTATATATCAGAAATATTTTATTTATATATTTTGTATTTATATATGAAATATAAAACATAATTATATATCATCAATATGTAATAAAAATATATATCATTACATATGTCATATATAAATAAGATTTTTAAAATATCAATTGAATGCCACTCTTTTATTATTTAATTCACCACTATATAGTGAGATAAGACAAAGAAAGATTAAAAAACAGATCACGGCCAGGCACGGTGGCTCATGTCTGTAATCCCAGCATTTTGGGAGGCCAAGGCAGGCGGATAGCCTGAGGTCAGGAGTTTGAGACCAGCCTGGCCAACATGGTAAAACCCTGTCTCTACTGAAAATACAAAAATTAGCCAGGTGTGTTGGCAGGCACCTGTAATCCCAGTACTCAAGAGGCTGAGACAAGAGAATTGCTTGAACCTGGGAGGCATAGGTTGCAGTGAGCAGAGATTGTGCCATTGCACTCCAGGCTGGGTGATGAGAAACTCCATCTAAAAAAACAAAACAAAACAAAACAAACAAACATCCCAGATCATTAGAGGTTAAATTTATTTGTAATAGAAACAAATCAAATAAAAAAAGCCAAAAACAGGACCTTACTTCTTTCTTTATTTTCTGGGGGTTTTTTGTGTTTCTCTGTTTAGAACCCTGGGCTATTTTCATATGAATACAATTCACGGAAAATTAACATTGATTTTATCGTCAACTGCTGTCACATCTATTTACTTGGAAAAGGGAAGAACCACCTCTACCAGGACACATTTGCTTGGGATTAACATCTATCATAGAATCTGCAGCGGAAATGAGGAGGTATTAGGGAGGCACATGTGGAAGTGTGAGTCTAGAATGCCTTGCGTCCACTAGAAGACAATCTTTTAAATTCTTCTTAAAAGACTGAACTGTTAACACAGTAAATTTTTCTTGAGAAAATTAACACCACCATATGGAAGTGTTTTTTTGTAAATTAATAACCATTGTTATCCAAAAACTATAGTATTTTATAATATTAGAAAAGGAGGAGATTGAATTACACCATGTTTAGAATTGATGGGTTATGCTTTAATTTACAGTATATATGCAGTCTATACAAATCCCCCTTCCAGTCTTCAGGCCATGCAAGAAAAGCAAGACCTCTCCACATGCTTAGACCTAGTAAAAACAAGAACCACCATCTGGAAACGGGCAGCCAGTATACATAAGAAATGGGCGGCCAGTATACATAAACTCCACTAGTGCAGTAAACCTAAGGCTTGCTGACCTCTGGGCTACCAGCATCATGCTGGCTTACCTAGAATGAAAGCCTGCATGATCCATGTGGGAATAGTACCAAGTCATGCCCCAGGCAAAGCAATGCCAGTGGAAGCAAACACACAGAAAAGAACTAGATGATTAGTTCAGATTTTAAATTTGCCCAGAATTTGATAAAACATATTTTGATTTTAGCATAGTTATAAGTTTTAGACATTATCATTAAGTATTTTTATTCTTTACCAGGAGAAACCGGCTTTGCAAAATCTACTCTGTTCCTAAGACTTCTAAGTGCTGAATTTTAGCCATCCGTAATGCCTAGAAAATTGAAGATGCATAATGTATTCTTGTTGAAATAATGAATAATGCACGATTGACTAGTTAGTATTATCTAAAGGAAGTTTAAGAAATGACCTCTGTAGTATTGAGAATCTAGCCCTCAATTAAGAGTATTCTTGTATCATGGCCCAGCAGTGTGGTTTATCAAAAGTTACTCTAGTACCAAATAGAAAAGAGGTGAGGAAGTGCTCATCCGTACATACATCCACTATATGTTTCTGTATGTAAATGTAAAACAGCTTCCTCTTTCCTAAGTATGTTATCATTTGAGGTCATCCACGTTACAAATCCACCAAATGGATTTTAAATTTTCCACATTGTTCCAGATATTAGGCTAGTGTCTCACAGCTCCAAACTGTATGTTCTTAAGATGCCAAAGCTGAGCCTGTGAAAATTACATGTCTGCTGGCCAGTTGACTCCTAGTTAGGTTCTACTGCACAAGTGCTTTGAGGAGATCAGAAGGTTGCAGGCAGACAAAGGGCTCCTTTCCCATTTGCCTGCTGTTCCTGGAGTGTCACTTGGCCAGTGGCTCTTAGTTTCTGCAGAAGCAGTTGGTTCTGGCTGCTAGTAATTTTTCTTCACTCCCAGAACCAGTCTTCTTACAACTCCTCAAAGGAACCAGCAGCAGCTGGGCAGTAGCACCTCCTCAGTGGTCTGCTCCAGCTCCTCAGGACCCTCCTCTTCCAGTGCTGGATTCCTTTTATTGCCTCCTATGAATGAATCTTAGCTTCTTCCTGCTTTCATCTCCGTCTTATCCTTTTGCCAGCTACAGTTCTCTAGCACTCGTATAACCAAATCCCTGCTTTAAATGATCTCTGTTTATATAACTAGTTTGGATTCTGCTTCTTTTTTTCAACAAGACTCTGTTATACATAAAACACCAGTTTCAACTAATAGATATTTTGAATTTTTAATTAGAATGTGTTGGCAAATTCTACTTGCCATTATAAAATAAATATTTTAAATTGACCTAAAATGCTGTATTTATCTTGCTGTGCAAATTTCAGAATTTTATCTGTGTATGTGTATTACAAGGACATACACCCAATTTATTGATATGTATTATTTAAATGAAAACTTATAGAAATTATACAACCAACCAAATAGAAATAAATGGAACTAGAATTAATAAAATAGCTACAAGTTAGCAGGATTATACTGGAACAGTTATATGACTTTCTTTTGTGCCTGAGTACGCTGAGAGCTTTCTGTTCAGAAAGTAGGAAGAGTAAATAACATTATTTTCATATAGCTAGCATAAAATATGTACCAAGAATAGACAAAGTATATTCTTACACATTTCTGATACTAATTTCTCCATTATATTTTCATGTCAAAGAATAGATGTTTTAACTTCTTGTAAAGAAAGGCATAAGATAAGCTGGGCATGGTGGCATGCACCCATAATCCCAGCTGTTCAGGAGGTTGAGGCAGGAAGATCACTTGATCCCAGGAGTTCCTGTCCAGTCTTGGCAATATGTAGCCTGTTTCACTATATCCTTCCCTTTTTATTTTTAACTTAGTTTCTGCCTGTATTAGTCCATTTTCACGCAGCTGATAAAGACATACCTGAGACTGGGCTATTTATGAACGAAAGAGCTTTATTGGACTTACAGTTCCATATGGCTTGGGAGACCTCATAATTATGGAAGGCCAGGAGGAGCAAGTCACATCTTAGGTGAATGGCTGCAGGCAAAGAGCACTTGTGCTGGGAAATTCCAGTTTTTAAAGCCATCGGATCTTGTGAGACTCATTCACTATCAGGAGAACAGTGCAGGAAAGACACGCCCCCATGATTCAGTCACCTCCCGCTGGGTTCCTCCCACGACACATGGGAATTGTGAGAGTTACAATTCAAGATGAGACTTGGGTGGGGACACAGCCAAACCATATCACTACCACTCAGCAACAATTTTAATTCCTTCAAATTTGTATGTTTTCACTGGCCTCAGGGCCTTTGGTCATGATCTTTGTAATAGTCTAACCACATTTTTCTGTTCAATTTATAACAGCTTTCAAATCCTACCAGTTTTCTTCCCCTTCAGCCTGCATCTGGGCAAGTTGATAAGAAAGCATGGGAATGCTCTCCTTTTTAACACCCGTGGGAAATTCAGACCACACAACATCAATCAACCTGTGAGTGGAAATCTTTTTTTTTTTTGAGATGGAATCTCGCTCTGTTGCCCTGGCTGGAGTGCAGTGGCGCGATCTCAGCTCATTGCAAGCTCCGCCTCCTGGGTTCACGCCATTCTCCTGCCTCAGCCTCCCGAGTAGCTGGGACTACAGGCGCCCGCCACCATGCCTGGCTAATATTTTTGCATTTTTAGTAGAGACGGGGTTTCACTGTGTTAGCCAGGATGGTCTCGATCAAGCTGTGAGTGGAAATCTTAACCCCAGCCCCATGTCATCCCACCCTCACACCCTATAATTGGGATTTCAGGACAAGAGTATGGTTTAGGGACAAAAGACTCCAACTCAGTCTCTTTTCCTTGCTGTCTCCTGACATTCTACGACTTGATGAGGAGCCCACCCTGCTCTCCCCAGAAAACTTCACTATGTGAGTAGTAAACCTTTTCATACCCTCTTGGTATGTGTGTTGTAGGTTAGTCTTGATATCTGAACCAAATTTTGGGTGGGGAGGCCCATTCTGCCTCTGCAACTTTGGGAGGCCAAGGTGAGCAAATCACCTGAGGTCAGGAGTTCGAGACCAGCCTGGCCAACATGATGAAACCCCGTCTCTACTGAAAATACAAAAATTATCCAAGCGTAGTGGCAGGTGCCTGTAACCCAAGCTACTTGGGAGGCTGAGGCAGGAGAATTGTTTGAACCTGGGAGGCAGAGGTTGCAGTGAGCCGAGATTGCGCCATTGCACTCCAGCCTAGGGGACAAAAGCGTAACTCAGTCTCAAAAAAATAAGTGTTCAGGCAATGACCACTACAACTGGGGGCCTTTTTGTCTCGCTTTGACTTGCTAACCAGCTCTGCTGCTTGCTCGTTAGCATGCTCTTGAGTTTTATTGCTGCCTTCTGGCAAGCTTTGTTCTATGTTGCTTTTTTCCGTATTTGCTGAGTTCTATAGTCGTTCGTCCTGACCTAAATCAGAAGTTATAATTGGGGTTTAGGGACAAGATGTGGGATTGAGGCCCCCCTTGAAGTGACTTTGGGCCATGTGCCTCTATCTCTATCTGTGTGTCTCAGATTGAATAGTTTGTCTCTGCTTCAATGTAAATCTGACTAATGCTAGGCTCAAAGGAGCAACACATACTCTGTAACTGTTGATTGTGTGTCTCAACCAAGCATCAGTCCCTCACTCTTTGGTCTACTCAGGGTAGAGAGTGACAGGCTGTACAATATGTAGTCTCATTAGATTTCTGCTCCTGGAGAGGAAAAACAGTTACTATGTGACATACTGAAATCACTCTCCTAAAAGCAGATGGCTCAGTAGGACTCTACACAATAAATTTTCTGTAGCTGATCACTATTCCTTTGTTGAAATAAAAAATACTACTTCTCAGGGTTTTAGGAAAAAACGCCCATGACACCTCCATGGTAAACTCAAGGTATTAAATTCAAGGCCAATTTAAGCCTGGGTCCTAAAACCCCATAAAATAATCATTGCCAAAGTTAAGCTTCACTAGAGGATGAAATTTATAATTATGAGCAGCACAGGGAGAACCCTATTTCCCATTGGATGCAGAGAGAAGAAACAAAAACTGAAATAGATGTCCATGATTTGACCCAATTAGAAATTTAAATTTTATTAAATTAATTTATATAACAAAAAGATTAAAAAACACTGATTAGCTTTTGCCATTACAACATAGGTTTTGAATTAACTTTAACATCTGCTGAAATGCACTTACTAGCAAATTTTCATGGCCTTTATGAATACTGAAGCTCAAATCAAGTTTTATCTATGAATCCTACTGAATTTAAATAAAATGCCACTATAATTTTAGAGATGTACTGCATATAAAATAGACAATAAATAGGTAAGCTTCAAGTAACTATTAGAACAATTGTCTTTCCTCAATTCCTGATAGTCACAGCACCCATTGCCTTAAAATGTATTGTGGTGGGGACTGATGCTCTAAATCAATGAATAAAAAATGAAAATTAATTAAGACTTGGGACTTACAATTGACTTAAATAAAAGGGATCCCATGGGCCTTTCCCTGGGTAAAATTGTTAATACAGCATAATAGAAATTTAAAGTCTTCAAAAATGAAACTCATTACACAAGACTTATTTAGAGAAGAGGTGATTATTCTTACTGTTTTTCCATTTAACAGCCCAATCTGGTCTGATCTTGCACTTGGGAAAATGAATGCTGCTTCATAGCAGATTATCAAAACATTAATTCTGTGGCCCAACAGACTAATATTGTCTGGATGTTTTGACTCCTCCATATCTCATGTTGAAATGTGCTCTCCAATGTGGGAGGTAGGTCTAATGAGAGGTGTTTCAGTCATGAAGACAGATCCCTCATGAGTGGCTTGGTGCTGTCCTCCCGTTAATGAGTGAGTTCTCCCTCTATCAGCTCATGCCATATCTGGCTGTTTAAAAGAGCCTGGTATCTCCTCACTCTGCCTCTTGTTCCCTTTCTCACCATGTAACAGGCCGACTCTCCTTCACCTTCCACCATGATTGTAAGCTTACTGGGGCCCTCACCAGAAGCAGATGCCAGAACTATGCTTTTTGTACAGTCTGCAGAACCATGGGCCAAACAAACCTCTTTTCTTTATAAATTACCCAGTTTCAGATATTCCTTATAGCAATGCAAATGGACTCACACACCCATTAAAACCCCATTCCCATTATTGCTGAAGTTATTGACCACCATTAAATCACCAGCAGGTAAATACATTGCAGTCAGAGATGTAGCTAATTTTTTTTTTTATTTAGTGCCTATTTTTAGCAGATTTTCAGCCTCAATTTGCCTTCCTGAGTCCCATGCTATTTCTCATTAGAGTGGCAATTGCTAGCTGCTACTGGACTGTCCTGGAAACAGAGGACCTAATCAGCCTTGAACTCATGACCCTCTGCACCTAGCTGCCCAAATGCTATAGGTCATAAAAGCATTGTCCTGCAAGCTCAGCGTGGTCACTTGCTAAACATAAAGTCTCACATGTATTTCCATATATAAAGCCTTGATGCAAGATGAACTATCAAACCTAAAATGAAGAAATTTTAATCGAAGCATTCAACGAACATTTTACCTCACTTATGGCGCTTAGCATCATAGAACGCCACAATGGCTTAATTAAGCAAGCTCAAATTTAATTAAATGAAGCATGGGATATTTCAATCATCTGTCACACCATGAATTGTAAGTCTGTAACAATCATGAACTGTAATAATCTGACCCTCTTTTTGTTTTTTGGCTGCTAATGACTTTCGAACTCTATCATTCCTCCTTCCCCTCTGCTCCACAGAGAAAGTTTAACCAAACAAAGAAAAGCCTCTTTCTTTGTCAGTGTCACAAAGTACAAACCAAGCAAGCCCAGGCCCACATGAGAGAATCCTCAGCCTGCTCTACTCTCTAGCCACCGTAAGACACCAAACTGGTCTTCTTTTCCTGTTCTCTCATGCCATTCTTGGACATGCTTTTAAATCTACCCTGCTTTTCCCAGAAAGCCTCATTATTATGTGGGTTATAAACCTTTCATACCTTCCTAGTGCATGGGTGGTGTCAGTAGTCGTAAAATGAACAAATTTTGGGTGGTAGAAGTCTATCTTGCTTCTATGGACTTATAATATTTTTGTTACTGGTTTTATTATTGTTATTACTATTATTGTAAAGAAATACAACACACAATTTACCGTCTTAACCTTTTAAAAGTGTATAATAGTGTTAATATATTCACACTGTTGTGAAACAGATCCCTTGAAATTTTCCTTTTCTAAACATGAAACTCTGCACCCACTAAACAATTCCCATTTTGCCCCTTCTCCCAGTCCCTGGTAACCACTGTTCGATTTTCTGTTTCTACAAATTTGATTCGATTATATACCTCATATAAGTGGAATCGTACAGTATTCGTCTTTTTCTGACTGGTTTATTTCACTTAGCATAATATTCTCAAGGTTCATCTATGTTGTAGCATATGACTTCATATTTAAGACTTAATAATATTCCATTGTATGTATATATCGTGTATATATATATATATATATATATATATTTTGATACAGAGTCTCACTCTGTCGCCCAGGCTGGAGTGCAGTGGTATGATCTTGGCTCACTGCAACCCCTGCCAGGGTCCAAGTGATTCTCCTACCTCAGCCTTCCGAGTAGCTGGGATTACAGGCACGTGCCACCATGCCCGCCTAACTTTCGTGTTTTTAGTAGAGACAGGGTTTCAACATGTTGGCCAGGCTGGTCTCAAACTCCTGACCTCAGGTGATCCACACTCCTCGGCCTCCCAAAATGCTGGGATTACAGGCATGAGCCACCGCGCCCAGCCTATATGTCATATTTTATTTATTCATTCATCTGTTGATGGACATTTGGGTTGCTTCTACCTTTTGGCACTTGTGAATAGTGCTGTGATAAATACGGTGTATGCAAATATTTCTTCAAGACTTTGCTTTAGTTCTGTTGTGTATATACCCAGAAGATGGAGTTCTGAATCACATGGTAGTCTATTTTTAAACTTTTGAGGAGTCTCCCTACTGGTTTTCATAGCAGTTGCACCATTTTACAATCCCACTATTGGTGCTTCATGGATCCAATTTCACCACATCCTCAGCAACACTTGCTATCATCTGTTTTTCATTTGGTTTTGTTTTGATAGTAGCTATCCTAATGGGTCTGCAGTGATGTCTCATTGTGGTTTTTCCACACATTTCTCTGATGATTAGTGATAGTAAACATTTTTTCATGTGTTTGTCGGCCATTTATACATCATCTTTGGTGTTCTGCCTGTTTGAGTTTTTTTTTTCTCTCTCTCTTTAGTTCATTTATATTTATCTTCTGGTACCACAGCTACTGCATTTTTATCAAGCCATTGGTAATTGGTAGGTGTGTCCCAACACTCTCAGTCTTATCTTCTTGCTCATGCAAATATTTAATGTCTGTTTTATCTTCCCTAATGAAAAGTTAAATGAAGAAAACACAACTTCTGCCCATTTACTATTGTGTCTGGTACAAGCTAGATGGACCCTATATATTCTTGAATTCTGACTTGATTGTATGAGTCAGGTATTCTTTGCTATTTACTTGGCTGAAAGCATAGTCCCCTAAAAGACATTACTAAAATCACTAAATTAATTGCCATCATTTGCTTTTTCTGTGAGCAGTACTATTATTGGTCCCAGAAGAAGAAAAACTGTATTGTGTTAGTGCTAATTTTAATTTGGCACTTACTATTTTTCAAGAACTGTATAAAGTGATATATTTATTATCATTGATTTTGTGAGAAAACTACTATATCATGGTTGATTGCAGATGTAAAATAAAGCTTTAGGACAACCAGCCTGTCCAAGATCACACAGCTACTGTGCAGTGGAGTAGCGGATTGTACTAAACAATCTGGCTGTGAAGTCCTGTTTTGTTGCAAAGGAGGAGATGGGATAGGTATGGGGCTGTGCTATTATTCCAGAGCTGACAGGGAACCAGTGAGTTCAATATTCGTAATGTACTTAAGGGACAAAATTATAAGTTTCTCTAGAAACATACCAGAGCGTAATATATTTTATATATCTCTTCTAGGCTAAAATTAAATGTATGCATTGTTTCTCCATTAACTCAGCCTCCGAACATGAATATGTAAATTAACGTTCTCAAGAGGAACTTCTTAAACTATGTGTACAAGACTTTTCTTGGTCTCTATATGAATTAACGTAATCTGCTGCCACTTTGCTTACATTAAATGTGATGGCTCTGAGGCAAACTGTGTATATTTCTATATATTACCAACACTTCTTGGTTAATTCTGTAAGAAAAATGTGCTCGATTATAAAAATGCTAATTCTCTAGGAAACAGAAGGTAAGAAATCTATAATTCAAAGGTCAGATTTGGCTCAATGTTAATTTCATCAAGTGCTAGATATTATTAACCTTTTTAATTAGTGCAGTTTGTATGTAATGTTGCTGTTTATCCAAATTTGTTAATGAACTTTGATATGGATATTTGTAAATTAATTCTCTCATTTATTTATTTATTCACTTATGATTCATAGAGAAACTAGTTCCCAATCTAGTTTGAAGTAACATGTAATATTAAAACATATGTGAAGTAGGCCAGTTAAAATACAAAATTTGTTCAAAATCTAATTAGAAGAAAGGCAGGAAAATACTGTATATGGGTGGAATTAATTATTTATTGTGATCAAGAACAAAATTTATCTCTCCATTTCCAGGTAGCCAGGTTAAAAGAGGAAATATTGTGTGCCTTTATAGAATCAGTGACTGATAAAAGAAAGCAAGCAGATTTTTGTGGAAAGTATTTTTTTTTCTTTTGGCAAAGTAATTTACGAAATTTATCACATAGATTAATATTTAATTATCTTTATAGTGTATACATTTAATGTGTACAACATGATGTTTTGATAAACTGGTTACAATGGTCAGTTAACATTTCCACCATCTCACATAGGTTATATTTTTTGTGTCTGTGTGGGAAGAGCACTTAGAATCTACTCTTAAGCAAATTTCCAGTATATAATACCACATCATGTCAGTCCATTTGCATTGCTATAAAGGAGTACCTGAGACTGGGTAACTTACAAAGAAAAGAGGTTTATTTTGGCTCACAGTTCTACAGACTCTACAAGAAGCATAGTGCTGGCATCAGCTCTTAGTGAGGACCTCAGGAAGTTTACAATCATGGTGGAGTGTCACATGGTGAGATTAAGTAAGAAAGAGAGGAGGTTCTGGGCTATTTTAAACAACCAGATCTCACATGAACTCACAGAGTGAGAACACATGTGAGGAAAGCACCAAACCATTCATGAGTGATCCGCCCCCATGACACAAACACCCCTGACTAAGCCCCACCTTCAATGGTGGGGATCACATTTCAATATGAGATTTGGAGGGGACACATATCCAAACCATATCAAACATTATTAACTATGGTCTTCATGCTGTTCATTAGACCTTCAGACTTATTCATCCAACATATCTGCTAGTTTGTTCCCTTCATCTTACTTCTCCCCAGCTCCTGCCCCCACATTCCTGGTAACCACCATTGTACATTTGTTTCTATGTATTCTACTGTTTTATTTTTCAATTCCAAATATAAGCTAGATCATGCCATATTTTTCTTTCTGTGTCTGAATTATTTCACTTAGCATCATGTTCTTTAGATTCATCTAGGTTGTTGCAAAAGTCATGATTTTCTTCTTTTATAAGAGTGAATACTGTGTGTATGCATGTATCTATGCCAAAATTTCTTTATCCATTCATTGGTTAACGAAGACTTGGGTTGATTCTGTTTCTTTTCAGAGAAACTTTAAGATATCTAGTTCACAAGTAAAGGCTGAATATATTCAAGGTGTACATTGTATAATAATCATCACAATCAAATTAATACACTCACCACCATACATGCTGCATATTATATCCCCATATCATGTTCTTCTTAAAACTGAATGTTGGTACCCTCTGGTCAATGTCTCCTCATATTTCTCAACCCAGATCTCCTGGCAACCACCATACTACTCCTTTTCCTATAAGTTTGACTTTTCAGATTTCACATGTAAGTAACATTATACATGATTTGTTTTTCTGTGTCTGCCTTATTTAACTTAGCATGTCTTCTGGGTTCATTCATATAGTCAGAAATGTCGAGATTTCTTCTTTTTATGGCTTATATAAAATTCCACTGTATAATACATACCATAGTTTTTTATCCATTCATTTGTCAATGAACACTGAGGCTGTTTCCATATCTTGGCCATTGTGAATAATGTTGCAATAAACAACATGAGCACAGATATCTCTATGAGTGACTACTTTCATTTCCTTGGAAGATATACCCAGAAGAGGGCTTGCTAGATTACATGGTAACACAGTTTTTAATTTTTTTAAGGAACATCATACCTTTTCCATAATGGCTGCATTGATTTACATTCTCACCAACAGTGTGCAAGAATTCCCTTTTCTCCACATCCTCTCCAACACTTTTTGTCTCTTGTCTTCTTAATAATAGCCATCCTAACTGGTGTGAAGTGATATCTCATTGTGGTTTTGATTCGCATTGCACTGAACTTTTTTACATTTATTCACATCTTGTTCTCTAAGATTTCCAAACAATTTGATATGACGAACATATATTACATGTACATGGATTGATGGATGGATTAATAGATAGATATTAATAGATGATAGATGAATGTAGATATTGGCATTTTCTTTGAATTAAGAAGAATTAGAATATTTCTAATCTGTATTTTTCTGCTACATCATTTATTAATGTGTTACTACTATATGATTTGACTCTAGCTGAACACAAACAATTTGTGATTTTTATTGCAAGTAGAGTGACTATTTACCTTTAGTAATTGTAATTTTTGTAACTATATGGTGTTACCTTAGAACCAGATGGAAATATTATAAAATATAGTCCATGCATCGACTATCATTCAAATTTGAATCATTCCAAATTTCAGAATATGTGTAACCTCAGGGTTTTTATATAAACGATTTGGGGCTGGGCGCGGTGGCTCATGTCCGTAATCCCAGCACTTTGGGAGGCCGAGGCAGGTAGATCACCTGAGGTCAGGAGATTGGGACTAGCCTGGCCGAAATGATGAAACTCCATCTCTACTAAAAATACACCCAGAAAAATAGTAGCCCAGCATGGTGGCACCTGTAATCCCAGTTTCTCAGGAGGCTGAGGCAGGAGAATCGCTTGAACACAGGAGGCAGAGGTTGCAGTGAGCCGAGATTGTGCCACTGCACTCCAGCCTGGGCAACAAGAGTGAAACTCTGTCTCAAAATAAATAAATAAACGATTCTGACATATTAAAGATTATATCATGCATATTTAGGCCAGATAATAATTTCACCAGTTTTAACATTAAAAGACACATAATATATTATTCTTTTTTTGTCAGCAGGTATTAGCAAATGTAAGGCTTTTCTATTGATTTCTAACTAAATAATACATTTACTTTTTAATATAATTGATATGTAGTCAAGCATACATATATACACATGGAAATCAACAGGAGAAAGGAAAATGAAAGGACTTACCTAAGAATAGAGGTATTTATTACACTGGAAGAAGAAACGTGAATAGAAAAACAATATACCGAAATTTGTGAAGGCAATTTTTGGACATGTTTCAAGTTACTAAGTTGGTGGAGTTGAGAACACCCTTTTCAGTAAGAACCTCAGCAACTATAAAATGCCTTGGACTAAATGTAAAAGCAAACCTAAGTCCATTTAACTTTACATGATAACAGTGCCCATTTCTGTGCATGTTCTAATCTATGACAATTTAACTGGACAGTTCTCAAGACATAGGTCACTGCCTAGAAGGACAAACAGAAAATTCTTAGAGCAAGGCCTAGAAGAAACCATTTCTTTGTGCTTTTATTTATTTATTTATTTATTTATTTTTGAGTTGGGGTCTCGCTGTGTTGTTCAGGCTGGACTCAAACTCCTGGGCTCAAAGTGATTCTCCTTTCCCCACTACCCAGGAGCTGAAATTACAGGCATGTGTCATTGCACCTGGCCTATTATTTCCTTGAACTACCATAGCATATCTTGCCCTGTGGTTTGAAGAATGTATTAGCATAAGCATGAATTTGTTTATAATCTCTCTTTTTCTACCTAGGATTTTTGATAGCTTCATGTATGGATATCTGTGTCTTATAAGCCCCTTGATAAAAAAAGTCAGAGCTCTATATTTTTCTCCCATCTCTCATAATGGTAGTTTATTGCACATCCATTAATTTGTACACTCCATTGGGAGCAAAGCAAACAGAAAACAACAACAACAACAAAAAACATGAAAGGACACAGTGTTGAAAATATAATTGAATCAAAGGATGCTCAGAAAAAGTATTCCCATTTATGTTATGTCTTTACTCTTGTCTTCAATTCCTCAACATCAGCACATGCCCTTGGCCAGTGAAATCTCTAGATTAAAAAAAATCTAAATTATTTGGTAGGATGCTGTACCTCCTCTTTACATTCAGCATCATTTGCCTAGAAATCTCTAGACATATGTTGCTAATTTCATTATTGATGCTGACCCACATAAAATGCTAACAGGTATAAAGTGGTATCTCATTGTGGTTTTTATTAAAATAAAATGTTAGCCTGTAAGGCTAAACTCCATAAAACTGTGAAAAAGAGTTGATTTTTTAATTTTTATCTCTTCAGTGATAATTTCCCTTCTATTTTCATAATTTATTGATAACAGTTCTATTGCAGTACTGTTATTCAGATAAAATTTACAGATATCAAAATCTTTTAAACAATGGTAAATTCTAAGGGTAAATTAAACAATGGCATTCTAAAATTTAAATTGGCTACTCTTTGCTATCCAACAGCTTGCCCTGAGTTCAAAGTGAAATGAAATATCTTATGATTTTGTTATTATTTTGTAATAATTTATACATGAAATAAAAAGACTATTCATACTATTCCATTTTAAAATAGAAAATTTCCATGATGACTTAATATGTTGCTGTATTCCTATTTTAATTTTTATTTTTTGTGCTCACATTTTCTACCTTTATAATATTGGCAAAAGGGTGTCTGTTGCATTAGTTTTTGTGGAGAATCAAAATTCCTATGATTTTTCATTTCACTTTGAACTCTGGGCAAGCTGTTGGACAGCAAAGAGTAGCCAACTTGAATTTTTATTTCTTTAATTACTGTTGGTTTTAAGTGACTTTTTAATATGCTTACCGACCATTTCATGTTTCTTTGCTCATTGTTCTCTTTCATTGGGTTATTTTTCTCATATTTTATCTTGAGTTCTGTTTCTATTTATTTTGGATACCAATCCTTTATGAGTTGCATGCTTGCCAATATCTTCTAATTGGTAGCTTCTAATTTTATATCCTTATATGTATATTTTTATTATATACACAAATCTAATGTTTTAAAATTTTTTATATACTTACATTTGGTGTTTTTGTCTTACACTTTTGTTGTTGTTCTTTTAAGTTGCAAAAATATATCAATTTGTCTGTTTATGGTTGCATTTATCTTAAGGCTACAATTTCTTCCTTCCATAGTGTCATATAATATGAGCCACAAACGAAAACTACATGTGTTACTTTTAAATTTTCTAGTAGCCTATTAAAAAAGTAAAAACAAAACAAGTAAAATAAATTTTAATATGCTTTATTCAGTCTATTGTATCACAAATATTATAATTTCAACACCTAATCAAAATATAATTATTAATGATATATTTGATATCTTTTTCTTTGTTGTAAGTTCTTGAAATATGGTGTATATTTGATACTTATAGCACTTGTCAACTTAGATTAGCAATATTTTAAATGTTGAGCCACATGAGGCTAGTGGCTACCTTATTGGGGTGGACTCTGTTTTAGTTCTGTTTTTTTTTTTCCCCAAGTCAACAGTATTCTTTATTAAGAGAAGCTGCAATTACGTGCTTTTGACTTCCACTTTGGAAATATTGTTAACTGTCTCTAATTACAGATTTTTCTACCCTGTCCTCAGAAATGTTGGCTTCCATTTAATGGTAGACCAATATCTCTGGGATATTTTCCTAAGCTGCTGACACTCATTTATCCAGTTCAATGCTGGCCGTTTCAGGTTTCCTCATGTTTAAACAATGATAAGTATAACCAATTGCTACATAGTGGTGTTTTGGGAGGAACGCAGGTTTCCTAGTTTCATGGAAAATAGAATTTGTATAACTTTCCTGTTCTCTAATTTGTGTGTAAAAATTTATACGTAAAATAAAAAGGCTATTCATACTATTCCATTTGAAAATTGAAAATTTCCTTGGTATTTAATATGTTGCCGTATCCCTATTTTAATTTGTATTTTTTTGTCTCCACATTTTCTACCTTTATAATATTGGCAAAAGGGTGTCGGCTGCATTAGTTTTGGTGAGGAACCAGCATTGTTCTGATGGTTGTCTCTATTATATATATTTTTCTTTAATTTCTATTTTTATTTTGCCACATATCTTTACTTGTATTATATGAGATATTACTATCTTGTTATTTTTCTAACATCCTCAGTAGGATGTTTAGCACATTTTTCCATCTTTCTTCTTTTCCAATTAAAGCTACTTAAAGTGATAAACCTCTGGTTATCTATTACAATAACAACTAACCTCTAAACATACCTGATACATAGACATATAGATAGATAGAAAATAGATAGATAGATAAATAGATAGATAGATAGATAGATAGATAGATAGATAGATAGATAGATAGATGTCTCATGAATCTGCAGCATTCGGTGAACTTTAGCTAACTTCAGCTAACTTCAGCTCGACTTTACTGATTGAGGATGTACTTGCTGGGTCAGTCCTGGGTTATCTCCTTGTCTCTGCTGATCGTGCCTGGGCTTGCTCACCTGTCTGGAGGTTGAACAGATTTGGCTGATCTTAGATAGCCTTGGCCTGGACCACTAGGAAGACTCAGCTCTGATCCACATCTCTAGCATCTCTTCCTCTTACTGGGAATGATGGGTTAGCTTGTGTGTCATGGACTGAATGTTTGTGTCCCCTTAAAATTGATGCTGAAACCCTAACCCTGTAATGTTACAGTATTAGGAAGTGGGGCCTTTAGAAGGTAATTAGATTAAGAGGGTGAAGCCCTTGTGAATCGATTAATGCCTTTATAATAAGAGACAGGGGAGCTTGCTTCCTCTCCCTGCTCTCCACTAAGTGACCATTCAATGAAAAGAGAGTCATCTGCAAGCCAGGAAGTGGACTTTTACAATGCTGGATCTGCTAGCACCTCAATCTTGGGCTTTCCAGACTCATGACCTGTGAGAAATAAATTTCTGGTGTTTAAGCTGCCCGGTCTACAGTATTTTTCTTACAGAACCCTGAAATGTCTAAGATATTGTGCATGTTCTACTCATGGTAATGGCAGAAGACAAGAGTGAAAGCATAAACAGGGAAAAGCTTTTAAGAAGTCTCTACTAGTGTTACTTCTCATATCTTCCCATTGCCCATGGCAAGTCACATGGTCAACACCATTACAGTGGGGAAGGCACTACAATGTTACATTTTAAAGGGTCTGGATACAGAAAGGGTTAATTGATACTGTCAATATTGATGTTCTACCATAGTTTCTCTATTACCACTTTTTCCCCTTACCTCTTTAAAATGTATTCACTTATAAAATATTTTTCCTGCTACTTGATACCTAGAAGCATAAATATAAATAATAAACATATTTTACATTTATTATTTTTAGTTCTCTATATTTTCTAACTATTAAAGAGGTTCAAAACATGCCACCACAGAGTATTGCACTTTGGCATATTGATTATTTTCAGTTGAAGGCACTTGAGAAACGGCAGAGGCAGGAAGGGCTCTCTGACTTCTCCCTTTCTACCTAAAAGCAGGTCATAAAGTTATCTATGAGAAAGATATCCTTCCTGTACCAGAAAGAGAAGAATATTCTTTTCACTGGAGACTAGGAGTCAACCTCAAAATGGATCTATATAAACAAACCTACTAAAATAACTCTCATTTTTCATTAGTTTCCTCCATGTATTTCCTAGTCATTTTCCCGCACTTTAGCACCTCCCAAAGCATAAGTGCCATTTCCTTGTCTTGTCATTTCTCCACAAATTTTTCATTCTTTGTTTAAAAATGTATATAAGCTGTCAGTTTTAAGACTAGGTTATAGTCAGTTTTAACTTTACTAGGTCTTCATTTTCCCTATATGCTCCTATGTCCACATAAAAAATATTAAATAAAATTTGTATGTTTTTCTCCCATTAAAATGTCTTATGTCAGCCCAGTTCTCAGATACAGCCAAAGAACAGGAGAGAAAAAGTTATTTCTCTCCTATGTTACCATTGTGTTTTTAAATCCAAACATATGTATTAATATTATGAGGTTTTTTTCCTTATTTATTTCTAATTGTATTGCAGGTAAGGGAGAGATCAGGAAGTTTCTTTGGCTGGTGACTATAAGTGCAGTAAGTTCCTTTAACATTCTCTGGGTATAGCAAACCCTTAGTAGTACATTATTTTCTCTGTGGGAACTTTTGCAGACTCTGAAATTCCTTTATTTTAAATTATCAGCTGTATGTCCTTTGGTTCTCTTCTTCCTTCAGTCCCTGGAATTTTCCCAGTTTTCTGCTTCACATATATTTTCACGGTTGGGCTACTAATGCCTGTCTGGACCGACTTTCAGTTGGAACCCACCTTGGCTCCAGGCAGGCTCTATCTCCTGTATGACCCATACCTCCATCTTTGGGAAGCATTCCTATATCCTTTGATGTAATAAATTCTAGGGGCTCAAGTTACTCTTTTTTTCAATTTATTTATTTATATTTTTGAGACAGAGTCTCACTCTGTTGCCCAGGCTGGAGTGCAGTGGCACCATCTCGGCTCACTGCAAGCTCTGCCTCCCGGGTTCACTCCATTCTCCTGCCTCAGCCTCCCGAGTAGATGGGATTACAGGCGCCTGCCACCACACCCAGCTAATTTTTTGTATTTTTAGTAGAGACGGGGTTTCACCGTGCTAGCCAGGATGGTCTCGATCTCCTTACCTTGTGATCTGCCAGCCTCGGCCTCCCAAAGTACTGGGATTACAGGTGTGAGCCACCATGCCCGGCCTTAAAAACTTCTTTCCTTTCTTTATCTACTTCCAGTGCTGAGTACCTTAGAATACTCCTGAATACTTTTGTTTCAGGATACATCTTGAATATATTTATTATTTTCAGTGAATTATTTTTGAGACAGGGTCTTACTCTATCTCCTAGATTGAAGTGCAGTGGCAGGATCATATTCACTGTAACCTTGAAGTACTGGGATCAAGCGATCTTCCTGCCCAGCCTTCTGAGTAGCTGGGACTACAATGCATACCACCTTGCCCAGCTAAATTTTTTTTTTTTTTTTTTTTTGCTAGTCTCAAACTCCTGGCTTCAGGCAGTCCTCTCGCCTTGGCCTCCCAAAGTGCTGGGATTACAGGCTTGAGCCACTGTGCCTGGTTACATCCCAAATATAAATTGAATCCTGAACAATATATCTCAAATATAAACATAATAAAGATCAGTACATTTCACGACTGTATTCTTAGACTCTTAATTTTAAGGACTAGATTTATTTTTTGTAAATTAAATTTTTTAAATTTGACAATATGTAATAAATGTAAGTTGTAAATGATCATAGAAAGGATTGTATTCTGATCTTTTCTTTCAAGAATGGGAGGAAATCACCTTAATGTATTTGACTGTCTACTTATTCCATTTGTGGATGAAAAAATAATTTCTCAGTGATAGACTGCAAAATTGTAAGAGAAAATGGTAAGGAGAGAGAAGTAAATGTTATTTGGCTTTAGTTGTAAATAGAAAATAAAATATACAAATGTGTATATTATTAAACTTTTGAAATAGACTTAAATTGCTAATTCATAGTAAAAGACTTTAGTTAGAATAAGTAATTCAGTAACAGACTGCTATATTAGCCAACTGAAAAATAAATTTTTAATAACATGTAATCTAAACAGATCTTGTGTTATGTAATTTAATTTTTTAAAAAAGAGAAAGAAATCATGCAGACTGGCTCATGCAGTCATTTAAGTCTTAAAAGCTGAATGAATTTCAGTATCAAATTTTATTTTTTCTAAGTTTTATTTTTCTAAAGTATCTTTGGTGTAATTTTAACCATTACCTTACCTGTAAATAATCTATTTCTTATGTTTTGTGTAAAATCTTATTTGAAAGAAAAAACAATGAACATGGAAACAAATGTAACTTAAAAATGAATCAGCATTTTGGAAAAAAAGCATTATTGGATTTCAAATTGCCTTGAGAAATAAATTAAACATATGTAAACCTGAGTAATCTTTCATTTTAATCTCAGAAGTAAACATTTGTGCAAAATACTCTTATTTTTTTTTAAGGTTGTAAGCTACTGAGGAATACCTGGTAATATTTAGGCAAGTATAAATTTTTACTTCAGAGGATAATTTCAATCAACCCACACGTAGAAAATAATGACTTTTTTGATAAATTCATAATTTTATTTTCTATTTTGAAGAAATCCAGAGGGCTGCAATTCTATTCAATTCACAGGTGGCTGACTCACCTTCATCACTCCATAGCAATGGCTTTCCCTAGTATCTCTAATTTCAGTGGACATTTTCAAACCCATTTTACTTAATCCTTTTGCTATAATTCACATTGTTTACAACCCCTCTTAACTGAAACACTAGTTATCTCTTGCTTTTGTGATATTAGACCTACCAGTTTTTATACTGGCCACATTTCAGTTTTGTTTTGATGCTTTCTACCCTACCTGTTACAGTTCGAAACTGGGCATTCATTTCTTCCCACCCTTGGCTCTAGCCCATACTGTTTAGTCAAATCCATATTTTATTATGTCTATGCCCTAATTACTTAAAAAAAAGCATGTCTTCCAGCTCTATACTTTTGTGTAAAAATATAGTGAAAACAGAACAAAATTCTAACTGAATAAGATAGAAAATTGAAGTATCTCTTGATATTTATTGTTCAAGTCTTACCTGCTATATAGTTTATTACTAACTCCTTTCAAAATTATCCACTTAAATGTGACCACTCTTCTCTATCTCTACCTCATCTTCCCTATTTTGAGTTACCTGTGTCTTCTGTCTCTGGTCTTGTTTGGTGACTTCCTACCAGTTCTTTCAATGTTCATCTTTATTATTATCTCACTATAGTGCAGCCATAAGGCTCATTTAAAAAGAAAAAATATATCACATTAGTCTCTCATTTAAAATATTTTAAAATAATTTAGTTTGCCTTCTGGACAAAATCTACAATCCTTCAGACCAATAAAAATATTAATATCAAGCTATGCTTTTTCTTTGTAGTCTTTAGCCATTATTTCCATCAATTCCTGTGGTAGAATCAGATTGGCCTTGTGCTATTCCTTCCCTCTGTCAAATTTTTGTTCTCCTTAGTGTATTTGAACATGTTCCTACTATTCAAAGCAGTTGCTCCACATTCATTGCCAAATTCATTCTTACTCATCTTCAGAGTTCAGAGTAAATCTTTTTGAACTATCCATAATGTCAGATGCTAGTGCTTTATTTTCACAAGTCACATTTGATTTCCCATCATATCACTTATCATCTCTCTAACTGTATAATTATGTGTACTATTACTTGATTAGTCTTTATATCTTCCATTTGATTCTCAGTACCACAAGGTTACAACCTATGGGTGTGGCTCAAAGTCATATGAACAAATCCAATGCATGTCTATAAAATTGTAATTTCTCCATAAATATTTGTTAAAATAAAAATAAGTTCTGTTGCATAAATCATGATATGTTTAAATATATTTAAACTAAAAGAGGATGGATTTTTTTAAAAAATTAAAAATAGAACTATCATTCAATTAAGCAATCCCACTACTGGGTATCTACCCAAAGGAAAAGAAATCACTATAACAAAAGATACCGGCACTCATATGTTTATCATAGCACTATTCACAAGCAACAATATGGAATCAACATAAGCGTCCAGCAGTGGAAGATTGGATAAAGAATATGTGGTGTATGTATACACTGATATGGTTTGGCTCTGTGTCCCCAGCCAGATCTCATCTTGAATTGTAATAATCCCATGTGTCAAGGGTGAACCAGGTAGAGAGATAATTGAATCATGGGTGGTTTCCCCCATACTGTTCTCTTGATAGTGAGTGAGTTCTCATGAGATCTGATGGTTTTATAAGGGTCTTTTTCCCCATTTGTTCAGTACTTCTCCTTGCTGCTGTCATGTGAAGAAGGACGTGTTTGCTTGCCCTTCCATCATGATTGTAAGTTTCCTGAGACCTCCCAGCCATGCTGAACTATGAGTCAATTAAATCTATTTCCTTTATAAATTATCCAGGCTTGAGTGTATCTTTATTAGTAGTGTGACTCTGTTCTCACACTGCTACTTGGTACCACAGAGAGTGGGGTGCTCCTATAAAGATACCCCAAAATGTTGAAGTGACTTTGGACCTGGATAGCAGGCAGAGGTTGGAACAGAGTGGGGGGCTCAAAAAAGACAGGAAAATGTGGAAAAGTTTGGAACTTCCTAGAGACTCATTGAATGGCTTTGACCAAAATGCTGATAGTGATATGGACAATGAAGTCCAGGCTGAGGTGGTCTCAGATGGCGATAAGGAACTTGTTGGGAACTGGAATAAAGGTGACTCTTACTATGTTTTTGCTATTATGTATCATATCAGTATATGTATACATACACTGTTATACATAAATATACATATTAGTGGATACATATCAGATATACATTATCAGTCACATATACATACACACACACACACATACATAGTTATTTCAGTGTATTTATAAATATACTTTCACTGATATGGTTTGGCTATGTCCCAAATCTCATCCTGAATTGTAGTTCCTGTAATCACCATGTGTCATGGGAGGGATCTAATGGGAGGTAACTGGATCATGGGGGCAGATTTTTCCCATGCTGGTCTCCTGATAGTGAATAAGTCTAATGAGATCTGATGGTTTTATAAAGAGCAGTTCCCTGCACACGCTCTCTTGCCTGCCACCATGTAAGATGTGCCTTTGCTCCTTCTTCACCTTCTGCCATGATTGTGAGGCTTCCCCAGCCATGTAGAACTGTGAGTCCATTAAACCTCTTTTACTTTATGAATTGCCCAGTCTTGGGTATTTCTTCATAGCAGTATGATAACAGACTAATACAAACACACACAAACACAAAATTGTAGAGTACTGTGTTTTATTCTTACTGATGTTATTTATAAAGTACAATAGAAGCATAAAATAAAAGTACCTAAAACTGTTGATAGCAAAATTCTCACCTAATATAATGAAGAAGTTAAGACTTAAAAAATAACTGGGAGAGGCTGGGCTCAGTGGCTCATGCCTGCAATCCCAGAACTTTGGGAGGCTGAGGTGGGTGGATCACAAGGTTAGGAGATCAAGACCCCTGGCCAACATGGTGAAACCCTGTCTCTACTAAAGACACAAAAAATTAGCTGGGCATAGGGGCACGCGCCTGTAGTCCCAGCTACTCAGGAGGCTGAGGCAGGTTGATTGTTTGAACCCAGGAGGCGGAGGCTGCAGTGAGCCGAGATCGCACCACTACACTCCAGCCTGGGCAACAGAGACAGACTCCATCTCAAAAAAATAAAATAAAATAACTGGGAGAATATTCAATGAGTAAAGGAAGTGAGAACATTGTCTGCAGAGGAAACAGAACTAGCGCATGTATGTGGGCATGAGAAAGTGACATATTCACTGAACCACACTCATTTTTCTGAGAATTAATATGCATGCTGAACAGAAAAAAAGTCCTAGATTATGACAGAGCCTGAATTTACATTTTATCCTTTAGGCAATGGAAAGTCACTAAATATTTTAAGTAGAAAAGGGATATAAATAATTGGAATAATTCTCATGTTAGAATAATTATCAAAATTATTCGTGTTGAAATAATTATTCCAGTGACTGTTCTACATGAAAGAGATGAAAATCTGAGTTAGAGAAGAGAGCAATTAGTAGACTGATGTTTTAGTTTTCTAGGGCTGCTGCATCAAGGTACCACGAATTGGGTGGCTTAAACAAGAGAAATGTATGATCTCACAGTTCTGGTGGCTGGAAGTCCTAAACCAAGGTGTTGTCAGGGATAGTTCCTTCTGAGAGCGGTGGGGGACACTCTCTTCATGGGTCTTTTCTAGCTCCTGGTGGTTTGCTAGCAATCTTTGGTGGTACTTGGCCTGAAATTGCATTCTCCAACCTCTGCCTTCATCATCACATACCGTTCTCCCCAGGCGCATGCCTCTCTCTGTACCTAAATTTCTTCATTTTTATAAGGACATCGGTCATATTGGATTCAAGTACACCCTAAAGACCTTATCTTACTTTAATTATCTGCAATTACTCTACTTCCATATTAGGTCATATTTTGAGGTATTGGGGTTTAGGATTTCAAACAGGTATTTGTGGGTAGGGGGCACTATTCAAACCATAGCAGTTGGCAAACAATATGGACCTGCCTGAACTAAGTAAGGGAGAGAAGGGAGAACAAGGACAACAGGAAATATATTTAAATTATGAAGGACAGCATTTGCTAACTCTCTAGATTTAAAGAAAGAGGAACAAGGAGGCATCACTACTCATTCAGGAATTAGAATGGTTGATAATATCATTCAGTCCAATAAGATTTCTCATGGATTAATCTATTTCTCTTCAATTTTTTAATAAAATACATAATAAAACATATATAAAAGAAGAAACTGTATTTTATAACTCACAGTGCTAAAATTTATTTTCCATTTTTTGATTTACTTTGATTTAGATATTTGTTCAGTGTTTGTAATTTATGAACATCAGCTTGCTTAGGTTAAGTAAAATCTACCAGCTATTCATAATAGTTTCTGGTAGTCTATAATGGTTCAGCACACATCTTTCTTTCAAGTTGTATACTATCATATCAACTGTCCACTGGATATCTATACTTGGTTATCTAGAAATATTCTCTTACTCAGCATGTCTAAAACTGGATTCAACATCCTCCTCCATAGAGCTGCTCTTTCACAGCCTTTTCTATCCCAGCAAACATTGCTACAATCAATTCATTCATGGAGGCAAAAATATGTTTTGAATATCTACTATAAGATAGGCAAGTTTGTTTTAGGTACTAGTCATACAGTAATTTTAAAAGGAGACTTTTTTGCCTTTAAAAATCTTACTGTCAAGGAATGGGTGTAGCAAAGGAAAAATCAAGTAAACAAGTAAACAACATCGATACAGATTGTGATAAATGCAGTGAAGGAAAAGAGCAGGATGACATATGTAGTACAGTTAAACCACCTTTAAAAGGGTTGCATAGGGAACTGAAATGTGAATGTTATATGCAGAGAGACAGAGAAAAAGAATTATATGCAGAAGGACTTTTAAAAGCAAATCTATAGGGATAGATATGAGTTTGGCACTTTGGAGAGAAATGGACAAAGTGTCTAGAAGATAGTGAGAGAAGAAGGATGTAGTTTGAGATGGCACCTTAGAGATAAGTAGAGGCCAGGTTGTATTAGGCACAGAGGCTATACTAAGGAGTTATAATGCTATTTTAAGAATAGTGGGCTGAGTTGAGGGATAGGGCCTTGAGAATGATAGCTAAGGGGTATAGCTCTTTTGTGTGTTTTTATTTTGAGAGTACAAAAATATTCTAAAATTGATCATGGCTCTGGTTGCACAACTCTGTGAATGTGTAAGAAAATTAATTGTATATTTTAAGTAGGTGAATTGTATGGTATGTGAATTATATCTCAATAAAGCTATTTAAAAATCTAAAACAAGAGAATAGTGGGAAACCATGTAAGTGTCTGAGACACAGTATGTAAAGGTCTGATTCATTTTATGAGACAATAATTCTGTCCTATGACGTATACGCTCTAGTTGTGTAATCATGAATGCTAGAAGACAAATTAGTAGGCTTCCGCAATAGACAAGGGAAGAAACAAAGGTGGTGAATTAGAACAATTGTCACTGTGGATATGGCTAATGATGTATATTTTGGAGGAAAAAGTGACATGTACTGATGGTGATTTGATTTTAGCTACTCAAAGAGAGGAAGAAATCATGAATTGCCCCAGAATTGTGGCTTGAGCAATTGATAATGTTGGTCTTTATGGAACTGGCTAGACTATTAGGAACATCTGTGAGGAAAAATGACATGGTAAGGTTGAGACATATGAAACATCAAAGTAGAGATATCAAATAGTTTGTATGGACACCTACAAGAACATTCATGTTTGGAGATATAAATGTGTAATTAACAGAAAGCCATATATAATGAGATATACTGCCTGCTTCTCCCTCATGGAAAGATTTACTGACCTCGGTGATGGGAGTGCTGGCAGCAGAGAGCCTCCAGTTATCAGCACCTTCAGGGGCTGCTCTGCTAAAGAATGCTCCTTCTCCCCAAAACACACATTTTCAGAGCAAGTGTCAATAACTGTTCGCAGTGAAGATATAAAAACTTGACTTAGTAGGACAACTCTAGGCCACTGTTCTCTGGTATTTCCTATGGGGTTGGATTGTTCAACCTGCACTGCAGTTTGACTTTTTCCTTTGCCCAATCCTACTTCTCACCTTCCGCAAGTGTTGATCCCTAATAAATATTCTGCATACCAGATTCCATCTCTGTGCTTGTTTCCAGAGAGAAATTCTGGAAAAATCTCTTCCATAGATTTATTTGTGATAACATTGCATTTGATGAAGAATTTTATGGAATAAGCTAGATTGGGAAAAGAAGAAGAGAGAAAAGATGAGAAAAGGGAGAGTACAAGAAATGAGAAACGAAGATAAAACACGACAGAGAAGATAAAAAAAAAGTGAGATAAAGAGATGGAAAAGCGAGGGGAGGAGAGGGGAAGGGAGGGGAGGGGAGGTGATGGGAGAGAAGAATTACAGAATCAAGTCCTGGTCCAAGATTCAAGAAACTTAAGTTTTGGAAATGAAAAAGAATAAACAATCATGAAAAAGACACAATTCATGAATAACAGTAGAATGAGCCAGCATCACTATCAGTGAAGCAATTACTCATGATATCAACACAAAAGATATTCTTGAAACTTAATATGTATCAACTTCACATATAGTCACTTTTTTACATTTTTATTTTCTAATATGCATTTAAACTCACTAGTTGCACCTATTTACATTGTGTCCACCTTTGTACAAACCACCATCTTCTCTACCCAGATCAAGCAGTACCATCGTAACTGGTTTCCAGACATCCGCTTGTGTCCACCTGCAGTTCAATCTCTACAACCCAAAAGCAAGTGTGCTTTTTAAGAGTCTTTTAGGGTATTTTTATGTTCACAACAAAATTGAGAATCATGTACAAAGATTTTCCATGTACTTCCTGACCCCACACATGCATAAACTCCCCCTTTATCAACATGCCCCACCAGTGTGTTACATTTGTTACAACTGATGAACCAACCTTGACACATCATTATCACTCAGAGTCCGTAACACATATTAGGGCTCAATCTTGGTGTCACACATTCCATGGGATGGACAAATGTACAGTGGCATATATCCATCACTATAATATCATACAGAATATTTTAACTGCCCTGAAAATCCTCTCTTCTCCATTTATTCATCCCTCCTACCTCACCTCCAATCACTGGCAACCACTGACCTTTTCTACTATCTCCATAATTTTACTTTTTTTTTTTTTTTTTGAGATGGAGTCTCGCTCTGTCACCCAGGCTGGAGTGCAGTGGTGCGATTTCGGCTCACTGCAAGCTGTGCCTCCCAGGTTTATGCCATTCTCCTGCCTCAGCCTCTGGAGTAGCTTGAACTACAGGCGCCCACCACCACACCCGGCTAATTTTTTTGTACTTTTAGTAGAGACGGGGTTTCACTGCATTAGCCAGGATGGCCTCGATCTCCTGACCTCATGATCTACCCGCCTCGGCCTTCCAAAGTGCTGGGATTACAGGCATGAGCCACCGCTCCTGGCCAGTTTTACCTTTTCTAGAAGGTCATATAGTTGGACTCATACAATATGTAGTGTTTTCAGATTGGCTTCTTTCACTTCATAATATTAACTTAAGGTTTCTCCATGTCTTTCAATCATCTGATAGCTCATCTTTTTACTGTGGAATAATATTCTATTGACTCAATGTACCACGGTTTATCTCTTCGTGTACTGAAAGACGTCTTGGGTGTTTTAAGTTTGGGCAATTATGAATAAAGCTGCTATAAACATCCTTGTTCTGGTTCTTGTGCATACATAAGTTGATATGTAGCATATTTTTATATGCTTATATGCTTATTTGTCATCTATATGTCTTCTTCGATGAGGTGTATATTCAGGTCTTTGGCTGTTTTTTCTTTTTTTCTTTTTCTTTTTTTTGAGATAGGGTCTCACTCTGTCGCCCAGGCTGCAGTGCAATGGCGTGATCTCGGCTCACTGCAACCTCCGCCTCCTGGGTTCAAGTAATTCTCGTGCCTCAGCTGCCCAGCTAATTTTTGCATTTTCTGTAGAGATGGGTTTCACCATGTTAGCCAGGCTGGTCTCGAACTCCTGGCCTCAGGTGATCCACCTGTGTTGGCCTCCCAAAGTGCTGGAATTACAGGCATGAGCCACCGTACCTGGCCCCTTTGGTCAATTTTCTTAAACGGATTGTTTTCGTATCGTTGAGTTATAAAGTTTTTAAATAGAAATTTCAGACAACAGTACTTTATCAGATATATATTTTGCACATATTTTTCCCCAGTCTGTGGCTTGTCTTCTCATTCCCCATTTAATTGTCTTTTATAGAACAAAAGTTATTAAATTTAATGAAGTCTCTCGTCAATTATTTCTTTCTTGGAAACGTACATTTGGTCTTGTATCTTAAAAGTCATTGGCATATCCACAATCATCTAGGTTTTCTTCTATGTTATTTTCCAAAAATTTTATAGTTATTTATTTCTATTAAAGTTTATGAATCATTGTAAGTTAATTTTTCTGTAGATTGTAAGGTCTGTGTCTAGATACTTTTTTTTTTTTTTTGCATATGGATGTCCAGTTGTTTCAGAATTATTTGTTGAAAACACCACCTTTGCTCCATTGCACTGCCTTTAATCCTTTGTCAAAGATCAGTTGACTATATATATGTGGGCTTATTTTGGGTTCTGTCTGCTGTTCCATTGGTCAATTTGTCTACTCTTTTGCTAATACCACACTGTCTTGATTACTGTAACTTTATAGTAAGTTTTGAATTTGGGTAATCTCAGTCCTCTAACTTTGTTCTTCTCTTCAAATATTGTGTTGGCTATTCTAGGTCTTTTGTCTGTCTGTAAAAACTTTAGGATCAGTTTGTTGATATCCACAAAATAACTCACTCAGATTTTGTCTCAGATTGCATAGAAGCTACAGATTAATTTGTGAGGAACTAACAGCACAATATTGAGTCTTCCCGTCTATGAACATGAAACATATCTTCATTTATTTAGTTGATCTCATTCATCAGATTTTGTAGTGTTTCTCACATAGATCATGTACATATTTTGTTAGATTGATAACTAAGTGTTTACTTTGGGGGGTGCTAATATAAATGGTTGTATGTTTTTTATTTCAAATTCCACTTGTTCATTGCTAGTATGTAGAAAAATGTTTGATTTTTGTATGTTAACCCTGTATTCTGCAAACTTGCTATAATTGCTTATTACTTTCAGAGGTATTTTTGTCAATTCTTTCAAATGTTTTACACAGAGAATCGTATCATCTACAAACAAAGACAGTTTTATTTCTTTCTTCTCTGCCTGTATGTATTTTATTTCCTTATATTGTCTTATTGCATTAGCTAGGATTTCCAGTACAATAATGAAAAGGAGTGATGGGAGGGGACATTCTTGCCTTGTTCCTGATCTTCTTGGGAAAGATTCTAATTGTCAACATTAAGTATGACATTAACTATAGGCTACTTTTGAAAGACATTTCTTTATTAATTTGAGAAAGTTTCTTCCTATTCCTAGTTTACTAGGAATTTTATAATTGAGTATTAAATGTTGTCAAATGCTTTTTCTGCATCTGTTTATATAATTATATGATTTTTTGAACTCTTCATATGATGAATTACATTAATTAATTTTTAAATGTTGAACCAGTCTTGTATGCCTTGGATAATTTCCACTTAGTGTGGTATATAATTATTTTTATATGGTTGGATTCTTCCTACTAATATTTTGTTGAGAATTTTTCGTTTTTTTTTAGACAGAGTTTTGCTTTTCTTGCCCAGGCTGGAGTGCAATGATGCAATCTCGGCTCACTGCAACCTCCGCCTCCCAGGTTCAAGCAATTCTCCTGCCTCAGCCTCCCAAGTAGCTGGGATTACAGACATGAGCCACCATGCCTGGCTAATTTTGTGTTTTTAGTAGAGACAGGGTTTCACCATGTTGGTCAGGCTGGTCTCGAACTCTCGACCTCAGGTGATCTGCAGGCCTTGGCCTCCCAAAGTGCTGGGATTACAAGTGTGAACCACCGTGCCAGGCTGAGAATTTTTGCATCTATGTTTATGAGAGATATTGCTCTATAATTTTTTCTTTCTTATAAAAAACAGATTATCTAATTGATCTTTTCCAATAATCAACTTTTGGTTTTACCAATATTCTCTATTAATTACCTGTTTTTAATTTTATTGATCTCTGCACTAATTATTACTTTTCTTCTGCTTACTTGGGATTAATTTTTCTTCTTTCTCTAAGTTTCCTAAGGTAGAAACATAGATCAGTGATTTTAGATTTTTCTTATTTTCTAAAACTGTATTCAATACTACAAATTTTCCTCTAAGCACTGCTTTTGCTGAATCTCACAAATTTTGCTACAGTATATTTTCATGTTCACTTATATCAAAATATTTTAAATTTTGTATCATATTTCATCTTTGACTAATCTCATATGTACAGGCCTGATGTTTAATCTGTACATATTTTGGAATTTTCTAGTTACCTTTCTATTGTAAATTTTTAGTTTAAGCCATTATTGTCTGAGGGCATTGTATGATTTCTATTCTTCTAAATTTGTGAAGATGTGTTTATTTATTTATTTTTGGCCCAGAATGTGGACTATGCTGATGAATGTTACATGTGAACTTGAGAAGAATGTGTATTCTCTTGTTGGATATGGTGGTATATAAATGTCAATTGTATCCAATTGATCAATGGTGTAATTGAGTTCAACCAGTTTCTTACTGATTTTCTGCCAATTGATCTGTTTCTGATGAAAGAATGCTAAGGTCTCCAGATATGACAATAGACTTATTGACCTCTTGCAGATATTAGTTATGGCTTGTTTAGTTTGACACTTTATTGTTAGGTGCACACACATTAAGAATTGTTAGGTATTCTTTGAGAATTGACTTCTTTATCATTAAATTGACCTTTATCCCTGATAACTTCCCTTGCTTTGAATTCTGCTATGTATAAAACTAATGTAGCTATTTCTACTTTCTTTTGGCTAGTGTTTGCATAGTATATTTTTCTCCATCCATTTGCTTTTAATCTATATGTGCCTTTATATTTGAAGTGGGTTTCTTATAGACAATGTATAGCTGGGTCTTGTTTTTTGATCCACTCTGACAATCTTTGACATTTAATTGGTGCATTTAGACCATTGATGTTGAAAGTGATTACTGATGTATTTATACTAATATCTACCATATTTATCACCATTTTCTGTTTGTTGCCCTTGATCTTCATTCCTATTTTTATCTCCCATTCTTTGGTTGTCTTTGAGGTTTTAATTGAGCATTTTATGTTATCCCAGTTTTTTCTCCTTTCTTAGCAAATCAGTTACACTTTGTTACTTTAAGTGGTTACTCTACAGTTTGCAATATACACTCACAATTAACCCAAGTCCACTTTTAAACAGCACTTGTACCACTTCATGGGTAATGTGGTGCCTTAGAATAACAAAATAATCCTAAATTATTTTGTAATTATACCTTTCATACCTTGTATCATTGCTGTCATTCATTTCACTTATACACACAGACATAAGATACATACATAAGCATATATAATCAAATACAGTGTTGCTATTATTTTAAATAATCTGTATCTGTTAGATCAATTAAAAATAATAAAAAAGTTTTTGTTTTAACTTCAATTATTTATTCATCAGTGCTCTTCCTTTTGTAATATATGTCAAAGTTTCTGACCTATATTATTTTTCTTCTCCCAAAAAACTTTGAACATTTCATGAAATGCAGGTGTACTGTCAACAAACCCTTTCAATTTTTGTTTGTTTGGGAAAATCTTCATTTCTCTGTCACTTTTGTAGGGTAATTTTGCATGGTAAATAATTCTGGGTTTTTTGTTTGTTTTGATCTTAAAACTTTAAATATTTCAGTACACTGTCTTCTTGCTTGCCTGGTTTCTCAGGAGATGTTGAATATAATTATTATCTTTGTTCCTCTGCAGGTAAGGTATTGTTTTCTCTGGCTTAAAATAAATTGTTTCATTTCATTTTTGATTTTCTGTCATTTGAAAATGATATGCTTAAGTGTAGGGGTTTGTGTTTGTTTGTTTTTTGTCATTTATGCTGTTTGGCATTCTCTGAGCTTCTTGTACCTATGCTTTAGTCTGACATTAATTTAGGGAAATTCTCATTTTTTATTATTTCAAATATATTTTCTGTTTCTTTCTCTATTTCTTTTCCTTCTAATGTTCCTATTAAGTGTAAATTTTACCTTTTATACTTATCCTGTAGTTCTTGGATATTCTGTTATAATTATTTTAGGTCTTTGTTCTTTTTGCTTTTTAGTTTTGGAGACTTTTATTGTCCTATCTTCACCTTCATAGATTTTCTTTTTCTTTAGCCATATTCAGTATACTAAAAAGCTCATCAAGGCTGGGTGCGGTGGCTCACACCTGTAATCCCAGCACTCTGGGAGGCCGAGGCAGGCGGATCATGAAGTCAGGAGCTCGAGACCAGTCTGGCCAACATAGTGAAATCTTGTCTCTACTAAAAATACAAAAAATTAGCCGAGTGTGGTGGCATGCGCCTATAATCCCAGCCAAAAGGCTGAGGCAGGAGAACCGCATGAACCCAGGAGGTGGAGGTTGCAGTGAGCTGAGATTGCACCATTGCATACAACCTGGGCAACTGAGAGACTCCATCTCAAAAAAAGAACAACAACCACATAAAAACCTCATCAAAGGCATTCTTTATGTTACAGTGTTTTTGATCTCTAGAATTTCTTTGTGCTTCTTCCTTAGGATTTCCATTTTTCTGCTTACATTGTCCATATGTTATTGCCTGCTGTCTACTGTATCTGCTAGAACCTTTGCACATTAATCATAGTTGTTTTAAATTCCTGGTCTGAATTCCAGCATCCCTGTCATGTCTGGTTCTGAGGCTTTTTCTGTCTCTTTAAATTGTGTTCATTGCCTTTCAACAGGCTTTGTAAAGTTTCCTTGGTAGCTGGACATGAACTTCTGTACATAGGCCTTTAGCAATGTGGTGGTAAGATGTGCAGGTCAAGGGAAGCGTTCTACATTCCTCTAATTAGGTGTTATGCTTTTACTGAGCTAATGCCTCTGAACTGTGAACTTCACAAGTATTTCTAAGTTTTCCTCCCTTTTTAGGTGGGACTGAGTGGCTAGAGTGGGCTGAAGTTGAGTATTTCTCTTCTCTCCTGTGGAAGGCTAGAGTGAGCTAGAGTTGGGTATTTTCTTTCCCATGGGACAGTTAGGCTCTGATAATACCCCAGAAGATGAGGCTGGTGTATTAGTGCATTCTCACACTGCTATAAAGAATACTACAAGACTGGGTAATTATAAAGGAAAGAAGTTTAATTAACTCACACGGTTCCTCAGGCTTAACAGAAAGCATGGCTAGGAGGCCTCAGGAAATTCACAATCATGGCGGAAGGCGAAGGGGAAGCAGGCACCTTTGCATAAGGCAGCAGGAGGGAGAGCTTGTGAGAATGAGGAGGAAGTACCACAATTTAAAACCATCAGCTCTCCTGAAAGCTCACTCACTGTCATGAGAACAGCATGGAGGAAACCAACCTCATGATCCAATCACTTCCCTCCCTGGACACGTGAGGTTTGCAATTCAAGATGAGATTTAGGTGGGGACACAGAGTCAAACTATAGCAGCTGGGGTTAACTAGTTTTCCCTGAGAGCAGGCCTTGTTAAGAAGAACAGAGAACACTGGCAGATTTCAATATTTTTTCCCTTTCTCTGCCAGAAGCATGAGAACTTTTTTTCTTTTCTTTCTTTTTTTCTTTTTTTTTTTTCCTGATCTTCACTGTGAGAACCTGGTAGAGCTTCTAGAGATAAAACTTATAAAGGGTTTTGGTGGTGGTGTGTAACTGAGTCCCCGTGGAATTTTTAACTCTCAGATGTGTCCACACTGGGCCTTTAGCACTCATCAATTACAGTTCAGGATTTTTTACTCAAGTACTCCTTCCCTTGGAAGTTTCCATTCCTGAGTCTTTGTTCTGTGAAGCCCTGACTACCTGTATTTCCTTGTCTGTCTCTCCAATCTTTAGGGTTGCAGTTTGCCCTGTGTCCTCACCTCTCTGATGGATCCAAGAAAAGTTGTCGATTTTCTAGTCAGTTTCACTTTTCACTTGTTAGGACAGAGTGGCAACTTTCAAGCTTCCTACATGTGGAACAGGAAACTGTTTCTCAGCACAAAGTTTTTAATCACATAAACCTGACCATTTTACAACGTGACCATTTAATCCCCTTTAATAGCTTCCCAGTGCTTTTACATCAAAACCCATTACTGTGGTCTTCTTGGCTCTGAATGAAATGTCACTTGTCTATCCTTTCAGCAAGATGTTAGATGTTTTTCCTTTTTACTCACGGGTCTCTACTTTCTGTGGTCACCTTTCAGTATCTGAATGCCTTGTTTCTTCCACCTAAGGACTTTAACGTATATTATTCTTTCTTCCTGCTTTAACCATCTTTTGAAAATTACTAATTAACCTTCAAATATGTGTTTCAGATTTCTTCCTTAAGAACATAATTCCTATTCACCTAAATTAGATAAGGTCCTGTGTTAAGTGCATTCATTTTGCCATCTATTTTCTCCTTGCTGTGCTTGTCCCAAACATGATTTAACATGGTCTGGATATTTCTCTCAGAAGGGTCTAAGCTCCATGAAACAAGAGCTTTGTTTAATCCCAGTATTTTTAGGAGAGTGCCAAGGACATAGTTGATGTTCCTTCAATGTTTATTGAATGCATAGGTAAAAGAATGGCTATAACTTTCCAGCTACACTAAGAAGATGATAATAATTGAATCAATTTGACACAATTTTCTAACTGATGGTTGAGACACAGTAATTTTCTCTATTATCTTTGCCATTTACAGGGATTATTTTACTTATTAAACTTTTGTAAAACAATTAACTTATAAGTTTCCCATCCTATAATATTTTTTTGATTCATCAAATTAGTTGTGTATGATGATAAAATGTAAGGTAATGATATAATATCCAATGAAGAATTAAATTTGGAAAAGCAAATTTCTCCTAGATATGTGAGTTTAAAATAAAACAAAGTGTACTACTTGTAACTCAACGCAGGTTAGAACAACTTTCAAAATATTCCTTTATTGTTATTTTTAAATAAATGAGTCATTTGAACTTCTCAAGGATGCCAGATAAAATTAAAGTTTAGTATTCATGAAATGTAGTCAACCACTTCCCACTACCTCATACCCCACCACCCACATTAATATTTAAATGTTTAACCTGGAGCATTTCTTGAGAATAAATATTTCTTCTCCTGGATTGCTAGCAAAAAAATAGATTCTATTTGATATTATAAATTTTAAAAGTGGTGATACCACAAAATAATTAAAATAAACTAAGAAATACTGTCATTTTTCACATGGTTCTTCTAGCTTGATGACAGCAGAGAAATCAGAGTTGAGATGGTCATAGAATGATTTTTATTCATGACTGAATAGATACCCAAATATATTAAAATGTACAATTAGCAGAGTTAATTTTATTAGTAACTTATTTTCAGACAATTGGGAACAATTGGAAAAGTATTGCTGATTAGATTAGAGCATTGTTTCTCCTCTGGAAACCCTAAATGGGTGCTCTCTAACCTACTCTATTTGTAAGAAAGTTCTCAAAAGATGGACAATTATGAGAACATGAAAACTAGGTTATCAAGAGAGTATTTTCCAGGAATGCATTCAACATGAGAATGTATCAAACAATGCAACAAGAATCCCTTTCTTGGTTGTATTATTTAATCTTTAATTTTTGAATTAGAATATAGTAATATTAAACATTTCTTGCATTGGCCATATCATTCCCATAATATAAGTGAGATTATAATCAAATTTTGCTACTTATTATAGTAAGAATTATTTGGTAGAGAAACACTTAGTGTTTATCTGGGGAAGTCTCCCCTATTATTTTGGGATTGATGGTCTAAAAGCAGTCAGAACTTACATTGTTAAAAGCAGCAGGGCCGATCTGCGATTTCTGAAGTGGTTTAAACCAGGAGTCCCCAATCCCCAGGCCACCAACCAGCCTGTTAGAAACCAGGCCACACAGCAGAAGGTGAGATGAGCGGGAAGAGGGGGATGGTGAGCGAGTAAAGCTTCATCTGTATTTACAGCCACTCCCCATCACTTGCTTGCATTACCACCTGAGCTCCACCTCCTGTCAGATCAGCAGCGGCATTAGATTCTCACAGGAGCGTGAACCCTATTGTGAGCTGTGCATGGAGGGATCTAGGTTGTGCATTCCTTATGATAATCTAATGCCTGATGATCTGTCACTGTCTCTCGTCACCCCCAGATGGGACCATCTAGCTGCAGAAAAACAAGCTCAGGGCTCCCACTGATTCTACATTATGGTGAGTTGTATAATCATTTCATTATATATTACAATGTAATAATGATAGCAATAAAGTGCACAATAAATGTAATATGCTTGAATCATCCCCAAATCATCCACCCCCTACCCTGGTCCATGGAAAATTTGTCTTTCACAAAACAGGTCCCTGGTGCCAAAAAGGTTGGGGACCACTGGTTTAAACCCATGCTGAATATTAACCTTCCTATTTAAATTTTAGTGAGTTGCTAAACTATTCTTTAATAAATGTTAGCATGATGTGCGTTACACATATCAAAAATCACCCAAAAGTCAAATTGAGAAATAAGGGACAGATTTACACACGTTCTGGGAAAGATTGGTGAAGTTGAAGGTGAATAGAAGAAAACATTGGTTATAGCATTTCACTACCATTGGAGGCAGGTGGGACTCCACAGGTAGAGAGAATAAGTAATTAA